>NC_000010.11:39936000-40236000 GCF_000001405.40 Homo sapiens | reverse complement strand
CACAAAGGATTTACTGAGAATTCTTCTGTCTAGCAGTAAATGAAAAAATCCCGCTTCCAACGAAGTCCTCAAAGGGGTCCAAGTAATCACTTGCAGACTTTACAGACAGAGTCTTTCCAAACTGCTCTATGAAAAGAAAGGTGGAACTCTGTGAGCTGAACGCACACATAACAAAGCAGTTTCTGAGAATGATTCTGTGTAGTTTTTACACGAAGATATTTCCATTTCAAAGATTAGCCTCAAATCGCTTGAAATCTCCACTTGCAAATTCCACAGAAAGAGTTTTTCAAAACTGCTCTGTGTAAAGGAAGGTTCAACTCTGTGACTTGAATACACACAACACAAAGAAGTGACTGAGAATTCTTCTGTCTAGCATTACATGAAGAAATCCCGTTTCCAACGAAGGCCTCAAAGAAGTCCAAATAAGCACCTGCAGACTTTACAAACAGAGTGTTTCCAAACTGCTCTATGAAAAGAAAGGTTAAACTCTGTGAGTTGAACGCACACATCACAAAGTAGTTGTTGAGAATGATTCTGTGTAGTTTTTATACGAAGATATTTCCTTTTCTGCCATAGGCCTAGAAGCGCTTGTAATCTGCACTTGCAAATTCCAAAAACAGAGTGTTTCAAATCTGCTCTCTCTAAAGGAAGGTTCAAATCTGTGAGTTGAATACAAACAACACAAAGAAGTTACTGAGAATTCTTCTGTCTAGCATTATAAGAGGAAATCCTGTTTCCAACGAAGGGCTCATAGAGGGACAATTATCCAGCTGCAGACTTACAAAGAGTGTATTTCCAAACTGCTCGATTAAAGAAAGGTTAAACTCTGTGAGTTGAACACACACATCACAAAGTGTTTTCTGAGAATGATTTTGTCTAGTTTCAATACGAAGATATATCCTTTTCTATCACTGTCTTCGAAGCGTTTGAAATCTGCACTAGCAAATTCCACAGAAAGAGTGTTTCAACTCTGCTCTCTCTCAAGAAAGGTTCAACTCTGTGAGTTGAATACACACAACACAAAGAAGTTACTGAGAATTCTTCTGTCTAGCGTTATATGAAGAAATCCCGTTTCCAACGAAGGCCTCAAAGAGGTCCAAATATCCACTTGCAGACTTTACAGATAGAGTGTTTCCAAACTGCTCTATGAAAAGAAAGGTTAAACTCCGTGAGTTGAAGGCACACATCACAAACTAGTTTCTGCGAATGACTCTGTGTACTTTTAATACGAAGATGTTTCCATGTCTAAGATTGGCGTGAATTCGCTTGAAATCTCCACCTGCAAATTCCACAAAAAGAATGTTTCAAAACAGCTCTGAATAGAGGAAGGTTCCACTCTGTGAGTTGAATACACACAACACAAAGGATTTACTGAGAATTCTTCTGTCTAGCAGTAAATGAAAAAATCCCGCTTCCAACGAAGTCCTCAAAGGGGTCCAAGTAATCACTTGCAGACTTTACAGACAGAGTCTTTCCAAACTGCTCTATGAAAAGAAAGGTGGAACTCTGTGAGCTGAACGCACACATAACAAAGCAGTTTCTGAGAATGATTCTGTGTGGTTTTTACACGAAGCTATTTCCATTTCAAAGATTAGCCTCAAATCGCTTGAAATCTCCACTTGCAAATTCCACAGAAAGAGTTTTTCAAAACTGCTCTGTGTAAAGGAAGGTTCAACTCTGTGACTTGAATACACACAACACAAAGAAGTGACTGAGAATTCTTCTGTCTAGCATTATATGAAGAAATCCCGTTTCCAACGAAGGCCTCAAAGAAGTCCAAATAAGCACCTGCAGACTTTACAAACAGAGTGTTTCCAAACTGCTCTATGAAAAGAAAGGTTAAACTCTGTGAGTTGAACGCACACATCACAAAGTAGTTGTTGAGAATGATTCTGTGTAGTTTTTATACGAAGATATTTCCTTTTCTGCCATAGGCCTAGAAGCGCTTGTAATCTGCACTTGCAAATTCCAAAAAGAGAGTGTTTCAAATCTGCTCTCTCTAAAGGAAGGTTCAAATCTGTGAGTTGAATACAAACAACACAAAGAAGTTACTGAGAATTCTTCTGTCTAGTGTTGTATGAAGAAATCCCATTTCCAACGAAGGCCTCAAAGAGCTCCAAATATCCACTTGCAGACTTTACAAATAGAGTGTTTCCCAACTGCTCTATGAAAAGAAAGGTTAAACTCTGTGAGTTGAAGGCACACATCACAAACTAGTTTCTACGAATGACCTGTGTACTTTTAATACGAAGATGTTTCCATGTCTAAGATTGGCGTGAATTCGCTTGAAATCTCCACTTGCAAATTCCACAAAAAGAGTGTTTCAAAACTGCTCTGAATAAAGGAAGGTTCCACTCTGTGAGTTGAATACACACAACACAAAGGATTTACTGAGAATTCTTCTGTCTAGCAGTAAATGAAAAAATCCCGCTTCCAACGAAGTCCTCAAAGGGGTCCAAGTAATCACTTGCAGACTTTACAGACAGAGTCTTTCCAAACTGCTCTATGAAAAGAAAGGTGGAACTCTGTGAGCTGAACGCACACATAACAAAGCAGTTTCTGAGAATGATTCTGTGTAGTTTTTACACGAAGCTATTTCCATTTCAAAGATTAGCCTCAAATCGCTTGAAATCTCCACTTGCAAATTCCACAGAAAGAGTTTTTCAAAACTGCTCTGTGTAAAGGAAGGTTCAACTCTGTGACTTGAATACACACAACACAAAGAAGTGACTGAGAATTCTTCTGTCTAGCATTATATGAAGAAATCCCGTTTCCAACGAAGGCCTCAAAGAAGTCCAAATAAGCACCTGCAGACTTTACAAACAGAGTGTTTCCAAACTGCTCTATGAAAAGAAAGGTTAAACTCTGTGAGTTGAACGCACACATCACAAAGTAGTTGTTGAGAATGATTCTGTGTAGTTTTTATACGAAGATATTTCCTTTTCTGCCATAGGCCTAGAAGCGCTTGTAATCTGCACTTGCAAATTCCAAAAACAGAGTGTTTCAAATCTGCTCTCTCTAAAGGAAGGTTCAAATCTGTGAGTTGAATACAAACAACACAAAGAAGTTACTGAGAATTCTTCTGTCTAGCATTATAAGAGGAAATCCCGTTTCCAACGAAGGGCTCATAGAGGGACAATTATCCAGCTGCAGACTTACAAAGAGTGTATTTCCAAACTGCTCGATTAAAGAAAGGTTAAACTCTGTGAGTTGAACACACACATCACAAAGTGTTTTCCTAGAATGATTTTGTCTATTTTTAATACGAAGATATATCCTTTTCTATCACTGTCTTCGAAGCGTTTGAAATCTGCACTAGCAAATTCCACAAACAGAGTGTTTCAACTCTGCTCTCTCTCAAGAAAGGTTCAACTCTGTGAGTTGAATACACACAACACAAAGAAGTTACTGAGAATTCTTCTGTCTAGCATTATATGAAGAAATCCCGTTTCCAACGAAGGCCTCAAAGAGGTCCAAATATCCACTTGCAGACTTTACAAATAGAGTGTTTCCAAACTGCTCTATGAAAAGAAAGGTTAAACTCCGTGCGTTGAAGGCACACATCACAAACTAGTTTCTGCGAATGACTCTGTGTACTTTTAATACGAAGATGTTTCCATGTCTAAGATTGGCGTGAATTCGCTTGAAATCTCCACTTGCAAATTCCACAAAAAGAGTGTTTCAAAACTGCTCTGAATAAAGGAAGGTTCCACTCTGTGAGTTGAATACACACAACACAAAGGATTTACTGAGAATTCTTCTGTCTAGCAGTAAATGAAAAAATCCCGCTTCCAACGAAGTCCTCAAAGGGGTCCAAGTAATCACTTGCAGACTTTACAGACAGAGTCTTTCCAAACTGCTCTATGAAAAGAAAGGTGGAACTCTGTGAGCTGAACGCACACATAACAAAGCAGTTTCTGAGAATGATTCTGTGTAGTTTTTACACGAAGATATTTCCATTTCAAAGATTAGCCTCAAATCGCTTGAAATCTCCACTTGCAAATTCCACAGAAAGAGTTTTTCAAAACTGCTCTGTGTAAAGGAAGGTTCAACTCTGTGACTTGAATACACACAACACAAAGAAGTGACTGAGAATTCTTCTGTCTACCATTATATGAGGAAATCCCGTTTCCAACGAAGGGCTCATAGAGGGACAATTATCCACCTGCAGACTTACAAAGAGTGCATTTCCAAACTGCTCGATTAAAGAAAGGTTAAACTCTGTGAGTTGAACACACACATAACAAAGTGTTTTCTGAGAATGATTTTGTCTAGTTTTAATACGAAGATATATCCTTTTCTATCACTGTCTTCGAAGCGTTTGAAATCTGCACTAGCAAATTCCACAGAAAGAGTGTTTCAACTCTGCTCTCTCTCAAGAAAGGTTCAACTCTGTGAGTGGAATACACACAACACAAAGAAGTTACAGAGAATTCTTCTGTCTAGCGTTATATGAAGAAATCCCGTTTCCAACGAAGGCCTCAAAGAGTTCCAAATATCCACTTGCAGACTTTACAAATAGAGTGTTTCCAAACTGCTCTATGAAAAGAAAGCTTAAACTCTGTGAGTTGAAGGCACACATCACAAACTAGTTTCTGCGAATGACTCTGTGTACTTTTAATACGAAGATGTTTCCATGTCTAAGATTGGCGTGAATTCGCTTGAAATCTCCACTTGCAAATTCCACAAAAAGAGTGTTTCAAAACTGCTCTGAATAAAGGAAGGTTCCACTCTGTGAGTTGAATACACACAACACGAAGGATTTACTGAGAATTCTTCTGTCTAGCAGTAAATGAAAAAATCCCGCTTCCAATGAAGTCCTCAAAGGGGTCCAAGTAATCACTTGCAGACATTACAGACAGAGTCTTTCCAAACTGCTCTATGAAAAGAAAGGTGGAACTCTGTGAGCTGAACGCACACATAACAAAGCAGTTTCTGACAATGATTCTGTGTAGTTTTTACACGAAGATATTTCCATTTCAAAGATTAGCCTCAAATCGCTTGAAATCT
Organism: Homo sapiens; assembly: GCF_000001405.40. Classification (NCBI taxonomy): domain Eukaryota; kingdom Metazoa; phylum Chordata; class Mammalia; order Primates; family Hominidae; genus Homo; species Homo sapiens. The sequence continues at coordinate 40,230,990 of NC_000010.11, read as the reverse complement.
CCACTTGCAAATTCCACAGAAAGAGTTTTTCAAAACTGCTCTGTGTAAAGGAAGGTTCAACTCTGTGACTTGAATACACACAACACAAAGAAGTGACTGAGAATTCTTCTGTCTAGCATTACCTGAAGAAATCCCGTTTCCAACGAAGGCCTCAAAGAAGTCCAAATAAGCACCTGCAGACTTTACAAACAGAGTGTTTCCAAACTGCTCTATGAAAAGAAAGGTTAAACTCTGTGAGTTGAACGCACACATCACAAAGTAGTTGTTGAGAATGATTCTGTGTAGTTTTTATACGAAGATATTTCCTTTTCTGCCATAGGCCTAGAAGCGCTTGCAATCTGCACTTGCAAATTCCAAAAACAGAGTGTTTCAAATCTGCTCTCTCCAAAGGAAGGTTCAAATCTGTGAGTTGAATACAAACAACACAAAGAAGTTACTGAGAATTCTTCTGTCTAGCATTATAAGAGGAAATCCCGTTTCCAACGAAGGGCTCATAGAGGGACAATTATCCAGCTGCAGACTTACAAAGAGTGTATTTCCAAACTGCTCGATTAAAGAAAGGTTAAACTCTGTGAGTTGAACACACACATCACAAAGTGTTTTCTGAGAATGATTTTGTCTAGTTTTAATACGAAGATATATCCTTTTCTATCACTGTCTTCGAAGCGTTTGAAATCTGCACTAGCAAATTCCACAGAAAGAGTGTTTCAACTCTGCTCTCTCTCAAGAAAGGTTCAACTCTGTGAGTAGAATACACACAACACAAAGAAGTTACTGAGAATTCTTCTGTCTAGCGTTATATGAAGAAATCCCGTTTCCAACGAAGGCCTCAAAGAGGTCCAAATATCCACTTGCAGACTTTACAAATAGAGTGTTTCCAAACTGCTCTATGAAAAGAAAGGTTAAACTCCGTGAGTTGAAGGCACACATCACAAACTAGTTTCTGCGAATGACTCTGTGTACTTTTAATACGAAGATGTTTCCATGTCTAAGATTGGCGTGAATTCGCTTGAAATCTCCACCTGCAAATTCCACAAAAAGAGTGTTTCAAAAGTGTTCTGAATAAAGGAAGGTTCCACTCTGTGAGTTGAATACACACAACACAAAGGATTTACTGAGAATTCTTCTGTCTAGCAGTAAATGAAAAAATCCCGCTTCCAACGAAGTCCTCAAAGGGGTCCAAGTAATCACTTGCAGACTTTACAGACAGAGTCTTTCCAAACTGCTCTATGAAGAGAAAGGTGGAACTCTGTGAGCTGAACGCACACATAACAAAGCAGTTTCTGAGAATGATTCTGTGTAGTTTTTACACGAAGCTATTTCCATTTCAAAGATTAGCCTCAAATCGCTTGAAATCTCCACTTGCAAATTCCACAGAAAGAGTTTTTCAAAACTGCTCTGTGTAAAGGAAGGTTCAACTCTGTGACTTGAATACACACAACACAAAGAAGTGACTGAGAATTCTTCTGTCTAGCATTATATGAAGAAATCCCGTTTCCAACGAAGGCCTCAAAGAAGTCCAAATAAGCACCTGCAGACTTTACAAACAGAGTGTTTCCAAACTGCTCTATGAAAAGAAAGGTTAAACTCTGTGAGTTGAACGCACACATCACAAAGTAGTTGTTGAGAATGATTCTGTGTAGTTTTTATACGAAGATATTTCCTTTTCTGCCATAGGCCTAGAAGCGCTTGTAATCTGCACTTGCAAATTCCAAAAACAGAGTGTTTCAAATCTGCTCTCTCCAAAGGAAGGTTCAAATCTGTGAGTTGAATACAAACAACACAAAGAAGTTACTGAGAATTCTTCTGTCTAGCATTATATGAGGAAATCCCGTTTCCAACGAAGGGCTCATAGAGGGACAATTATCCAGCTGCAGACTTACAAAGAGTGTATTTCCAAACTGCTCGATTAAAGAAAGGTTAAACTCTGTGAGTTGAACACACACATCACAAAGTGTTTTCTGAGAATGATTTTGTCTAGTTTTAATACGAAGATATATCCTTTGCTATCACTGTCTTCGAAGCGTTTGAAATCTGCACTAGCAAATTCCACAAAAAGAGTGTTTCAACCCTGCTCTCTCTAAAGAAAAGTTGAACTCTGTGAGTTGAATACACACAACACAAAGAAGTTACTGAAAATTCTTCTGTCTAGCGTTATATGAAGAAATCCCTTTTCCAACGATGGCCTCAAAGAGGTCCAAATATCCACTTGCAGACTTTACAAATAGAGTGTTTCCGAACTGCTCTATGAAAAGAAAGGTTAAACTCTGTGAGTTGAAGGCACACATCACAAACTAGTTTCTACGAATGATTCTGTGTACTTTTAATATGAAGATATTTCCATGTCTAAGATTGGCGTCAAATCGCTTGAAATCTCCACTTGCAAATTCCACAAAAAGAGTGTTTCAAAACTGCTCTGAATAAAGGAAGGTTCCACTCTGTGAGTTGAATAAACGCAACACAAATGATTTACTGAGAATTCTTCTGTCTAGCAGTAAATGAGAAATCCCGCTTCCAACGAAGGCCTCAAAGGGGTCTAACTAATCACTTGCAGACTTTACAGACAGAGTCTTTCCAAACTGCTCTATGAAGAGAAAGGTGAAACTCTGTGAACTGAACGCACAGATGACAAAGCAGTTTCTGAGAATGATTCTGTGTAGTTTTTACACGAAGATATTTCCATTTCAAAGATTAGCCTCAAATCGCTTGAAATCTCCACTTGCAAATTACACAGAAAGAATTTTTCAAAACTGCTCTGTCTAAAGGAAGGTTCAACTCTGTGACTTGAATACACACAACACAAAGAAGTGACTGAGAATTCTTCTGTCTAGCATTATATGAAGAAATCCCGTTTCCAACGAAGGCCTCAATGAAGTCCAAAAAGGCACTTGCAGGCTTTACAAACAGAGTGTTTCCAAACTGCTCTATGAAAAGAAAGGTTAAACTCTGTGAGTTGAACGCACACATCACAAAGTAGTTGTTGAGAATGATTCTGTGTAGTTTTTATACGAAGATATTTCCTTTTCTGCCATAGGCCTAGAATCGCTTGAAATCTGCAGTTGCAAATTCCAAAAACAGAGTGTTTCAACTCTGCTCTCTCTAAAGAAAGGTTCAACTCTGTGAGTTGAATACACACAACACAAAGAAGTTACTGAGAATTCTTCTGTCTAGCGTTGTATGAAGAAATCCCGTTTCCAACGAAGGCCTCAAAGAGGTCCAAATATCCACTTGCAGACTTTACAAATAGAGTGTTTCCAAACTGCTCTATGAAAAGAAAGGTTAAACTCTGTGAGTTGAAGGCACACATCACAAACTAGTTTCTACGAATGACTCTGTGTACTTTTAATACGAAGATGTTTCCATGTCTAAGATTGGCGTGAATTCGCTTGAAATCTCCACTTGCAAATTCCACAAAAAGAGTGTTTCAAAACTGCTCTGAATAAAGGAAGGTTCCACTCTGTGAGTTGAATACACACAATACAAAGGATTTACTGAGAATTCTTCTGTCTAGCAGTAAATGAAAAAATCCCGCTTCCAACGAAGTCCTCAAAGGGGTCCAAGTATTCACTTGCAGACTTTACAGACAGAGTCTTTCCAAACTGCTCTATGAAAAGAAAGGTGGAACTCTGTGAGCTGAACGCACACATAACAAAGCAGTTTCTGAGAATGATTCTGTGTAGTTTTTACACGAAGCTATTTCCATTTCAAAGATTAGCCTCAAATCGCTTGAAATCTCCACTTGCAAATTCCACAGAAAGAGTTTTTCAAAACTGCTCTGTGTAAAGGAAGGTTCAACTCTGTGACTTGAATACACACAACACAAAGAAGTGACTGAGAATTCTTCTGTCTAGCATTATATGAAGAAATCCCGTTTCCAACGAAGGCCTCAAAGAAGTCCAAATAAGCACCTGCAGACTTTACAAACAGAGTGTTTCCAAACTGCTCTATGAAAAGAAAGGTTAAACTCTGTGAGTTGAACGCACACATCACAAACTAGTTTCTGCGAATGACTCTGTGTAGTTTTTATACGAAGATATTTCCTTTTCTGCCATAGGCCTAGAAGCGCTTGTAATCTGCACTTGCAAATTCCAAAACCAGAGAGTTTCAAATCTGCTCTCTCTAAAGGAAGATTCAAATCTTTGAGTTGAATACAAACAACACAAAGAAGTTACTGAGAATTCTTCTGTCTAGCATTATATGAGGAAATCCCGTTTCCAACGAAGGGCTCATAGAGGGACAATTATCCAGCTGCAGACTTACAAAGAGTGTATTTCCAAACTGCTCGATTAAAGAAAGGTTAAACTCTGTGAGTTGAACACACACATCACAAAGTGTTTTCTGAGAATGATTTTGTCTAGTTTTAATACGAAGATATATCCTTTTCTATCACTGTCTTCGAAGCGTTTGAAATCTGCACTAGCAAATTCCACAGAAAGAGTGTTTCAACTCTGCTCTCTCTCAAGAAAGGTTCAACTCTGTGAGTGGAATACACACAACACAAAGAAGTTACTGAGAATTCTTCTGTCTAGCGTTATATGAAGAAATCCCGTTTCCAACGAAGGCCTCAAAGAGGTCCAAATATCCACTTGCAGACTTTACAAATAGAGTGTTTCCAAACTGCTCTATGAAAAGAAAGGTTAAACTCCGTGAGTTGAAGGCACACATCACAAACTAGTTTCTGCGAATGACTCTGTGTACTTTTAATACGAAGATGTTTCCATGTCTAAGATTGGCGTGAATTCGCTTGAAATCTCCACCTGCAAATTCCACAAAAAGAATGTTTCAAAACTGCTCTGAATAGAGGAAGGTTCCACTCTGTGAGTTGAATACACACAACACAAAGGATTTACTGAGAATTCTTCTGTCTAGCAGTAAATGAAAAAATCCCGCTTCCAACGAAGTCCTCAAAGGGGTCCAAGTAATCACTTGCAGACTTTACAGACAGAGTCTTTCCAAACTGCTCTATGAAAAGAAAGGTGGAACTCTGTGAGCTGAACGCACACATAACAAAGCAGTTTCTGAGAATGATTCTGTGTGGTTTTTACACGAAGCTATTTCCATTTCAAAGATTAGCCTCAAATCGCTTGAAATCTCCACTTGCAAATTCCACAGAAAGAGTTTTTCAAAACTGCTCTGTGTAAAGGAAGGTTCAACTCTGTGACTTGAATACACACAACACAAAGAAGTGACTGAGAATTCTTCTGTCTAGCATTACATGAAGAAATCCCGTTTCCAACGAAGGCCTCAAAGAAGTCCAAATAAGCACCTGCAGACTTTACAAACAGAGTGTTTCCAAACTGCTCTATGAAAAGAAAGGTTAAACTCTGTGAGTTGAACGCACACATCACAAAGTAGTTGTTGAGAATGATTCTGTGTAGTTTTTATACGAAGATATTTCCTTTTCTGCCATAGGCCTAGAAGCGCTTGTAATCTGCACTTGCAAATTCCAAAAACAGAGTGTTTCAAATCTGCTCTCTCTAAAGGAAGGTTCAAATCTGTGAGTTGAATACAAACAACACAAAGAAGTTACTGTGAATTCTTCTGTCTAGCATTATAAGAGGAAATCCCGTTTCCAACGAAGGGCTCATAGAGGGACAATTATCCAGCTGCAGACTTACAAAGAGTGTATTTCCAAACTGCTCGATTAAAGAAAGGTTAAACTCTGTGAGTTGAACACACACATCACAAAGTGTTTTCTGAGAATGATTTTGTCTAGTTTTAATACGAAGATATATCCTTTTCTATCACTGTCTTCGAAGCGTTTGAAATCTGCACTAGCAAATTCCACAAAAAGAGTGTTTCAACTCTGCTCTCTCTCAAGAAAGGTTCAACTCTGTGAGTGGAATACACACAACACAAAGAAGTTACTGAGAATTCTTCTGTCTAGCGTTATATGAAGAAATCCCGTTTCCAACGAAGGCCTCAAAGAGGTCCAAATATCCACTTGCAGACTTTACAAATAGAGTGTTTCCAAACTGCTCTATGAAAAGAAAGGTTAAACTCCGTGAGTTGAAGGCACACATCACAAACTAGTTTCTGCGAATGACTCTGTGTACTTTTAATACGAAGATGTTTCCATGTCTAAGATTGGCGTGAATTCGCTTGAAATCTCCACTTGCAATTTCCACAAAAAGAGTGTTTCAAAACTGCTCTGAATAAAGGAAGGTTCCACTCTGTGAGTTGAATACACACAACACAAAGGATTTACTGAGAATTCTTCTGTCTAGCAGTAAATGAAAAAATCCCGCTTCCAACGAAGTCCTCAAAGGGGTCCAAGTAATCACTTGCAGACTTTACAGACAGAGTCTTTCCAAACTGCTCTATGAAAAGAAAGGTGGAACTCTGAGAGCTGAACGCACACATAACAAAGCAGTTTCTGAGAATGATTCTGTGTAGTTTTTACACGAAGGTATTTCCATTTCAAAGATTAGCCTCAAATCGCTTGAAATCTCCACTTGCAAATTCCACAGAAAGAGTTTTTCAAAACTGCTCTGAGTAAAGGAAGGTTCAACTCTGTGACTTGAATACACACAACACAAAGAAGTGACTGAGAATTCTTCTGTCTAGAATTATATGAAGAAATCCCGTTTCCAACGAAGGCCTCAAAGAAGTCCAAATAAGCACCTGCAGACTTTACAAACAGAGTGTTTCCAAACTGCTCTATGAAAAGAAAGGTTAAACTCTGTGAGTTGAACGCACACATCACAAAGTAGTTGTTGAGAATGATTTTGTCTACTTTTAATACGAAGATATATCCTTTTCTATCACTGTCTTCGAAGCGTTTGAAATCTACACTAGCAAATTCCACAAAAAGAGTGTTTCACCTCTGCTCCCTCTAAAGAAAGGTTCAACTCTGTGAGTTGAATACACACAACACAAAGAAGTTACTGAGAATTCTTCTGTCTAGCGTTATATGAAGAAATCCCGTTTCCAACGAAGGCCTCAAAGAGGTCCAAATATCCACTTGCAGACTTTACAAATAGAGTGTTTCCCAACTGCTCTATGAAAAGAAAGGTTAAACTCTGTGAGTTGAAGGCACACATCACAAACTAGTTTCTACGAATGACTCTGTGTACTTTTAATATGAAGATATTTCCATGTCTAAGATTGGCGTCAAATCGCTTGAAATCTCCACTTGCAAATTCCACAAAAAGAGTGTTTCAAAACTGCTCTGAATAAAGGAAGGTTCCACTCTGTGAGTTGAATACACACAACACAAAGGATTTACTGAGAATTCTTCTGTCTAGCAGTAAATGAGAAATCCCGCTTCCAACGAAGGCCTCAAAGGGGTCTAACTAATCACTTGCAGACTTTACAGACAGAGTCTTTCCAAACTGCTCTATGAAGAGAAAGGTGAAACTCTGTGAACTGAACGCACAGATGACAAAGCAGTTTCTGAGAATGATTCTGTGTAGTTTTTACACGAAGATATTTCCATTTCAAAGATTAGCCTCAAATCGCTTGAAATCTCCACTTGCAAATTACACAGAAAGAATTTTTCAAAACTGCTCTGTCTAAAGTAAGGTTCAACTCTGTGACTTGAATACACACAACACAAAGAAGTGACTGAGAATTCTTCTGTCTAGCATTATATGAAGAAATCCCGTTTCCAACGAAGGCCTCAATGAAGTCCAAAAAAGCACTTGCAGGCTTTACAAACAGAGTGTTTCCAAACTGCTCTATGAAAAGAAAGGTTAAACTCTGTGAGTTGAACGCACACATCACAAAGTAGTTGTTGAGAATGACTCTGTGTAGTTTTTATACGAAGATATTTCCTTTTCTGCCATAGGCCAAGAATCGCTTGAAATCTGCAGTTGCAAATTCCACAAAAAGAGTGTCTCACCTCTGCTCCCTCTAAAGAAAGGTTCAACTCTGTGAGTTGAATACACACAACACAAAGAAGTTACTGAGAATTCTTCTGTCTAGCGTTATATGAAGAAATCCCGTTTCCAACGAAGGCCTCAAAGAGGTCCAAATATCCACTTGCAGACTTTACAAATAGAGTGTTTCCCAACTGCTCTATGAAAAGAAAGGTTAAACTCTGTGAGTTGAAGGCACACATCACACACTAGTTTCTACGAATGACTCTGTGTACTTTTAATATGAAGATATTTCCATGTCTAAGATTGGCGTCAAATCGCTTGAAATCTCCACTTGCAAATTCCACAAAAAGAGTGTTTCAAAACTGCTCTGAATAAAGGAAGGTTCCACTCTGTGAGTTGAATACACACAACACAAAGGATTTTCTGAGAATTCTTCTGTCTAGCAGTAAATGAGAAATCCCGCTTCCAACGAAGGCCTCAAAGGGGTCTAACTAATCACTTGCAGACTTTACAGACAGAGTCTTTCCAAACTGCTCTATGAAGAGAAAGGTGAAACTCTGTGAACTGAACGCACAGATGACAAAGCAGTTTCTGAGAATGATTCTGTGTAGTTTTTACACGAAGATATTTCCATTTCAAAGATTAGGCTCAAATCGCTTGAAATCTCCACTTGCAAACTCCACAGAAAGAATTTTTCAAAACTGCTCTGTCTAAAGGAAGGTTCAACTCTGTGACTTGAATACACACAACACAAAGAAGTGACTGAGAATTCTTCTGTCTAGCATTATAAGAGGAAATCCCGTTTCCAACCAAGGGCTCAAAGAGGGCCAAATATCCACCTGCAGACTTACAAAGAGTGTATTTCCAAACTGCTCGATTAAAGAAAGGTTAAACTCTGTGAGTTGAACACACACATCACAAAGAGTTTTCTGAGAATGATTTTGTCTACTTTTAATACGAAGATATATCCTTTTCTATCACTGACTTCGAAGCGTTTGAAATCTACACTAGCAAATTCCACAAAAAGACTGTTTCACCTCTGCTCCCTCTAAAGAAAGGTTCAACTCTGTGAGTTGAATACACACAGCACAAAGAAGTTACTGAGAATTCTTCTGTCTAGCGTTGTATGAAGAAATCCCGTTTCCAACGAAGGCCTCAAACAGGTCCAAATATCCACTTGCAGACTTTACAAATAGAGTGTTTCCAAACTGCTCTATGAAAAGAAAGGTTAAACTCTGTGAGTTGAAGGCACACATCACAAACTAGTTTCTACGAATGACTCTGTGTACTTTTAATATGAAGACATTTCCATGTCTAAGATTGGCGTCAAATCGCTTGAAATCTCCACTTGCAAATTCCACAAAAAGTGTTTTTCAAAACTGCTCTGAATAAAGGAAGGTTCCACTCTGTGAGTTGAATACACACAACACAAAGGATTTACTGAGAATTCTTCTGTCTAGCAGTAAATGAGAAATCCCGCTTCCAACGAAGGCCTCAAAGGGGTCTAACTAATCACTTGCAGACTTTACAGACAGAGTCTTTCCAAACTGCTCTATGAAGAGAAAGGTGAAACTCTGTGAACTGAACGCACAGATGACAAAGCAGTTTCTGAGAATGATTCTGTGTAGTTTTTACACGAAGATATTTCCATTTCAAAGATTAGCCTCAAATCGCTTGAAATCTCCACTTGCAAACTCCACAGAAAGAATTTTTCAAAACTGCTCTGTCTAAAGGAAGGTTCAACTCTGTGACTTGAATACACACAACACAAAGAAGTGACTGAGAATTCTTCTGTCTAGCATAATATGAAGAAATCCCGTTTCCAACGAAGGCCTCAATGAAGTCCAAAAAAGCACTTGCAGGCTTTACAAACAGAGTGTTTCCAAACTGCTCTAAGAAAAGAAAGGTTAAACTGTGTGAGTTGAACGCACACATCACAAAGTAGTTGTTGAGAATGATTTTGTCTAGTTTTAATACGAAGATATATCCTTTGCTATCACTGTCTTCGAAGCGTTTGAAATCTGCACTAGCAAATTCCACAAAAAGAGTGTTTCAACTCTGCTCTCTCTAAAGAAAACTTGAACTCTGTGAGTTGAATACACACAACACAAAGAAGTTACTGAAAATTCTTCTGTCTAGCGTTATATGAAGAAATCCCTTTTCCAACGATGGCCTCAAAGAGGTCCAAATATCCACTTGCAGACTTTACAAATAGAGTGTTTCCGAACTGCTCTATGAAAAGAAAGGTTAAACTCTGTGAGTTGAAGGCACACATCACAAACTAGTTTCTACGAATGATTCTGTGTACTTTTAATACGAAGATGTTTCCATATCTAAGATTGGCGTGAATTCGCTTGAAATCTCCACTTGCAAATTCCACAAAAAGAGTGTTTCAAAACTGCTCTGAATAAAGGAAGGTTCCACTCTGTGAGTTGAATAAACGCAACACAAATGATTTACTGAGTATTCTTCTGTCTAGCATTATATGAAGAAATCCCGTTTCCAACGAAGGCCTCAATGAAGTCCAAAAAAGCACTTGCAGGCTTTACAAACAGCGTGTTTCCAAACTGCTCTATGAAAAGAAAGGTTAAACTTTGTGAGTTGAACGCACACATCACAAAGTAGTTGTTGAGAATGATTCTGTGTAGTTTTCATACGAAGATATTTCCTTTCCTGCCATAGGCCTAGAATCGCTTGAAATCTGCACTTGCAAATTCCAAAAACAGAGTGTTTCAACTCTGCTCTCTCTAAAGAAAGGTTCAACTCTGTGAGTTGAATACACACAACACAAAGAAGTTACTGAGAATTCTTCTGTCTAGTGTTGTATGAAGAAATCCCATTTCCAACGAAGGCCTCAAAGAGGTCCAAATATCCACTTGCAGACTTTACAAATAGAGTGTTTCCCAACTGCTCTATGAAAAGAAAGGTTAAACTCTGTGAGTTGAAGGCACACATCACAAACTAGTTTCTACGAATGACTCTGTGTACTTTTAATATGAAGATATTTCCATGTCTAAGATTGGCGTCAAATCGCTTGAAATCTCCACTTGCAAATTCCACAAAAAGTGTTTTTCAAAACTGCTCTGAATAAAGGAAGGTTCCACTCTGTGAGTTGAATACACACAACACAAAGGATTTACTGAGAATTCTTCTGTCTAGCAGTAAATGAGAAATCCCGCTTCCAACGAAGGCCTCAAAGGGGTCTAACTAATCACTTGCAGACTTTACAGACAGAGTCTTTCCAAACTGCTCTATGAAGAGAAAGGTGAAACTCTGTGAACTGAACGCACAGATAACAAAGCAGTTTCTGAGAATGATTCTGTGTAGTTTTTACACGAAGATATTTCCATTTCAAAGATTAGCCTCAACTCTCTTAAAATCTCCAATTGCAAATTCCACAGAAAGAATTTTTCAAAACTGCTCTGTCTAAAAGAAGGTTCAACTCTGTGACTTGAATACACACAACACAAAGAAGTGACTGAGAATTCTTCTGTCTAGCATTATATGAAGAAATCCCGTTTCCAACGAAGGCCTCAATGAAGTCCAAAAAAGCACTTGCAGGCTTTACAAACAGAGTGTTTCCAAACTGCTCTATGAAAAGAAAGGTTAAACTCTGGGAGTTGAACGCACACATCACAAAGTAGTTGTTGAGAATGATTCTGTGTAGTTTTTATACGAAGATATTTCCTTTTCTGCCATAGGCCTAGAAGCGCTTGAAATCTGCACTTGCAAATTCCAAAAACAGAGTGTTTCAAATCTGCTCTCTCTAAAGGAAGGTTCAAATCTGTGAGTTGAATACAAACAACACAAAGAAGTTACTGAGAATTCTTCTGTCTAGCGTTGTATGAAGAAATCCCGTTTCCAATGAAGGCCTCAAAGAGGTCCAAATATCCACTTGCAGACTTTACAAATAGAGTGTTTCCAAACTGCTCTATGAAAAGAAAGGTTAAACTCTGTGAGTTGAAGGCACACATCACAAACTAGTTTCTACGAATGACTCTGTGTACTTTTAATACGAAGATGTTTCCATGTCTAAGTATTGGCGTGAATTCGCTTGAAATCTCCACTTGCAAATTCCACAAAAAGAGTGTTTCAAAACTGCTCTGAATAAAGGAAGGTTCCACTCTGTGAGTTGAATACACACAACACAAAGGATTTACTGAGAATTCTTCTGTCTAGCAGTAAATGAGAAATCCCGCTTCCAACGAAGGCCTCAAAGGGGTCTAACTAATCACTTGCAGACTTTACAGACAGAGTCTTTCCAAACTGCTCTATGAAGAGAAAGGTGAAACTCTGTGAACTGAACGCACAGATGACAAAGCAGTTTCTGAGAATGATTCTGTGTAGTTTTTACACGAAGATATTTCCATTTCAAAGATTAGCCTCAAATCGCTTGAAATCTCCACTTGCAAACTCCACAGAAAGAATTTTTCAAAACTGCTCTGTCTAAAGGAAGGTTCAACTCTGTGACTTGAATACACACAACACAAAGAAGTGACTGAGAATTCTTCTGTCTAGCATTATATGAAGAAATCCCGTTTCCAACGAAGGCCTCAATGAAGTCCAAAAAAGCACTTGCAGGCTTTACAAACAGAGTGTTTCCAAACTGCTCTATGAAAAGAAAGGTTAAACTCTGTGAGTTGAACGCACACATCACAAAGTAGTTGTTGAGAATGATTCTGTGTATTTTTTATACGAAGATATTTCCTTTTCTGCCATAGGCCTAGATGTGCTTGAAATCTGCACTTGCAAATTCCAAAAACAGAGTGTTTCAAATCTGCTCTCTCTAAAGGAAGGTTCAAATCTGTGAGTTGAATACAAACAACACAAAGAAGTTACTGAGAATTCTTCTGTCTAGCATTATATGAGGAAATCCCGTTTCCAACGAAGGGCTCAAAGAGGGCCAATTATCCACCTGCAGACTTACAAAGAGTGTATTTCCAAACTGCTCGATTAAAGAAAGGTTAAACTCTGTGAGTTGAACACACACATCACAAAGTGTTTTCTGAGAATGATTTTGTCTAGTTTTAATACGAAGATATATCCTTTGCTATCACTGTCTTCGAAGCGTTTGAAATCTGCACTAGCAAATTCCACAAAAAGAGTGTTTCAACTCTGCTCTCTCTAAAGAAAGGTTCAACTCTGTGAGTTGAATACACACAACACAAAGAAGTTACTGAGAATTCTTCTGTCTAGCGTTATATGAAGAAATCCCTTTTCCAACGAAGGGCCTCAAAGAGGTCCAAATATCCACTTGCAGACTTTACAAATAGAATGTTTCCGAACTGCTCTATGAAAAGAAAGGTTAAACTCTGTGAGTTGAAGGCACACATCACAAACTAGTTTCTACGAATGATTTCTGTGTACTTTTAATATGAAGATATTTCCATGTCTAAGATTGGCGTCAAATCGCTTGAAATCTCCACTTGCAAATTCCACAAAAAGAGAGTTTCAAAACTGCTCTGAATAAAGGAAGGTTCCACTCTGTGAGTTGAATAAACACAACACAAAGGATTTACTGAGAATTCTTCTGTCTAGCATTATATGAAGAAATCCCGTTTCCAACGAAGGCCTCAATGAAGTCCAAAAAAGCAATTGCAGGCTTTACAAACAGAGTGTTTCCAAACTTCTCTATGAAAAGAAAGGTTAAACTTTGTGAGTTGAACGCACACATCACAAAGTAGTTGTTGAGAATGATTCTGTGTAGTTTTTATACGAAGATATTTCCTTTTCTGCCATAGGCCTAGAATCGCTTGAAATCTGCACTTGCAAATTCCAAAAACAGAGTGTTTCAACTCTGCTCTCTCTAAAGAAAGGTTCAACTCTGTGAGTTGAATACACACAACACAAAGAAGTTACTGAGAATTCTTCTGTCTAGCGTTTTATGAAGAAATCCCGTTTCCAACGAAGGCCTCAAAGAGGTCCAAATATCCACTTGCAGACGTTACAAACAGAGTGTTTCCAAACTGCTCTATGAAAAGAAAAGTTAAACTCTGTGAGTTGAAGGCACACATCACAAACTAGTTTCTGCGAATGACTCTGTGTACTTTTAATATGAAGATATTTCCATGTCTAAGATTGGCGTCAAATCGCTTGAAATCTCCACTTGCAAATTCCACAAAAAGTGTTTTTCAAAACTGCTCTGAATAAAGGAAGGTTCCACTCTGTGAGTTGAATACACACAACACAAAGGATTTACTGAGAATTCTTCTGTCTAGCAGTAAATGAGAAATCCCGCTTCCAACGAAGGCCTCAAAGGGGTCTAACTAATCACTTGCAGACTTTACAGACAGAGTCTTTCCAAACTGCTCTATGAAGAGAAAGGTGAAACTCTGTGAACTGAACGCACAGATAACAAAGCAGTTTCTGAGAATGATTCTGTGTAGTTTTTACACGAAGATATTTCCATTTCAAAGATTAGCCTCAAATCTCTTAAAATCTCCAATTGCAAATTCCACAGAAAGAATTTTTCAAAACTGCTCTGTCTAAAGGAAGGTTCAACTCTGTGACTTGAATACACAAAACACAAAGAAGTGACTGAGAATTCTTCTGTCTAGCATTATATGAAGAAATCCCGTTTCCAACGAAGGCCTCAATGAAGTCCAAAAAAGCACTTGCAGGCTTTACAAACAGAGTGTTTCCAAACTGCTCTATGAAAAGAAAGTTTAAACTCTGTGAGTTGAACGCACACATCACAAAGTAGTTGTTGAGAATGATTCTGTGTAGTTTTTATACGAAGATATTTCCTTTTCTGCCATAGGCCTAGAATCGCTTGAAATCTGCACTTGCAAATTCCAAAAACAGAGTGTTTCAACTCTGCTCTCTCTAAAGAAAGGTTCAACTCTGTGAGTTGAATACACACAACACAAAGAAGTAACTGAGAATTCTTCTGTCTAGCATTATATGAAGAAATCCCGTTTCCAACGAAGGCCTCAAAGAAGTCCAAATAAGCACCTGCAGACTTTACAAACAGAGTGTTTCCAAACTGCTCTATGAAAAGAAAGGTTAAACTCTGTGAGTTGAAGGCACACATCACAAACTAGTTTCTGCGAATGACTCTGTGTACTTTTAATACGAAGATGTTTCCATGTCTAAGATTGGCGTGAATTCGCTTGAAATCTCCACTTGCAAATTCCACAAAAAGAGTGTTTCAAAACTGCTCTGAATAAAGGAAGGTTCCACTCTGTGAGTTGAATACACACAACACAAAGGATTTACTGAGAATTCTTCTGTCTAGCAGTAAATGAAAAAATCCCGCTTCCAACGAAGTCCTCAAAGGGGTCCAAGTAATCACTTGCAGACTTTACAGACAGAGTCTTTCCAAACTGCTCTATGAAAAGAAAGGTGGAACTCTGTGAGCTGAACGCACACATAACAAAGCAGTTTCTGAGAATGATTCTGTGTAGTTTTTACACGAAGCTATTTCCATTTCAAAGATTAGCCTCAAATCGCTTGAAATCTCCACTTGCAAATTCCACAGAAAGAGTTTTTCAAAACTGCTCTGTGTAAAGGAAGGTTCAACTCTGTGACTTGAATACACACAACACAAAGAAGTGACTGAGAATTCTTCTGTCTAGCATTACATGAAGAAATCCCGTTTCCAACGAAGGCCTCAAAGAAGTCCAAATAAGCACCTGCAGACTTTACAAACAGAGTGTTTCCAAACTGCTCTATGAAAAGAAAGGTTAAACTCTGTGAGTTGAACGCACACATCACAAAGTAGTTGTTGAGAATGATTCTGTGTAGTTTTTATACGAAGATATTTCCTTTTCTGCCATAGGCCTAGAAGCGCTTGTAATCTGCACTTGCAAATTCCAAAAACAGAGTGTTTCAAATCTGCTCTCTCCAAAGGAAGGTTCAAATCTGTGAGTTGAATACAAACAACACAAAGAAGTTACTGAGAATTCTTCTGTCTAGCATTATAAGAGGAAATCCTGTTTCCAACGAAGGGCTCATAGAGGGACAATTATCCAGCTGCAGACTTACAAAGAGTGTATTTCCAAACTGCTCGATTAAAGAAAGGTTAAACTCTGTGAGTTGAACACACACATCACAAAGTGTTTTCTGAGAATGATTTTGTCTAGTTTTAATACGAAGATATATCCTTTTCTATCACTGTCTTCGAAGTGTTTGAAATCTGCACTAGCAAATTCCACAAAAAGAGTGTTTCAACTCTGCTCTCTCTCAAGAAAGGTTCAACTCTGTGAGTGGAATACACACAACACAAAGAAGTTACTGAGAATTCTTCTGTCTAGCGTTATATGAAGAAATCCCGTTTCCAACGAAGGCCTCAAAGAGGTCCAAATATCCACTTGCAGACTTTACAAATAGAGTGTTTCCAAACTGCTCTATGAAAAGAAAGGTTAAACTCCGTGAGTTGAAGGCACACATCACAAACTAGTTTCTGCGAATGACTCTGTGTACTTTTAATACGAAGATGTTTCCATGTCTAAGATTGGCGTGAATTCGCTTGAAATCTCCACTTGCAAATTCCACCAAAAGAGTGTTTCAAAACTGCTCTGAATAAAGGAAGGTTCCACTCTGTGAGTTGAATACACACAACACAAAGGATTTACTGAGAATTCTTCTGTCTAGCAGTAAATGAAAAAATCCCGCTTCCAACGAAGTCCTCAAAGGGGTCCAAGTAATCATTTGCAGACTTTACAGACAGAGTCTTTCCAAACTGCTCTATGAAAAGAAAGGTGGAACTCTGTGAGCTGAACGCACACATAACAAAGCAGTTTCTGAGAATGATTCTGTGTAGTTTTTACACGAAGATATTTCCATTTCAAAGATTAGCCTCAAATCGCTTGAAATCTCCACTTGCAAATTCCACAGAAAGAGTTTCTCAAAACTGCTCTGTGTAAAGGAAGGTTCAACTCTGTGACTTGAATACACACAACACAAAGAAGTGACTGAGAATTCTTCTGTCTAGCATTATATGAAGAAATCCCGTTTCCAACGAAGGCCTCAAAGAAGTCCAAATAAGCACCTGCAGACTTTACAAACAGAGTGTTTCCAAACTGCTCTATGAAAAGAAACGTTAAACTCTGTGAGTTGAACGCACACATCACAAAGTAGTTGTTGAGAATGATTCTGTGTAGTTTTTATACGAAGATATTTCCTTTTCTGCCATAGGCCTAGAAGCGCTTGTAATCTGCACTTGCAAATTCCAAAAACAGAGTGTTTCAAATCTGCTCTCTCTAAAGGAAGGTTCAAATCTGTGAGTTGAATACAAACAACACAAAGAAGTTACTGAGAATTCTTCTGTCTAGCATTATAAGAGGAAATCCCGTTTCCAACGAAGGGCTCATAGAGGGACAATTATCCAGCTGCAGACTTACAAAGAGTGTATTTCCAAACTGCTCGATTAAAGAAAGGTTAAACTCTGTGAGTTGAACACACACATCACAAAGTGTTTTCTGAGAATGATTTTGTCTAGTTTTAATACGAAGATATATCCTTTTCTATCACTGTCTTCGAAGCGTTTGAAATCTGCACTAGCAAATTCCACAAACAGAGTGTTTCAACTCTGCTCTCTCTCAAGAAAGGTTCAACTCTGTGAGTTGAATACACACAACACAAAGAAGTTACTGAGAATTCTTCTGTCTAGCGTTATATGAAGAAATCCCGTTTCCAACGAAGGCCTCAAAGAGGTCCAAATATCCACTTGCAGATTTTACAAATAGAGTGTTTCCAAACTGCTCTATGAAAAGAAAGGTTAAACTCCGTGAGTTGAAGGCACACATCACAAACTAGTTTCTGCGAATGACTCTGTGTACTTTTAATACGAAGATGTTTCCATGTCTAAGATTGGCGTGAATTCGCTTGAAATCTCCACTTGCAAATTCCACAAAAAGAGTGTTTCAAAACTGCTCTGAATAAAGGAAGGTTCCACTCTGTGAGTTGAATACACACAACACAAAGGATTTACTGAGAATTCTTCTGTCTGGCAGTAAATGAAAAAATTCCGCTTCCAACGAAGTCCTCAAAGGGGTCCAAGTAATCACTTGCAGACTTTACAGACGGAGTCTTTCCAAACTGCTCTATGAAAAGAAAGGTGGAACTCTGTGAGCTGAACGCACACATAACAAAGCAGTTTCTGAGAATGATTCTGTGTAGTTTTTACACGAAGCTATTTCCATTTCAAAGATTAGCCTCAAATCGCTTGAAATCTCCACTTGCAAATTCCACAGAAAGAGTTTTTCAAAACTGCTCTGTGTAAAGGAAGGTTCAACTCTGTGACTTGAATACACACAACACAAAGAAGTGACTGAGAATTCTTCTGTCTAGCATTATATGAAGAAATCCCGTTTCCAACGAAGGCCTCAAAGAAGTCCAAATAAGCACCTGCAGACTTTACAAACAGAGTGTTTCCAAAATGCTCTATGAAAAGAAAGGTTAAACTCTGTGAGTTGAACGCACACATCAGAAAGTAGTTGTTGAGAATGATTCTGTGTAGTTTTTATACGAAGATATTTCCTTTTCTGCCATAGGCCTAGAAGCGCTTGTAATCTCCACTTGCAAATTCCAAAAACAGAGTGTTTCAAATCTGCTCTCTCTAAAGGAAGGTTCAAATCTGTGAGTTGAATACAAACAACACAAAGAAGTTACTGAGAATTCTTCTGTCTAGCATTATAAGAGGAAATCCCGTTTCCAACGAAGGGCTCATAGAGGGACAATTATCCAGCTGCAGACTTACAAAGAGTGTATTTCCAAACTGCTCGATTAAAGAAAGGTTAAACTCTGTGAGTTGAACACACACATCACAAAGTGTTTTCTGAGAATGATTTTGTCTAGTTTTAATACGAAGATATATCCTTTTCTATCACTGTCTTCGAAGCGTTTGAAATCTGCACTAGCAAATTCCACAGAAAGAGTGTTTCAACTCTGCTCTCTCTCAAGAAAGGTTCAACTCTGTGAGTGGAATACACACAACACAAAGAAGTTACTGAGAATTCTTCTGTCTAGCGTTATATGAAGAAATCCCGTTTCCAACGAAGGCCTCAAAGAGGTCCAAATATCCACTTGCAGACTTTACAAATAGAGTGTTTCCAAACTGCTCTATGAAAAGAAAGGTTAAACTCTGTGAGTTGAAGGCACACATCACAAACTAGTTTCTGCGAATGACTCTGTGTACTTTTAATACGAAGATGTTTCCATGTCTAAGATTGGCGTGAATTCGCTTGAAATCTCCACTTGCAAATTCCACAAAAAGAGTGTTTCAAAACTGCTCTGAATAAAGGAAGGTTCCACTCTGTGAGTTGAATACACACAACACAAAGGATTTACTGAGAATTCTTCTGTCTAGCAGTAAATGAAAAAATCCCGCTTCCAACGAAGTCCTCAAAGGGGTCCAAGTAATCACTTGAAGACTTTACAGACAGAGTCTTTCCAAACTGCTCTATGAAAAGAAAGGTGGAACTCTGTGAGCTGAACGCACACATAACAAAGCAGTTTCTGAGAATGATTCTGTGTAGTTTTTACACGAAGATATTTCCATTTCAAAGATTAGCCTCAAATCGCTTGAAATCTCCACTTGCAAATTCCACAGAAAGAGGTTTTCAAAACTGCTCTGTGTAAAGGAAGGTTCAGCTCTGTGACTTGAATACACACAACACAAAGAAGTGACTGAGAATTCTTCTGTCTAGCATTATATGAAGAAATCCCGTTTCCAACGAAGGCCTCAAAGAAGTCCAAATAAGCACCTGCAGACTTTACAAACAGAGTGTTTCCAAACTGCTCTATGAAAAGAAAGGTTAAACTCTGTGAGCTGAACGCACACATCACAAAGTAGTTGTTGAGAATGATTCTGTGTAGTTTTTATACGAAGATATTTCCTTTTCTGCCATAGGCCTAGAAGCGCTTGCAATCTGCACTTGCAAATTCCAAAAACAGAGTGTTTCAAATCTGCTCTCTCCAAAGGAAGGTTCAAATCTGTGAGTTGAATACAAACAACACAAAGAAGTTACTGAGAATTCTTCTGTCTAGCATTATAAGAGGAAATCCCGTTTCCAACGAAGGGCTCCTAGAGGGACAATTATCCAGCTGCAGACTTACAAAGAGTGTATTTCCAAACTGCTCGATTAAAGAAAGGTTAAACTCTGTGAGTTGAACACACACATCACAAAGTGTTTTCTGAGAATGATTTTGTCTAGTTTTAATACGAAGATATATCCTTTTCTATCACTGTCTTCGAAG
Source organism: Homo sapiens (assembly GCF_000001405.40). Taxonomy (NCBI): domain Eukaryota; kingdom Metazoa; phylum Chordata; class Mammalia; order Primates; family Hominidae; genus Homo; species Homo sapiens. Next base: position 40,210,966 of record NC_000010.11, on the reverse strand, counting down.
CGTTTGAAATCTGCACTAGCAAATTCCACAAACAGAGTGTTTCAACTCTGCTCTCTCTCAAGAAAGGTTCAACTCTGTGAGTGGAATACACACAACACAAAGAAGTTACTGAGAATTCTTCTGTCTAGCGTTATATGAAGAAATCCCGTTTCCAACGAAGGCCTCAAAGAGGTCCAAATATCCACTTGCAGACTTTACAAATAGAGTGTTTCCAAACTGGTCTATGAAAAGAAAGGTTAAACTCTGTGAGTTGAAGGCACACATCACAAACTAGTTTCTGCGAATGACTCTGTGTACTTTTAATACGAAGATGTTTCCATGTCTAAGATTGGCGTGAATTCGCTTGAAATCTCCACTTGCAAATTCCACAAAAAGAGTGTTTCAAAACTGCTCTGAATAAAGGAAGGTTCCACTCTGTGAGTTGAATACACACAACACAAAGGATTTACTGAGAATTCTTCTGTCTAGCAGTAAATGAAAAAATCCCGCTTCCAACGAAGTCCTCAAAGGGGTCCAAGTAATCACTTGCAGACTTTACAGACAGAGTCTTTCCAAACTGCTCTATGAAAAGAAAGGTGGAACTCTGTGAGCTGAACGCACACATAACAAAGCAGTTTCTGAGAATGATTCTGTGTAGTTTTTACACGAAGATATTTCCATTTCAAAGATTAGCCTCAAATCGCTTGAAATCTCCACTTGCAAATTCCACAGAAAGAGTTTTTCAAAACTGCTCTGTGTAAAGGAAGGTTCAACTCTGTGACTTGAATACACACAACACAAAGAAGTGACTGAGAATTCTTCTGTCTAGCATTATATGAAGAAATCCCGTTTCCAACGAAGGCCTCAAAGAAGTCCAAATAAGCACCTGCAGACTTTACAAACAGAGTGTTTCCAAACTGCTCTATGAAAAGAAAGGTTAAACTCTGTGAGTTGAACGCACACATCACAAAGTAGTTGTTGAGAATGATTCTGTGTAGTTTTTATACGAAGATATTTCCTTTTCTGCCATAGGCCTAGAAGCGCTTGCAATCTGCACTTGCAAATTCCAAAAACAGAGTGTTTCAAATCTGCTCTCTCTAAAGGAAGGTTCAAATCTGTGAGTTGAATACAAACAACACAAAGAAGTTACTGAGAATTCTTCTGTCTAGCATTATAAGAGGAAATCCTGTTTCCAACGAAGGGCTCATAGAGGGACAATTATCCAGCTGCAGACTTACAAAGAGTGTATTTCCAAACTGCTCGATTAAAGAAAGGTTAAACTCTGTGAGTTGAACACACACATCACAAAGTGTTTTCTGAGAATGATTTTGTCTAGTTTTAATACGAAGATATATCCTTTTCTATCACTGTCTTCGAAGCGTTTGAAATCTGCACTAGCAAATTCCACAAACAGAGTGTTTCAACTCTGCTCTCTCTCAAGAAAGGTTCAACTCTGTGAGTGGAATACACACAACACAAAGAAGTTACTGAGAATTCTTCTGTCTAGCGTTATATGAAGAAATCCCGTTTCCAACGAAGGCCTCAAAGAGGTCCAAATATCCACTTGCAGACTTTACAAATAGAGTGTTTCCAAACTGCTCTATGAAAAGAAAGGTTAAACTCTGTGAGTTGAACGCACACATCACAAACTAGTTTCTGCGAATGACTCTGTGTACTTTTAATACGAAGATGTTTCCATGTCTAAGATTGGCGTGAATTCGCTTGAAATCTCCACTTGCAAATTCCACAAAAAGAGTGTTTCAAAACTGCTCTGAATAAAGGAAGGTTCCACTCTGTGAGTTGAATACACACAACACAAAGGATTTACTGAGAATTCTTCTGTCTAGCAGTAAATGAAAAAATCCCGCTTCCAACGAAGTCCTCAAAGGGGTCCAAGTAATCACTTGCAGACTTTACAGACAGAGTCTTTCCAAACTGCTCTATGAAAAGAAAGGTGGAACTCTGTGAGCTGAACGCACACATAACAAAGCAGTTTCTGAGAATGATTCTGTGTAGTTTTTACACGAAGATATTTCCATTTCAAAGATTAGCCTCAAATCGCTTGAAATCTCCACTTGCAAATTCCACAGAAAGAGTTTTTCAAAACTGCTCTGTGTAAAGGAAGGTTCAACTCTGTGACTTGAATACACACAACACAAAGAAGTGACTGAGAATTCTTCTGTCTAGCATTATATGAAGAAATCCCGTTTCCAACGAAGGCCTCAAAGAAGTCCAAATATGCACTTGCAGACTTTACAAACAGAGTGTTTCCAAACTGCTCTATGAAAAGAAAGGTTAAACTCTGTGAGTTGAATGCACACATCACAAAGTAGTTCTTTAGAATGATTCTGTCTAGTTTTTATACGAAGATACTTCCTTTTCTACAATTGGCCTAGAAGCGCTTGAAATCTGCACTTGCAAATTCCACAAAAAGAGTGTTTCAAATCTGCTCTGTGTAAAGGAAGTTTCAAAACTGTGAGTTGAACAGACACAACACAAAGAAGTTACTGAAAATTCTTCTGTCTAGCATTACATGAAGAAATCCCGTTTCCAACGAAGGCCTCAAAGGAAGTCCAAATAAGCACCTGCAGACTTTACAAACAGAGTGTTTCCAAACTGCTCTATGAAAAGAAAGGTTAAACTCTGTGAGTTGAACGCACACATCACAAAGTAGTTGTTGAGAATGATTCTGTCCAGTTTTTACAAGAAGATATTTCCATTTCAAAGACTGGCCACAAATCGCTAGAAATCTCCACTTGCAAATTCCACAACAACGAGTTTTTCAAAACTGCTCTGTCTAAAGGAAGGTTCAACTCTGTGAGTTGAATACACACAACACAAAGTAGTTACTGAGAATTCTTCTGTCTAGCATTATAAGAGGAAATCCTGTTTCCAACGAAGGGCTCATAGAGGGACAATTATCCAGCTGCAGACTTACAAAGAGTGTATTTCCAAACTGCTCGATTAAAGAAAGGTTAAACTCTGTGAGTTGAACACACACATCACAAAGTGTTTTCTGAGAATGATTTTGTCTAGTTTTAATACGAAGATATATCCTTTTCTATCACTGTCTTCGAAGCGTTTGAAATCTGCACTAGCAAATTCCACAAACAGAGTGTTTCAACTCTGCTCTCTCTCAAGAAAGGTTCAACTCTGTGAGTGAAATACACACAACACAAAGAAGTTACTGAGAATTCTTCTGTCTAACGTTATATGAAGAAATCCCGTTTCCAACGAAGGCCTCAAAGAGGTCCAAATATCCACTTGCAGACTTTACAAATAGAGTTTTTCCCAACTGCTCTATGAAAAGAAAGGTTAAACTCTGTGAGTTGAAGGCACACATCACAAACTAGTTTCTACGAATGACTCTGTGTACTTTTAATATGAAGATATTTCCATGTCTAAGATTGGCGTCAAATCGCTTGAAATCTCCACTTGCAAATTCCACAAAAAGAGTGTTTCAAAACTGCTCTGAATAAAGGCAGGTTCCACTCTGTGAGTTGAATACACACAACACAAAGGATTTACTGAGAATTCTTCTGTCTAGCAGTAAATGAGAAATCCCGCTTCCAACGAAGGCCTCAAAGGGGTCTAACTAATCACTTGCAGACTTTACAGACAGAGTCTTTCCAAACTGCTCTATGAAGAGAAAGGTGAAACTCTGTGAACTGAACGCACAGATGACAAAGCAGTTTCTGAGAATGATTCTGTGTAGTTTTTACACGAAGATATTTCCATTTCAAAGATTAGCCTCAAATCGCTTGAAATCTCCACTTGCAAACTCCACAGAAAGAATTTTTCAAAACTGCTCTGTCTAAAGGAAGGTTCAACTCTGTGACTTGAATACACACAACACAAAGAAGGGACTGAGAATTCTTCTGTCTAGCATTATATGAAGAAATCCCGTTTCCAACGAAGGCCTCAATGAAGTCCAAAAAAGCACTTGCAGGCTTTACAAACAGAGTGTTTCCAAACTGCTCTATGAAAAGAAAGGTTAAACTCTGTGAGTTGAACGCACACATCACAAAGTAGTTGTTGAGAATGATTCTGTGTAGTTTTTATACGAAGATATTTCCTTTTCTGCCATAGGCCTAGAAGCGCTTGAAATCTGCACTTGCAAATTCCAAAAACAGAGTGTTTCAAATCTGCTCTCTCTAAAGGAAGGTTCAAATCTGTGTGTTGAATACAAACAACACAAAGAAGTTACTGAGAATTCTTCTGTCTAGCATTATATGAGGAAATCCCGTTTCCAACGAAGGGCTCAAAGAGGGCCAAATATCCACCTGCAGACTTACAAAGAGTGTATTTCCAAACTGCTCGATTAAAGAAAGGTTAAACTGCTGTGAGTTGAACACACACATCACAAAGAGTTTTCTGAGAATGATTTTGTCTACTTTTAATACGAAGATATATCCTTTTCTATCACTGTCTTCGAAGCGTTTGAAATCTACACTAGCAAATTCCACAAAAAGAGTGTTTCACCTCTGCTCCCTCTAAAGAAAGGTTCAACTCTGTGAGTTGAATACACACAACACAAAGAAGTTACTGAGAATTCTTCTGTCTAGCGTTATATGAAGAAATCCCGTTTCCAACGAAGGCCTCAAAGAGGTCCAAATATCCACTTGCAGACTTTACAAATAGAGTGTTTCCCAACTGCTCTATGAAAAGAAAGGTTAAACTCTGTGAGTTGAAGGCACACATCACAAACTAGTTTCTACGAATGACTCTGTGTACTTTTAATATGAAGATATTTCCATGTCTAAGATTGGCGTCAAATCGCTTGAAATCTCCACTTGCAAATTCCACAAAAAGAGTGTTTCAAAACTGCTCTGAATAAAGGAAGGTTCCACTCTGTGAGTTGAATACACACAACACAAAGGATTTACTGAGAATTCTTCTGTCTAGCAGTAAATGAAAAAATCCCGCTTCCAACGATGTCCTCAAAGGGGTCCAAGTAATCACTTGCAGACTTTACAGACAGAGTCTTTCCAAACTGCTCTATGAAAAGAAAGGTGGAACTCCTGTGAGCTGAACGCACACATAACAAAGCAGTTTCTGAGAATGATTTCTGTGTAGTTTTTACACGAAGATATTTCCATTTCAAAGATTAGCCTCAAATCGCTTGAAATCTCCACTTGCAAACTGCACAGAAAGAATTTTTCAAAACTGCTCTGTCTAAAGGAAGGTTCAACTCTGTGACTTGAATACACACAACACAAAGAAGTGACTGAGAATTCTTCTGTCTAGCATTATATGAAGAAATCCCGTTTCCAACGAAGGCCTCAATGAAGTCCAAAAAAGCACTTGCAGGCTTTACAAACAGAGTGTTTCCAAACTGCTCTATGAAAAGAAAGGTTAAACTCTGTGAGTTGAACGCACACATTCACAAAGTAGTTGTTGAGAATGATTCTGTGTAGTTTTTATACGAAGATATTTCCTTTTCTGCCATAGGCCTAGAATCGCTTGAAATCTGCACTTGCAAATTCCAAAAACAGAGTGTTTCAACTCTGCTCTCTCTAAAGAAAGGTTCAACTCTGTGAGTTGAATACACACAACACAAAGAAGTTACTGAGAATTCTTCTGTCTAGCGTTGTATGAAGAAATCCCGTTTCCAACGAAGGCCTCAATGAAGTCCAAAAAAGCACTTGCAGGCTTTACAAACAGAGTGTTTCCAAACTGCTCTATGAAAAGAAAGGTTAAACTCTGTGAGTTGAACGCACAGATCACAAAGTAGTTGTTGAGAATGATTCTGTGTACTTTTAATATGAAGATATTTCCATGTCTAAGATTGGCGTCAAATCGCTTGAAATCTCCACTTGCAAATTCCACAAAAAGTGTTTTTCAAAACTGCTCTGAATAAAGGAAGGTTCCACTCTGTGAGTTGAATACACACAACACAAAGGATTTTCTGAGAATTCTTCTGTCTAGCAGTAAATGAGAAATCCCGCTTCCAACGAAGGCCTCAAAGGGGTCTAACTAATCACTTGCAGACTTTACAGACAGAGTCTTTCCAAACTGCTCTATGAAGAGAAAGGTGAAACTCTGTGAACTGAACGCACAGATGACAAAGCAGTTTCTGAGAATGATTCTGTGTAGTTTTTACACGAAGATATTTCCATTTCAAAGATTAGGCTCAAATCGCTTGAAATCTCCACTTGCAAACTCCACAGAAAGAATTTTTCAAAACTGCTCTGTCTAAAGGAAGGTTCAACTCTGTGACTTGAATACACACAACACAAAGAAGTGACTGAGAATTCTTCTGTCTAGCATTATATGAAGAAATCCCGTTTCCAACGAAGGCCTCAATGAAGTCCAAAAAAGCACTTGCAGGCTTTACAAACAGAGTGTTTCCAAACTGCTCTATGAAAAGAAAGGTTAAACTCTGTGAGTTGAACGCACACATCACAAAGTAGTTGTTGAGAATGATTCTGTGTAGTTTTTATACGAAGATATTTCCTTTTCTGCCATAGGCCTAGAAGCGCTTGAAATCTGCACTTGCAAATTCCAAAAACAGAGTGTTTCAACTCTGCTCTCTCTAAAGAAAGGTTCAACTCTGTGAGTTGAATACACACAACACAAAGAAGTTACTGAGAATTCTTCTGTCTAGCGTTGTATGAAGAAATCCCGTTTCCAACGAAGGCCTCAAAGAGGTCCAAATATCCACTTGCAGACTTTACAAATAGAGTGTTTCCAAACTGCTCTATGAAAAGAAAGGTTAAACTCTGTGAGTTGAAGGCACACATCACAAACTAGTTTTTACGAATGACTCTGTGTACTTTTAATATGAAGATATTTCCATGTCTAAGATTGGCGTCAAATCGCTTGAAATCTCCACTTGCAAATTCCACAAAAAGTGTTTTTCAAAAGTGCTCTGAATAAAGGAAGGTTCCACTCTGTGAGTTGAATACACACAACACAAAGGATTTACTGAGAATTGTTCTGTCTAGCAGTAAATGGGAAATCCCGCTTCCAACGAAGGCCTCAAAGGGGTCTAACTAATCACTTGCGGACTTAACAGACAGAGTCTTTCCAAACTGCTCTCTGAAGAGAAAGGTTAAACTCTGTGAACTGAACGCACATATAACAAAGCAGTTTCTGAGAATGATTCTGTGTAGTTTTTACACGAAGATATTTCCATTTCAAAGATTAGCCTCAAATCGCTTGAAATCTCCACTTGCAAATTCCACAGAAAGAATTTTTCAAAACTGCTCTGTCTAAAAGAAGGTTCAACTCTGTGACTTGAATACACACAACACAAAGAAGTGACTGAGAATTCTTCTGTCTAGCATTATATGAAGAAATCCCGTTTCCAACGAAGGCCTCAATGAAGTCCAAAAAAGCACTTGCAGGCTTTACAAACAGAGTGTTTCCAAACTGCTCTATGAAAAGAAAGGTTAAACTCTGTGAGTTGAACGCACACATCACAAAGTAGTTGTTGAGAATGATTCTGTGTAGTTTTTATACGAAGATATTTCCTTTTCTGCCATAGGCCTAGAATCGCTTGAAATCTGCAGGTGCAAATTCCAAAAACAGAGTGTTTCAACTCTGCTCTCTCTAAAGAAAGGTTCAACTCTGTGAGTTGAATACACACAACACAAAGAAGTTACTGAGAATTCTTCTGTCTAGCGTTGTATGAAGAAATCCCGTTTCCAACGAAGGCCTCAAAGAGGTCCAAATATCCACTTGCAGACTTTACAAATAGAGTGTTTCCAAACTGCTCTATGAAAAGAAAGGTTAAACTCTGTGAGTTGAAGGCACACATCACAAACTAGTTTCTACGAATGACTCTGTGTACTTTTAATATGAAGATATTTCCATGTCTAAGATTGGCGTCAAATCGCTTGAAATCTCCACTTGCAAATTCCACAAAAAGAGTGTTTCAAAACTGCTCTGAATAAAGGAAGGTTCCACTCTGTGAGTTGAATACACACAACACAAAGGATTTACTGAGAATTATTCTGTCTAGCAGTAAATGAGAAATCCCGCTTCCAACGAAGGCCTCAAAGGGGTCTAACTAATCACTTGCAGACTTTACAGACAGAGTCTTTCCAAACTGCTCTATGAAGAGAAAGGTGAAACTCTGTGAACTGAACGCACAGATGACAAAGCAGTTTCTGAGAATGATTCTGTGTAGTTTTTACACGAAGATATTTCCATTTCAAAGATTAGCCTCAAATCGCTTGAAATCTCCACTTGCAAACTCCACAGAAAGAATTTTTCAAAACTGCTCTGTCTAAAGGAAGGTTCAACTCTGTGACTTGAATACACACAACACAAAGAAGTGACTGAGAATTCTTCTGTCTAGCATTATATGAAGAAATCCCGTTTCCAACGAAGGCCTCAATGAAGTCCAAAAAAGCACTTGCAGGCTTTACAAACAGAGTGTTTCCAAACTGCTCTATGAAAAGAAAGGTTAAACTCTGTGAGTTGAACGCACACATCACAAAGTAGTTGTTGAGAATGATTCTGTGTAGTTTTTATACGAAGATATTTCCTTTTCTGCCATAGGCCTAGAATCGCTTGAAATCTGCAGTTGCAAATTCCAAAAACAGAGTGTTTCAACTCTGCTCTCTCTAAAGAAAGGTTCAACTCCTGTGAGTTGAATACACACAACACAAAGAAGTTACTGAGAATTCTTCTGTCTAGCATTATATGAGGAAATCCCGTTTCCAACGAAGGCCTCAAAGAGGTCCAAATATCCACTTGCAGACTTTACAAATAGAGTGTTTCCAAACTGCTCTATGAAAAGAAAGGTTAAACTCTGTGAGTTGAAGGCACACATCACAAACTAGTTTCTACGAATGACTCTGTGTACTTTTAATATGAAGATATTTCCATGTCTAAGATTGGCGTCAAATCGCTTGAAATCTCCACTTGCAAATTCCACGAAAAGTGTTTTTCAAAACTGCTCTGAATAAAGGAAGGTTCCACTCTGTGAGTTGAATACACACAACACAAAGGATTTACTGAGAATTCTTCTGTCTAGCAGTAAATGAGAAATCCCGCTTCCAACGAAGGCCTCAAAGGGGTCTAACTAATCACTTGCAGACTTTACAGACAGAGTCTTTCCAAACTGCTCTATGAAGAGAAAGGTGAAACTCTGTGAACTGAACGCACAGATGACAAAGCAGTTTCTGAGAATGATTCTGTGTAGTTTTTACACGAAGATATTTCCATTTCAAAGATTAGCCTCAAATCGCTTGAAATCTCCACTTGCAAACTCCACAGAAAGAATTTTTCAAAACTGCTCTGTCTAAAGGAAGGTTCAACTCTGTGACTTGAATACACACAACACAAAGAAGTGACTGAGAATTCTTCTGTCTAGCATTATATGAAGAAATCCCGTTTCCAACGAAGGCCTCAATGAAGTCCAAAAAAGCACTTGCAGGCTTTACAAACAGAGTGTTTCCAAACTGCTCTATGAAAAGAAAGGTTAAACTCTGTGAGTTGAACGCACACATCACAAAGTAGTTGTTGAGAATGATTCTGTGTAGTTTTTATACGAAGATATTTCCTTTTCTGCCATAGGCCTAGAAGCGCTTGAAATCTGCACTTGCAAATTCCAAAAACAGAGTGTTTCAAATCTGCTCTCTCTAAAGGAAGGTTCAAATCTGTGTGTTGAATACAAACAACACAAAGAAGTTACTGAGAATTCTTCTGTCTAGCATTATATGAGGAAATCCCGTTTCCAACGAAGGGCTCAAAGAGGGCCAAATATCCACCTGCAGACTTACAAAGAGTGTATTTCCAAACTGCTCGATTAAAGAAAGGTTAAACTCTGTGAGTTGAACACACACATCACAAAGAGTTTTCTGAGAATGATTTTGTCTACTTTTAATACGAAGATATATCCTTTTCTATCACTGTCTTCGAAGCGTTTGAAATCTACACTAGCAAATTCCACAAAAAGAGTGTTTCACCTCTGCTCCCTCTAAAGAAAGGTTCAACTCTGTGAGTTGAATACACACAACACAAAGAAGTTACTGAGAATTCTTCTGTCTAGCGTTATATGAAGAAATCCCATTTCCAACGAAGGCCTCAAAGAGGTCCAAATATCCACTTGCAGACTTTACAAATAGAGTGTTTCCAAACTGCTCTATGAAAAGAAAGGTTAAACTCTGTGAGTTGAAGGCACACATCACAAACTAGTTTCTACGAATGACTCTGTGTACTTTTAATATGAAGATATTTCCATGTCTAAGATTGGCGTCAAATCGCTTGAAATCTCCACTTGCAAATTCCACAAAAAGAGTGTTTCAAAACTGCTCTGAATAAAGGAAGGTTCCACTCTGTGAGTTGAATACACACAACACAAAGGATTTACTGAGAATTCTTCTGTCTAGCAGTAAATGAAAAAATCCCGCTTCCAACGAAGTCCTCAAAGGGGTCCAAGTAATCACTTGCAGACTTTACAGACAGAGTCTTTCCAAACTGCTCTATGAAAAGAAAGGTGGAACTCTGTGAGCTGAACGCACACATAACAAAGCAGATTCTGAGAATGATTCTGTGTAGTTTTTACACGAAGATATTTCCATTTCAAAGATTAGCCTCAAATCGCTTGAAATCTCCACTTGCAAATTCCACAGAAAGAGTTTTTCAAAACTGCTCTGTGTAAAGGAAGGTTCAACTCTGTGACTTGAATACACACAACACAAAGAAGTGACTGAGAATTCTTCTGTCTAGCATTATATGAAGAAATCCCGTTTCCAACGAAGGCCTCAAAGAAGTCCAAATAAGCACCTGCAGACTTTACAAACAGAGTGTTTCCAAACTGCTCTATGAAAAGAAAGGTTAAACTCTGTGAGTTGAACGCACACATCACAAAGTAGTTGTTGAGAATGATTCTGTGTAGTTTTTATACGAAGATATTTCCTTTTCTGCCATAGGCCTAGAAGCGCTTGTAATCTGCACTTGCAAATTCCAAAACCAGAGTGTTTCAAATCTGCTCTCTCTAAAGGAAGGTTCAAATCTGTGAGTTGAATACAAACAACACAAAGAAGTTACTGAGAATTCTTCTGTCTAGCATTATAAGAGGAAATCCCGTTTCCAACGAAGGGCTCATAGAGGGACAATTATCCAGCTGCAGACTTACAAAGAGTGTATTTCCAAACTGCTCGATTAAAGAAAGGTTAAACTCTGTGAGTTGAACACACACATCACAAAGTGTTTTCTGAGAATGATTTTGTCTAGTTTTAATACGAAGATATATCCTTTTCTATCACTGTCTTCGAAGCGTTTGAAATCTGCACTAGCAAATTCCACAAACAGAGTGTTTCAACTCTGCTCTCTCTCAAGAAAGGTTCAACTCTGTGAGTGGAATACACACAACACAAAGAAGTTACTGAGAATTCTTCTGTCTAGCGTTATATGAAGAAATCCCGTTTCCAACGAAGGCCTCAAAGAGGTCCAAATATCCACTTGCAGACTTTACAAATAGAGTGTTTCCAAACTGCTCTATGAAAAGAAAGGTTAAACTCCGTGAGTTGAAGGCACACATCACAAACTAGTTTCTGCGAATGACTCTGTGTACTTTTAATACGAAGATGTTTCCATGTCTAAGATTGGCGTGAATTCGCTTGAAATCTCCACTTGCAAATTCCACCAAAAGAGTGTTTCAAAACTGCTCTGAATAAAGGAAGGTTCCACTCTGTGAGTTGAATACACACAACACAAAGGATTTACTGAGAATTCTTCTGTCTAGCAGTAAATGAAAAAATCCCGCTTCCAACGAAGTCCTCAAAGGGGTCCAAGTAATCATTTGCAGACTTTACAGACGGAGTCTTTCCAAACTGCTCTATGAAAAGAAAGGTGGAACTCTGTGAGCTGAACGCACACATAACAAAGCAGTTTCTGAGAATGATTCTGTGTAGTTTTTACACGAAGATATTTCCATTTCAAAGATTAGCCTCAAATCGCTTGAAATCTCCACTTGCAAATTCCACAGAAAGAGTTTCTCAAAACTGCTCTGTGTAAAGGAAGGTTCAACTCTGTGACTTGAATACACACAACACAAAGAAGTGACTGAGAATTCTTCTGTCTAGCATTATATGAAGAAATCCCGTTTCCAACGAAGGCCTCAAAGAAGTCCAAATAAGCACCTGCAGACTTTACAAACAGAGTGTTTCCAAACTGCTCTATGAAAAGAAAGGTTAAACTCTGTGAGTTGAACGCACACATCACAAAGTAGTTGTTGAGAATGATTCTGTGTAGTTTTTATACGAAGATATTTCCTTTTCTGCCATAGGCCTAGAAGCGCTTGTAATCTGCACTTGCAAATTCCAAAAACAGAGTGTTACAAATCTGCTCTCTCTAAAGGAAGGTTCAATCTGTGAGTTGAATACAAACAACACAAAGTAGTTACTGAGAATTCTTCTGTCTAGCATTATAAGAGGAAATCCTGTTTCCAACGAAGGGCTCATAGAGGGACAATTATCCAGCTGCAGACTTACAAAGAGTGTATTTCCAAACTGCTCGATTAAAGAAAGGTTAAACTCTGTGAGTTGAACACACACATCACAAAGTGTTTTCTGAGAATGATTTTGTCTAGTTTTAATACGAAGATATATCCTTTTCTATCACTGTCTTCGAAGCGTTTGAAATCTGCACTAGCAAATTCCACAAACAGAGTGTTTCCACTCTGCTCTCTCTCAAGAAAGGTTCAACTCTGTGAGTGGAATACACACAACACAAAGAAGTTACTGAGAATTCTTCTGTCTAGCGTTATATGAAGAAATCCCGTTTCCAACGAAGGCCTCAAAGAGGTCCAAATATCCACTTGCAGACTTTACAAATAGAGTGTTTCCAAACTGCTCTATGAAAAGAAAGGTTAAACTCCGTGAGTTGAAGGCACACATCACAAACTAGTTTCTGCGAATGACTCTGTGTACTTTTAATACGAAGATGTTTCCATGTCTAAGATTGGCGTGAATTCGCTTGAAATCTCCACTTGCAAATTCCACAAAAAGAGTGTTTCAAAACTGCTCTGAATAAAGGAAGGTTCCACTCTGTGAGTTGAATACACACAACACAAAGGATTTACTGAGAATTCTTCTGTCTAGCAGTAAATGAAAAAATCCCGCTTCCAACGAAGTCCTCAAAGGGGTCCAAGTAATCACTTGCAGACTTTACAGACAGAGTCTTTCCAAACTGCTCTATGAAAAGAAAGGTGGAACTCTGTGAGCTGAACGCACACATAACAAAGCAGTTTCTGAGAATGATTCTGTGTAGTTTTTACACGAAGATATTTCCATTTCAAAGATTAGCCTCAAATCGCTTGAAATCTCCACTTGCAAATTCCACAGAAAGAGTTTTTCAAAACTGCTCTGTGTAAAGGAAGGTTCAACTCTGTGACTTGAATACACACAACACAAAGAAGTGACTGAGAATTCTTCTGTCTAGCATTATATGAAGAAATCCCGTTTCCAACGAAGGCCTCAAAGAAGTCCAAATAAGCACCGGCAGACTTTACAAACAGAGTGTTTCCAAACTGCTCTATGAAAAGAAAGGTTAAACTCTGTGAGTTGAACGCACACATCACAAAGTAGTTGTTGAGAATGATTCTGTGTAGTTTTTATACGAAGATATTTCCTTTTCTGCCATAGGCCTAGAAGCGCTTGTAATCTGCACTTGCAAATTCCAAAACCAGAGTGTTTCAAATCTGCTCTCTCTAAAGGAAGGTTCAAATCTGTGAGTTGAATACAAACAACACAAAGAAGTTACTGAGAATTCTTCTGTCTAGCATTATATGAGGAAATCCCGTTTCCAACGAAGGGCTCATAGAGGGACAATTATCCAGCTGCAGACTTACAAAGAGTGTATTTCCAAACTGCTCGATTAAAGAAAGGTTAAACTCTGTGAGTTGAACACACACATCACAAAGTGTTTTCTGAGAATGATTTTGTCTAGTTTTAATACGAAGATATATCCTTTTCTATCACTGTCTTCGAAGCGTTTGAAATCTGCACTAGCAAATTCCACAAACAGAGTGTTTCAACTCTGCTCTCTCTCAAGAAAGGTTCAACTCTGTGAGTGGAATACACACAACACAAAGAAGTTACTGAGAATTCTTCTGTCTAGCGTTATATGAAGAAATCCCGTTTCCAACGAAGGCCTCAAAGAGGTCCAAATATCCACTTGCAGACTTTACAAATAGAGTGTTTCCAAACTGCTCTATGAAAAGAAAGGTTAAACTCCGTGAGTTGAAGGCACACATCACAAACTAGTTTCTGCGAATGACTCTGTGTACTTTTAATACGAAGATGTTTCCATGTCTAAGATTGGCGTGAATTCGCTTGAAATCTCCACTTGCAAATTCCACAAAAAGAGTGTTTCAAAACTGCTCTGAATAAAGGAAGGTTCCACTCTGTGAGTTGAATACACACAACACAAAGGATTTACTGAGAATTCTTCTGTCTAGCAGTAAATGAAAAAATCCCGCTTCCAACGAAGTCCTCAAAGGGGTCCAAGTAATCACTTGCAGACTTTACAGACAGAGTCTTTCCAAACTGCTCTATGAAAAGAAAGGTGGAACTCTGTGAGCTGAACGCACACATAACAAAGAAGTTTCTGAGAATGATTCTGTGTAGTTTTTACACGAAGATATTTCCATTTCAAAGATTAGCCTCAAATCGCTTGAAATCTCCACTTGCAAATTCCACAGAAAGAGTTTTTCAAAACTGCTCTGTGTAAAGGAAGGTTCAACTCTGTGACTTGAATACACACAACACAAAGAAGTGACTGAGAATTCTTCTGTCTAGCATTACATGAAGAAATCCCGTTTCCAACGAAGGCCTCAAAGAAGTCCAAATAAGCACCTGCAGACTTTACAAACAGAGTGTTTCCAAACTGCTCTATGAAAAGAAAGGTTAAACTCTGTGAGTTGAACGCACACATCACAAAGTAGTTGTTGAGAATGATTCTGTGTAGTTTTTATACGAAGATATTTCCTTTTCTGCCATAGGCCTAGAAGCGCTTGTAATCTGCACTTGCAAATTCCAAAAACAGAGTGTTTCAAATCTGCTCTCTCTAAAGGAAGGTTCAAATCTGTGAGTTGAATACAAACAACACAAAGAAGTTACTGAGAATTCTTCTGTCTAGCATTATAAGAGGAAATCCCGTTTCCAACGAAGGGCTCATAGAGGGACAATTACCCAGCTGCAGACTTACAAAGAGTGTATTTCCAAACTGCTCGATTAAAGAAAGGTTAAACTCTGTGAGTTGAACACACACATCACAGAGTGTTTTCTGAGAATGATTTTGTCTAGTTTTAATACGAAGATATATCCTTTTCTATCACTGTCTTCGAAGCGTTTGAAATCTGCACTAGCAAATTCCACAAACAGAGTGTTTCAACTCTGCTCTCTCTCAAGAAAGGTTCAACTCTGTGAGTGAAATAAACACAACACAAAGAAGTTACTGAGAATTCTTCTGTCTAGCGTTATATGAAGAAATCCCGTTTCCAACGAAGGCCTCAAAGAGGTCCAAATATCCACTTGCAGACTTTACAAATAGAGTGTTTCCAAACTGCTCTATGAAAAGAAAGGTTAAACTCCGTGAGTTGAAGGCACACATCACAAACTAGTTTCTGCGAATGACTCTGTGTACTTTTAATACGAAGATGTTTCCATGTCTAAGATTGGCGTGAATTCGCTTGAAATCTCCACTTGCAATTTCCACAAAAAGAGTGTTTCAAAAGTGCTCTGAATAAAGGAAGGTTCCACTCTGTGAGTTGAATACACACAACACAAAGGATTTACTGAGAATTCTTCTGTCTAGCAGTAAATGAAAAAATCCCGCTTCCAACGAAGTCCTCAAAGGGGTCCAAGTAATCACTTGCAGACTTTACAGACAGAGTCTTTCCAAACTGCTCTATGAAAAGAAAGGTGGAACTCTGTGAGCTGAACGCACACATAACAAAGCAGTTTCTGAGAATGATTCTGTGTTGTTTTTACACGAAGCTATTTCCATTTCAAAGATTAGCCTCAAATCGCTTGAAATCTCCACTTGCAAATTCCACAGAAAGAGTTTTTCAAAACTGCTCTGTGTAAAGGAAGGTTCAACTCTGTGACTTGAATACACACAACACAAAGAAGTGACTGAGAATTCTTCTGTCTAGCACTATATGAGGAAATCCCGTTTCCAACGAAGGGCTCAAAGAGGGCCAATTATCCACTTGCAGACTTACAAAGAGGGTATTTCCAAACTGCTCAATTAAGGAAAGGTTAAACTCTGTGAGTTGAACACACAGATCACAAAGTGTTTTCTGAGAATGATTTTGTCTAGTTTTAATACGAAGATATATCCTTTTCTATCACTGTCTTCGAAGCGTTTGAAATCTGCACTAGCAAATTCCACAAACAGAGTGTTTCAACTCGGCTCTCTCTCAAGAAAGGTTCAACTCTGTGAGTAGAATACACACAACACAAAGAAGTTACTGAGAATTCTTCTGTCTAGCGTTATATGAAGAAATCCCGTTTCCAACGAAGGCCTCAAAGAGGTCCAAATATCCACTTGCAGACTTTACAAATAGAGTGTTTCCAAACTGCTCTATGAAAAGAAAGGTTAAACTCCGTGAGTTGAAGGCACACATCACAAACTAGTTTCTGCGAATGACTCTGTGTACTTTTAATACGAAGATGTTTCCATGTCTAAGATTGGCGTGAATTCGCTTGAAATCTCCACCTGCAAATTCCACAAAAAGAGTGTTTCAAAAGTGCTCTGAATAAAGGAAGGTTAAACTCTGTGAGTTGAATACACACAACACAAAGGATTTACTGAGAATTCTTCTGTCTAGCAGTAAATGAAAAAATCCCGCTTCCAACGAAGTCCTCAAAGGGGTCCAAGTAATCACTTGCAGACTTTACAGACAGAGTCTTTCCAAACTGCTCTATGAAAAGAAAGGTGGAACTCTGTGAGCTGAACGCACACATAACAAAGCAGTTTCTGACAATGATTCTGTGTAGTTTTTACACGAAGCTATTTCCATTTCAAAGATTAGCCTCAAATCGCTTGAAATCTCCACTTGCAAATTCCACAGAAAGAGTTTTTCAAAACTGCTCTGTGTAAAGGAAGGTTCAACTCTGTGACTTGAATACACACAACACAAAGAAGTGACTGAGAATTCTTCTGTCTAGCATTACATGAAGAAATCCCGTTTCCAACGAAGGCCTCAAAGAAGTCCAAAGAAGCACCTGCAGACTTTACAAACAGAGTGTTTCCAAACTGCTCTATGAAAAGAAAGGTTAAACTCTGTGAGTTGAACGCACACATCACAAAGTAGTTGTTGAGAATGATTCTGTGTAGTTTTTATACGAAGATATTTCCTTTTCTGCCATAGGCCTAGAAGCGCTTGTAATCTGCACTTGCAAATTCCAAAAACAGAGTGTTTCAAATCTGCTCTCTCTAAAGGAAGGTTCAAATCTGTGAGTTGAATACAAACAACACAAAGAAGTTACTGTGAATTCTTCTGTCTAGCATTATAAGAGGAAATCCCGTTTCCAACGAAGGGCTCATAGAGGGACAATTATCCAGCTGCAGACTTACAAAGAGTGTATTTCCAAACTGCTCGATTAAAGAAAGGTTAAACTCTGTGAGTTGAACACACACATCACAAAGTGTTTTCTGAGAATGATTTTGGCTAGTTTTAATACGAAGATATATCCTTTTCTATCACTGTCTTCGAAGCGTTTGAAATCTGCACTAGCAAATTCCACAAAAAGAGTGTTTCAACTCTGCTCTCTCTAAAGAAAGGTTCAACTCTGTGAGTTGAATACACACAACACAAAGAAGTTACTGAGAATTCTTCTGTCTAGTGTTATATGAAGAAATCCCTTTTCCAACGAAGGCCTCAAAGAGGTCCAAATATCCACTTGCAGACTTTACAAATAGAATGTTTCCGAACTGCTCTATGAAAAGAAAGGTTAAACTCTGTGAGTTGAAGGCACACATCACAAACTAGTTTCTACGAATGATTCTGTGTACTTTTAATATGAAGATATTTCCATGTCTAAGATTGGCGTCAAATCGCTTGAAATCTCCACTTGCAAATTCCACAAAAAGAGAGTTTCAAAACTGCTCTGAATAAAGGAAGGTTCCACTCTGTGAGTTGAATAAACACAACACAAAGGATTTACTGAGAATTCTTCTGTCTAGCATTATATGAAGAAATCCCGTTTCCAACGAAGGCCTCAATGAAGTCCAAAAAAGCAATTGCAGGCTTTACAAACAGAGTGTTTCCAAACTTCTCTATGAAAAGAAAGGTTAAACTTTGTGAGTTGAACGCACACATCACAAAGTAGTTGTTGAGAATGATTCTGTGTAGTTTTTCTACGAAGATATTTCCTTTTCTGCCATAGGCCTAGAAGCGCTTGAAATCTGCACTTGCAAATTCCAAAAACAGAGTGTTTCAAATCTGCTCTCTCTAAAGGAAGGTTCAAATCTGTGTGTTGAATACAAACAACACAAAGAAGTTACTGAGAATTCTTCTGTCTAGCGTTGTATGAAGAAATCCCGTTTCCAACGAAGGCCTCAAAGAGGTCCCAAATATCCACTTGCAGACTTTACAAATAGAGTGTTTCCAAACTGCTCTATGAAAAGAAAGGTTAAACTCTGTGAGTTGAAGGCACACATCACAAACTAGTTTCTACGAATGACTCTGTGTACTTTTAATATGAAGATATTTCCATGTCTAAGATTGGCGTCAAATCGCTTGAAATCTCCACTTGCAAATTCCACAAAAAGTGTTTTTCAAAACTGCTCTGAATAAAGGAAGGTTCCACTCTGTGAGTTGAATACACACAACACAAAGGATTTACTGAGAATTCTTCTGTCTAGCAGTAAATGAAAAAATCCCGCTTCCAACGAAGTCCTCAAAGTGGTCCAAGTAATCAGTTGCAGACTTTACAGACAGAGTCTTTCCAAACTGTTCTATGAAAAGAAAGGTGGAACTCTGTGAGCTGAACGCACACATAAGAAAGCAGTTTCTGAGAATGATTCTGTGTAGTTTTTACACGAAAGATATTTCCATTTCAAAGATTAGCCTCAAATCGCTTGAAATCTCCACTTGCAAATTACACAGAAAGAACTTTTCAAAACTGCTCTGTCTAAAGGAAGGTTCAACTCTGTGACTTGAATACACACAACACAAAGAAGTGACTGAGAATTCTTCTGTCTAGCATTACATGAAGAAATCCCGTTTCCAACGAAGGCCTCAATGAAGTCCAAAAAAGCACTTGCAGGCTTTACAAACAGAGTGTTTCCAAACTGCTCTATGAAAAGAAAGGTTAAACTCTGTGAGTTGAACGCACACATCACAAAGTCGTTGTTGAGAATGATTTTGTCTAGTTTTAATACGAAGATATATCCTTTTCTATCACTGTCTTCGAAGCGTTTGAAATCTGCACTAGGAAATTCCACAAACAGAGTGTTTCAACTCTGCTCTCTCTCAAGAAAGGTTCAACTCTGTGAGTTGAATACACACAACACAAAGAAGTTACTGAGAATTCTTCTGTCTAGCGTTATATGAAGAAATCCCGTTTCCAACGAAGGCCTCAAAGAGGTCCAAATATCCACTTGCAGACTTTACAAATAGAGTGTTTCCAAACTGCTCTATGAAAAGAAAGGTTAAACTCCGTGAGTTGAAGGCACACATCACAAACTAGTTTCTGCGAATGACTCTGTGTACTTTTAATACGAAGATGTTTCCATGTCTAAGATTGGCGTGAATTCGCTTGAAATCTCCACTTGCAAATTCCACAAAAAGAGTGTTTCAAAACTGCTCTGAATAAAGGAAGGTTCCACTCTGTGAGTTGAATACACACAACACAAAGGATTTACTGAGAATTCTTCTGTCTAGCAGTAAATGAAAAAATCCCGCTTCCAACGAAGTCCTCAAAGGGGTCCAAGTAATCACTTGCAGACTTTACAGACAGAGTCTTTCCAAACTGCTCTATGAAAAGAAAGGTGGAACTCTGTGAGCTGAACGCACACATAACAAAGCAGTTTCTGAGAATGATTCTGTGTAGTTTTTACACGAAGATATTTCCATTTCAAAGATTAGCCTCAAATCGCTTGAAATCTCCACTTGCAAATTCCACAGAAAGAGTTTTTCAAAACTGCTCTGTGTAAAGGAAGGTTCAACTCTGTGACTTGAATCCACACAACACAAAGAAGTGACTGAGAATTCTTCTGTCTAGCATTATATGAAGAAATCCCGTTTCCAACGAAGGCCTCAAAGAAGTCCAAATAAGCACCTGCAGACTTTACAAACAGAGTGTTTCCAAACTGCTCTATGAAAAGAAAGGTTAAACTCTGTGAGCTGAACGCACACATCACAAAGTAGTTGTTGAGAATGATTCTGTGTAGTTTTTATACGAAGATATTTCCTTTTCTGCCATAGGCCTAGAAGCGCTTGCAATCTGCACTTGCAAATTCCAAAAACGGAGTGTTTCAAATCTGCTCTCTCCAAAGGAAGGTTCAAATCTGTGAGTTGAATACAAACAACACAAAGAAGTTACTGAGAGTTCTTCTGTCTAGCATTATATGAGGAAATCCCGTTTCCAACGAAGGGCTCATAGAGGGACAATTATCCAGCTGCAGACTTACAAAGAGTGTATTTCCAAACTGCTCGATTAAAGAAAGGTTAAACTCTGTGAGTTGAACACACACATCACAAAGTGTTTTCTGAGAATGATTTTGTCTAGTTTTAATACGAAGATATATCCTTTTCTATCACTGTCTTCGAAGCGTTTGAAATCTGCACTAGCAAATTCCACAAACAGAGTGTTTCAACTCTGCTCTCTCTCAAGAAAGGTTCAACTCTGTGAGTGGAATACACACAACACAAAGAAGTTACTGAGAATTCTTCTGTCTAGCGTTATATGAAGAAATCCCGTTTCCAACGAAGGCCTCAAAGAGGTCCAAATATCCACTTGCAGACTTTACAAATAGAGTGTTTCCAAACTGCTCTATGAAAAGAAAGGTTAAACTCTGTGAGTTGAAGGCACACATCACAAACTAGTTTCTGCGAATGACTCTGTGTACTTTTAATACGAAGATGTTTCCATGTCTAAGATTGGCGTGAATTCGCTTGAAATCTCCACTTGCAAATTCCACAAAAAGAGTGTTTCAAAAGTGCTCTGAATAAAGGAAGGTTCCACTCTGTGAGTTGAATACACACAACACAAAGGATTTAGTGAGAATTCTTCTGTCTAGCAGTAAATGAAAAATTCCCGCTTCCAACGAAGTCCTCAAAGGGGTCCAAGTAATCACTTGCAGACTTTACAGACAGAGTCTTTCCAAACTGCTCTATGAAAAGAAAGGTGGAACTCTGTGAGCTGAACGCACACATAACAAAGCAGTTTCTGAGAATGATTCTGTGTAGTTTTTACACGAAGATATTTCCATTTCAAAGATTAGCCTCAAATCGCTTGAAATCTCCACTTGCAAATTCCACAGAAAGAGTTTTTCAAAACTGCTCTGTGTAAAGGAAGGTTCAACTCTGTGACTTGAATACACACAACACAAAGAAGTGACTGAGAATTCTTCTGTCTAGCATTATATGAAGAAATCCCGTTTCCAACGAAGGCCTCAAAGAAGTCCAAATAAGCACCTGCAGACTTTACAAACAGAGTGTTTCCAAACTGCTCTATGAAAAGAAAGGTTAAACTCTGTGAGTTGAACGCACACATCACAAAGTAGTTGTCGAGAATGATTCTGTGTAGTTTTTATACGAAGATATTTCCTTTTCTGCCATAGGCCTAGAAGCGCTTGTAATCTGCACTTGCAAATTCCAAAAACAGAGTGTTTCAAATCTGCTCTCTCTAAAGGAAGGTTCAAATCTGTGAGTTGAATACAAACAACACAAAGAAGTTACTGAGAATTCTTCTGTCTAGCATTATAAGAGGAAATCCCGTTTCCAACGAAGGGCTCATAGAGGGACAATTATCCAGCTGCAGACTTACAAAGAGTGTATTTCCAAACTGCTCGATTAAAGAAAGGTTAAACTCTGTGAGTTGAACACACACATCACAAAGTGTTTTCTGAGAATGATTTTGTCTAGTTTTAATACGAAGATATATCCTTTTCTATCACAGTCTTCGAAGCGTTTGAAATCGGCACTAGCAAATTCCCCAAACAGAGTGTTTCAACTCTGCTCTCTCTCAAGAAAGGTTCAACTCTGTGAGTGGAATACACACAACACAAAGAAGTTACTGAGAATTCTTCTGTCTAGCGTTATATGAAGAAATCCCGTTTCCAACGAAGGCCTCAAAGAGGTCCAAATATCCACTTGCAGACTTTACAAATAGAGTGTTTCCAAACTGCTCTATGAAAAGAAAGGTTAAACTCCGTGAGTTGAAGGCACACATCACAAACTAGTTTCTGCGAATGACTCTGTGTACTTTTAATACGAAGATGTTTCCATGTCTAAGATTGGCGTGAATTCGCTTGAAATCTCCACTTGCAAATTCCACAAAAAGAGTGTTTCAAAACTGCTCTGAATAAAGGAAGGTTCCACTCTGTGAGTTGAATACACACAACACAAAGGATTTACTGAGAATTCTTCTGTCTAGCAGTAAATGAAAAAATCCCGCTTCCAACGAAGTCCTCAAAGGGGTCCAAGTAATCACTTGCAGACTTTACAGACAGAGTCTTTCCAAACTGCTCTATGAAAAGAAAGGTGGAACTCTGTGAGCTGAACGCACACATAACAAAGCAGTTTCTGAGAATGATTCTGTGTAGTTTTTACACGAAGCTATTTCCATTTCAAAGATTAGCCTCAAATCGCTTGAAATCTCCACTTGCAAATTCCACAGAAAGAGTTTTTCAAAACTGCTCTGTGTAAAGGAAGGTTCAACTCTGTGACTTGAATACACACAACACAAAGAAGTGACTGAGAATTCTTCTGTCTAGCATTACATGAAGAAATCCCGTTTCCAACGAAGGCCTCAAAGAAGTCCAAATAAGCACCTGCAGACTTTACAAACAGAGTGTTTCCAAACTGCTCTATGAAAAGAAAGGTTAAACTCTGTGAGTTGAACGCACACATCACAAAGTAGTTGTTGAGAATGATTCTGTGTAGTTTTTATACGAAGATATTTCCTTTTCTGCCATAGGCCTAGAAGCGCTTGAAATCTGCACTTGCAAATTCCAAAAACAGAGTGTTTCAAATCTGCTCTCTCTAAAGGAAGGTTCAAATCTGTGTGTTGAATACAAGCAACACAAAGAAGTTACTGAGAATTCTTCTGTCTAGCATTATATGAGGAAATCCCGTTTCCAACGAAGGGCTCAAAGAGGGCCAAATATCCACCTGCAGACTTACAAAGAGTGTATTTCCAAACTGCTCGATTAAAGAAAGGTTAAACTCTGTGAGTTGAACACACACATCACAAAGAGTTTTCTGAGAATGATTTTGTCTACTTTTAATACGAAGATATATCCTTTTCTATCACTGTCTTCGAAGCGTTTGAAATCTACACTAGCAAATTCCACAAAAAGAGTGTTTCACCTCTGCTCCCTCTAAAGAAAGGTTCAACTCTGTGAGTTGAATACACACAACACAAAGAAGTTACTGAGAATTCTTCTGTCTAGCGTTATATGAAGAAATCCCGTTTCCAACGAAGGCCTCAAAGAGGTCCAAATATCCACTTGCAGACTTTACAAGTAGAGTGTTTCCCAACTGCTCTATGAAAAGAAAGGTTAAACTCTGTGAGTTGAAGGCACACATCACAAACTAGTTTCTACGAATGACTCTGTGTACTTTTAATATGAAGATATTTCCATGTCTAAGATTGGCGTCAAATCGCTTGAAATCTCCACTTGCAAATTCCACAAAAAGAGTGTTTCAAAACTGCTCTGAATAAAGGAAGGTTCCACTCTGTGAGTTGAATACACACAACACAAAGGATTTACTGAGAATTCTTCTGTCTAGCAGTAAATGAGAAATCCCGCTTCCAACGAAGGCCTCAAAGGGGTCTAACTAATCACTTGCAGACTTTACAGACAGAGTCTTTCCAAACTGCTCTATGAAGAGAAAGGTGAAACTCTGTGAACTGAACGCACAGATGACAAAGCAGTTTCTGAGAATGATTCTGTGTAGTTTTTACACGAAGATATTTCCATTTCAAAGATTAGCCTCAAATCGCTTGAAATCTCCACTTGCAAACTCCACAGAAAGAATTTTTCAAAACTGCTCTGTCTAAAGGAAAGTTCAACTCTGTGACTTGAATACACACAACACAAAGAAGTTACTGAGAATTCTTCTGTCTAGCATTATATGAAGAAATCCCGTTTCCAACGAAGGCCTCAATGAAGTCCAAAAAAGCAATTGCAGGCTTTACAAATAGAGTGTTTCCAAACTGCTCTATGAAAAGAAAGGTTAAACTCTGTGAGTTGAAGGCACACATCACAAACTAGTTTCTACGAATGACTCTGTGTACTTTTAATATGAAGATATGTCCATGTCTAAGATTGGCGTCAAATCGCTTGAAATCTCCACTTGGAAATTCCACAAAAAGTGTTTTTCAAAACTGCTCTGAATAAAGGAAGGTTCCACTCTGTGAGTTGAATACACACAACACAAAGGATTTACTGAGAATTCTTCTGTCTAGCGTTGTATGAAGAAATCCCGTTTCCAACGAAGGCCTCAAAGAGGTCCAAATATCCACTTGCAGACTTTACAAATAGAGTGTTTCCAAACTGCTCTATGAAAAGAAAGGTTAAACTCTGTGAGTTGAAGGCACACATCACAAACTAGTTTTTATGAATGACTCTGTGTACTTTTAATATGAAGATATTTCCATGTCTAAGATTGGCGTCAAATCGCTTGAAATCTCCACTTGCAAATTCCACAAAAAGTGTTTTTCAAAACTGCTCTGAATAAAGGAAGGTTCCACTCTGTGAGTTGAATAAACAGAACACAAAGGATTTACTGAGAATTCTTCTGTCTAGCAGTAAATGGGAAATCCCGCTTCCAACGAAGGCCTCAAAGGGGTCTAACTAATCACTTGTGGACTTTACAGACAGAGTCTTTCCAAACTGCTCTATGAAGAGAAAGGTGAAACTCTGTGAACTGAACGCACAGATAATAAAGCAGTTTCTGAGAATGATTCTGTGTACTTTTAATATGAAGATATTTCCATGTCTAAGATTGGCGTCAAATCGCTTGAAATCTCCACTTGCAAATTCCACAAAAAGAGTGTTTCAAAACTGCTCTGAATAAAGGAAGGTTCCACTCTGTGAGTTGAATACACACAACACAAAGGATTTACTGAGAATTCTTCTGTCTAGCAGTAAATGAGAAATCCCGCTTCCAACGAAGGCCTCAAAGGGGTCTAACTAATCACTTGCAGACTTTACAGACAGAGTCTTTCCAAACTGCTCTATGAAGAGAAAGGTGAAACTCTGTGAACTGAACGCACAGATGACAAAGCAGTTTCTGAGAATGATTCTGTGTAGTTTTTACACGAAGATATTTCCATTTCAAAGATTAGCCTCAAATCGCTTGAAATCTCCACTTGCAAACTCCACAGAAAGAATTTTTCAAAACTGCTCTGTCTAAAGGAAGGTTCAACTCTGTGACTTGAATACACACAACACAAACAAGTGACTGAGAATTCTTCTGTCTAGCATTATATGAAGAAATCCCGTTTCCAACGAAGGCCTCAATGAAGTCCAAAAAAGCACTTGCAGGCTTTACAAACAGAGTGTTTCCAAACTGCTCTATGAAAAGAAAGGTTAAACTCTGTGAGTTGAACGCACACATCACAAAGTAGTTGTTGAGAATGATTCTGTGTAGTTTTTATACGAAGATATTTCCTTTTCTGCCATAGGCCTAGAAGCGCTTGAAATCTGCACTTGCAAATTCCAAAAACAGAGTGTTTCAAATCTGCTCTCTCTAAAGGAAGGTTCAAATCTGTGTGTTGAATACAAACAACACAAAGAAGTTACTGAGAATTCTTCTGTCTAGCATTATATGAGGAAATCCCGTTTCCAACGAAGGGCTCAAAGAGGGCCAAATATCCACCTGCAGACTTACAAAGAGTGTATTTCCAAACTGCTCGATTAAAGAAAGGTTAAACTGCTGTGAGTTGAACACACACATCACAAAGAGTTTTCTGAGAATGATTTTGTCTACTTTTAATACGAAGATACATCCTTTTCTATCACTGTCTTCGAAGCGTTTGAAATCTACACTAGGAAATTCCACAAAAAGAGTGTTTCACCTCTGCTCCCTCTAAAGAAAGGTTCAACTCTGTGAGTTGAATACACACAACACAAAGAAGTTACTGAGAATTCTTCTGTCTAGCGTTACATGAAGAAATCCCGTTTTCAACGAAGGCCTCAAAGAGGTCCAAATATCCACTTGCAGACTTTACAAATAGAGTGTTTCCAAACTGCTCTATGAAAAGAAAGGTTAAACTCTGTGAGTTGAAGGCACACATCACAAAGTAGTTTCTGCGAATGACTCTGTGTACTTTTAATACGAAGATGTTTCCATGTCTAAGATTGGCGTGAATTCGCTTGAAATCTCCACTTGCAAATTCCACAAAAAGAGTGTTTCAAAACTGCTCTGAATAAAGGAAGGTTCCACTCTGTGAGTTGAATACACACAACACGAAGGACTTACTGAGAATTCTTCTGTCTAGCAGTAAATGAAAAAATCCTGCTTCCAACGAAGTCCTCAAAGGGGTCCAAGTAATCACTTGCCGACTTTACAGACAGAGTCTTTCCAAACTGCTCTATGAAAAGAAAGGTGGAACTCTGTGAGCTGAACGCACACATAACAAAGCAGTTTCTGACAATGATTCTGTGTAGTTTTTACACGAAGATATTTCCATTTCAAAGATTAGCCTCAAATCGCTTGAAATCTCCACTTGCAAATTCCACAGAAAGAGTTTTTCAAAACTGCTCTGTGTAAAGGAAGGTTCAACTCTGTGACTTGAATACACACAACACAAAGAAGTGACTGAGAATTCTTCTGTCTAGCATTATATGAAGAAATCCCGTTTCCAACGAAGGCCTCAAAGAAGTCCAAATAAGCACCTGCAGACTTTACAAACAGAGTGTTTCCAAACTGCTCTATGAAAAGAAAGGTTAAACTCTGTGAGTTGAACGCACACATCACAAAGTAGTTGTTGAGAATGATTCTGTGTAGTTTTAATACGAAGATATTTCCTTTTCTGCCATAGGCCTAGAAGCGCTTGTAATCTGCACTTGCAAATTCCAAAACCAGAGTGTTTCAAATCTGCTCTCTCTAAAGGAAGGTTCAAATCTGTGAGTTGAATACAAACAACACAAAGAAGTTACTGAGAATTCTTCTGTCTAGCATTATATGAGGAAATCCCGTTTCCAACGAAGGGCTCATAGAGGGACAATTATCCACCTGCAGACTTACAAAGAGTGTATTTCCAAACTGCTCGATTAAAGAAAGGTTAAACTCTGTGAGTTGAACACACACATCACAAAGTGTTTTCTGAGAATGATTTTGTCTAGTTTTAATACGAAGATATATCCTTTTCTATCACTGTCTTCGAAGCGTTTGAAATCTGCACTAGCAAATTCCACAAACAGAGTGTTTCCACTCTGCTCTCTCTCAAGAAAGGTTCAACTCTGTGAGTGGAATACACACAACACAAAGAAGTTACAGAGAATTCTTCTGTCTAGCGTTATATGAAGAAATCCCGTTTCCAACGAAGGCCTCAAAGAGGTCCAAATATCCACTTGCAGACTTTACAAATAGAGTGTTTCCAAACTGCTCTATGAAAAGAAAGGTTAAACTCTGTGAGTTGAAGGCACACATCTCAAACTAGTTTCTGCGAATGACTCTGTGTACTTTTAATACGAAGATGTTTCCATGTCTAAGATTGGCGTGAATTCGCTTGAAATCTCCACTTGCAAATTCCACAAAAAGAGTGTTTCAAAACTGCTCTGAATAAAGGAAGGTTCCACTCTGTGAGTTGAATACACACAACACAAAGGATTTACTGAGAATTCTTCTGTCTAGCAGTAAATGAAAAAATCCCGCTTCCAACGAAGTCCTCAAAGGGGTCCAAGTAATCACTTGCAGACTTTACAGACAGAGTCTTTCCAAACTGCTCTATGAAAACAAAGGTGGAACTCTGTGAGCTGAACGCAAACATAACAAAGCAGTTTCTGACAATGATTCTGTGTAGTTTTTACACGAAGATATTTCCATTTCAAAGATTAGCCTCAAATCGCTTGAAATCTCCACTTGCAAATTCCACAGAAAGAGTTTTTCAAAACTGCTCTGTGTAAAGGAAGGTTCAACTCTGTGACTTGAATACACACAACACAAAGAAGTGACTGAGAATTCTTCTGTCTAGCATTATATGAAGAAATCCCGTTTCCAACGAAGGCCTCAAAGAAGTCCAAATAAGCACCTGCAGACTTTACAAACAGAGTGTTTCCAAACTGCTCTATGAAAAGAAAGGTTAAACTCTGTGAGTTGAACGCACACATCACAAAGTAGTTGTTGAGAATGATTCTGTGTAGTTTTTATACGAAGATATTTCCTTTTCTGCCATAGGCCTAGAAGCGCTTGTAATCTGCACTTGCAAATTCCAAAACCAGAGTGTTTCAAATCTGCTCTCTCTAAAGGAAGGTTCAAATCTGTGAGTTGAATACAAACAACACAAAGAAGTTACTGAGGATTCTTCTGTCTAGCATTATATGAGGAAATCCCGTTTCCAACGAAGGGCTCATAGAGGGACAATTATCCAGCTGCAGACTTACAAAGAGTGTATTTCCAAACTGCTCGATTAAAGAAAGGTTAAACTCTGTGAGTTGAACACACACATCACAAAGTGTTTTCTGAGAATGATTTTGTCTAGTTTTAATACGAAGATATATCCTTTTCTATCACTGTCTTCGAAGCATTTGAAATCTGCACTAGCAAATTCCACAAACAGAGTGTTTCAACTCTGCTCTCTCTCAAGAAAGGTTCAACTCTGTGAGTGGAATACACACAACACAAAGAAGTTACTGAGAATTCTTCTGTCTAGCGTTATATGAAGAAATCCCGTTTCCAACGAAGGCCTCAAAGAGGTCCAAATATCCACTTGCAGACTTTACAAATAGAGTGTTTCCAAACTGCTCTATGAAAAGAAAGGTTAAACTGTGAGTTGAAGGCACACATCACAAACTAGTTTCTGCGAATGACTCTGTGTACTTTTAATACGAAGATGTTTCCATGTCTAAGATTGGCGTGAATTCGCTTGAAATCTCCACTTGCAAATTCCACAAAAAGAGTGTTTCAAAACTGCTCTGAATAAAGGAAGGTTCCACTCTGTGAGTTGAATACACACAACACAAAGGATTTACTGAGAATTCTTCTGTCTAGCAGTAAATGAAAAAATCCCGCTTCCAACGAAGTCCTCAAAGGGGTCCAAGTAATCACTTGCAGACTTTACAGACAGAGTCTTTCCAAACTGCTCTACGAAAAGAAAGGTGGAACTCTGTGAGCTGAACGCACACATAACAAAGCAGTTTCTGAGAATGATTCTGTGTAGTTTTTACACGAAGATATTTCCATTTCAAAGATTAGCCTCAAATCGCTTGAAATCTCCACTTGCAAATTCCACAGAAAGAGTTTTTCAAAACTGCTCTGTGTAAAGGAAGGTTCAACTCTGTGACTTGAATACACACAACACAAAGAAGTGACTGAGAATTCTTCTGTCTAGCATTATATGAAGAAATCCCGTTTCCAACGAAGGCCTCAAAGAAGTCCAAATAAGCACCTGCAGACTTTACAAACAGAGTGTTTCCAAACTGCTCTATGAAAAGAAAGGTTAAACTCTGTGAGTTGAACGCACACATCACAAAGTAGTTGTTGAGAATGATTCTGTGTAGTTTTTATACGAAGATATTTCTTTTTCTGCCATAGGCCTAGAAGCGCTTGCAATCTGCACTTGCAAATTCCAAAAACAGAGTGTTTCAAATCTGCTCTCTCTAAAGGAAGGTTCAAATCTGTGAGTTGAATGCAAACAACACAAAGAAGTTACTGAGAATTCTTCTGTCTAGCGTTATATGAAGAAATCCCGTTTCCAACGAAGGCCTCAAAGAGGTCCAAATATCCACTTGCAGATTTTACAAATAGAGTGTTTCCAAACTGCTCTATGAAAAGAAAGGTTAAACTCCGTGAGTTAAAGGCACACATCACAAACTAGTTTCTGCGAATGACTCTGTGTACTTTTAATACGAAGATGTTTCCATGTCTAAGATTGGCGTGAATTCGCTTGAAATCTCCACTTGCAAATTCCACAAAAAGAGTGTTTCAAAACTGCTCTGAATAAAGGAAGGTTCCACTCTGTGAGTTGAATACACACAACACAAAGGATTTACTGAGAATTCTTCTGTCTAGCAGTAAATGAAAAAATCCCGCTTCCAACGAAGTCCTCAAAGGGGTCCAAGTAATCACTTGCAGACTTTACAGACAGAGTCTTTCCAAACTGCTCTATGAAAAGAAAGGTGGAACTCTGTGAGCTGAACGCACACATAACAAAGCAGTTTCTGAGAATGATTCTGTGTAGTTTTTACACGAAGATATTTCCATTTCAAAGATTAGCCTCAAATCGCTTGAAATCTCCACTTGCAAATTCCACAGAAAGAGTTTTTCAAAACTGCTCTGTGTAAAGGAAGGTTCAACTCTGTGACTTGAATACACACAACACAAAGAAGTGACTGAGAATTCTTCTGTCTAGCATTATATGAAGAAATCCCGTTTCCAACGAAGGCCTCAAAGAAGTCCAAATAAGCACCTGCAGACTTTACAAACAGAGTGTTTCCAAACTGCTCTATGAAAAGAAAGGTTAAACTCTGTGAGTTGAACGCACAGATCACAAACTAGTTTCTGCGAATGACTCTGTGTACTTTTAATACGAAGATGTTTCCATGTCTAAGATTGGCGTGAATTCGCTTGAAATCTCCACTTGCAAATTCCACAAAAACAGTGTTTCAAAACTGCTCTGAATAAAGGAAGGTTCCACTCTGTGTGTTGAATACACACAACACAAAGGATTTACTGAGAATTCTTCTGTCTAGCAGTAAATGAAAAAATCCCGCTTCCAACGAAGTCCTCAAAGGGGTCCAAGTAATCACTTGCAGACTTTACAAACAGAGTCTTTCCAAACTGCTCTATGAAAAGAAAGGTGGAACTCTGTGAGCTGAACGCACACATAACAAAGCAGTTTCTGAGAATGATTCTGTGTAGTTTTTACACGAAGCTATTTCCATTTCAAAGATTAGCCTCAAATCGCTTGAAATCTCCACTTGCAAATTCCACAGAAAGAGTTTTTCAAAACTGCTCTGTGTAAAGGAAGGTTCAACTCTGTGACTTGAATACACACAACACAAAGAAGTGACTGAGAATTCTTCTGTCTAGCATTATATGAAGAAATCCCGTTTCCAACGAAGGCCTCAAAGAAGTCCAAATAAGCACCTGCAGACTTTACAAACAGAGTGTTTCCAAACTGCTCTATGAAAAGAAAGGTTAAACTCTGTGAGTTGAACGCACACATCACAAAGTAGTTGTTGAGAATGATTCTGTGTAGTTTTTATACGAAGATATTTCCTTTTCTGCCATAGGCCTAGAAGCGCTTGTAATCTGCACTTGCAAATTCCAAAAACAGAGTGTTTCAAATCTGCTCTCTCTAAAGGAAGGTTCAAATCTGTGAGTTGAATACAAACAACACAAAGAAGTTACTGAGAATTCTTCTGTCTAGCATTATAAGAGGAAATCCCGTTTCCAACGAAGGGCTCATAGAGGGACAATTATCCAGCTGCAGACTTACAAAGAGTGTATTTCCAAACTGCTCGATTAAAGAAAGGTTAAACTCTGTGAGTTGAACGCACACATCACAAAGTGTTTTCTGAGAATGATTTTGTCTAGTTTTAATACGAAGATATATCCTTTTCTATCACTGTCTTCGAAGCGTTTGAAATCTGCACTAGCAAATTCCACAAACAGAGTGTTTCAACTCTGCTCTCTCTCAAGAAAGGTTCAACTCTGTGAGTTGAATACACACAACACAAAGAAGTTACTGAGAATTCTTCTGTCTAGCGTTATATGAAGAAATCCCGTTTCCAACGAAGGCCTCAAAGAGGTCCAAATATCCACTTGCAGACTTTACAAATAGAGTGTTTCCAAACTGCTCTATGAAAAGAAAGGTTAAACTCCGTGAGTTGAAGGCACACATCACAAACTAGTTTCTGCGAATGACTCTGTGTACTTTTAATACGAAGATGTTTCCATGTGTAAGATTGGCGTGAATTCGCTTGAAATCTCCACTTGCAAATTCCACAAAAAGAGTGTTTCAAAACTGCTCTGAATAAAGGAAGGTTCCACTCTGTGAGTTGAATACACACAACACAAAGGATTTACTGAGAATTCTTCTGTCTAGCAGTAAATGAAAAAATCCCGCTTCCAACGAAGTCCTCAAAGGGGTCCAAGTAATCACTTGCAGACTTTACAGACAGAGTCTTTCCAAACTGCTCTATGAATAGAAAGGTGAAACTCTGTGAGCTGAACGCACACATAACAAAGCAGTTTCTGAGAATGATTCTGTGTAGTTTTTACACGAAGATATTTCCATTTCAAAGATTAGCCTCAAATCGCTTGAAATCTCCACTTGCAAATTCCACAGAAAGAGTTTTTCAAAACTGCTCTGTGTAAAGGAAGGTTCAACTCTGTGACTTGAATACACACAACACAAAGAAGTGACTGAGAATTCTTCTGTCTAGCATTACATGAAGAAATCCCGTTTCCAACGAAGGCCTCAAAGAAGTCCAAATAAGCACCTGCAGACTTTACAAACAGAGTGTTTCCAAACTGCTCTATGAAAAGAAAGGTGAAACTCTGTGAGTTGAACGCACACATCAGAAAGTAGTTGTTGAGAATGATTCTGTGTAGTTTTTATACGAAGATATTTCCTTTTCTGCCATAGGCCTAGAAGCGCTTGTAATCTGCACTTGCAAATTCCAAAAACAGAGTGTTACAAATCTGCTCTCTCTAAAGGAAGGTTCAATCTGTAAGTTGAATACAAACAACACAAAGAAGTTACTGAGAATTCTTCTGTCTAGCATTATAAGAGGAAATCCCGTTTCCAACGAAGGGCTCATAGAGGGACAATTATCCAGCTGCAGACTTACAAAGAGTGTATTTCCAAACTGCTCGATTAAAGAAAGGTTAAACTCTGTGAGTTGAACACACACATCACAAAGTGTTTTCTGAGAATGATTTTGTCTAGTTTTAATACGAAGATATATCCTTTTCTATCACTGTCTTCGAAGCGTTTGAAATCTGCACTAGCAAATTCCACAAACAGAGTGTTTCAACTCTGCTCTCTCTCAAGAAAGGTTCAACTCTGTGAGTGGAATACACACAACACAAAGTAGTTACTGAGAATTCTTCTGTCTAGCGTTATATGAAGAAATCCCGTTTCCAACGAAGGCCTCAAAGAGGTCCAAATATCCACTTGCAGACTTTACAAATAGAGTGTTTCCAAACTGCTCTATGAAAAGAAAGGTTAAACTCCGTGAATTGAAGGCACACATCACAAACTAGTTTCTGCGAATGACTCTGTGTACTTTTAATACGAAGATGTTTCCATGTCTAAGATTGGCGTGAATTCGCTTGAAATCTCCACTTGCAAATTCCACAAAAAGAGTGTTTCAAAACTGCTCTGAATAAAGGAAGGTTCCACTCTGTGAGTTGAATACACACAACACAAAGGATTTACTGAGAATTCTTCTGTCTAGCAGTAAATGAAAAAATCCCGCTTCCAACGAAGTCCTCAAAGGGGTCCAAGTAATCACTTGCAGACTTTACAGACAGAGTCTTTCCAAACTGCTCTATGAAAAGAAAGGTGGAACTCTGTGAGCTGAACGCACACATAACAAAGCAGTTTCTGAGAATGATTCTGTGTAGTTTTTACACGAAGCTATTTCCATTTCAAAGATTAGCCTCAAATCGCTTGAAATCTCCACTTGCAAATTCCACAGAAAGAGTTTTTCAAAACTGCTCTGTGTAAAGGAAGGTTCAACTCTGTTACTTGAATACACACAACACAAAGAAGTGACTGAGAATTCTTCTGTCTAGCATTATATGAAGAAATCCCGTTTCCAACGAAGGCCTCAAAGAAGTCCAAATAAGCACCTGCAGACTTTACAAACAGAGTGTTTCCAAACTGCTCTATGAAAAGAAAGGTTAAACTCTGTGAGTTGAACGCACACATCACAAAGTAGTTGTTGAGAATGATTCTGTGTAGTTTTTATACGAAGATATTTCCTTTTCTGCCATAGGCCTAGAAGCGCTTGTAATCTGCACTTGCAAATTCCGAAAACAGAGTGTTTCAAATCTGCTCTCTCTAAAGGAAGGTTCAAATCTGTGAGTTGAATACAAACAACACAAAGAAGTTACTGAGAATTCTTCTGTCTAGCATTATAAGAGGAAATCCCGTTTCCAACGAAGGGCTCATAGAGGGACAATTATCCAGCTGCAGACTTACAAAGAGTGTATTTCCAAACTGCTCGATTAAAGAAAGGTTAAACTCTGTGAGTTGAACACACACATCACAAAGTGTTTTCTGAGAATGATTTTGTCTAGTTTTAATACGAAGATATATCCTTTTCTATCACTGTCTTCGAAGCGTTTGAAATCGGCACTAGCAAATTCCACAAACAGAGTGTTTCAACTCTGCTCTCTCTCAAGAAAGGTTCAACTCTGTGAGTGGAATACACACAACACAAAGAAGTTACTGAGAATTCTTCTGTCTAGCGTTATATGAAGAAATCCCGTTTCCAACGAAGGCCTCAAAGACGTCCAAATATCCACTTGCAGACTTTACAAATAGAGTGTTTCCAAACTGCTCTATGAAAAGAAAGGTTAAACTCTGTGAGTTGAAGGCACACATCACAAACTAGTTTCTGCGAATGACTCTGTGTACTTTTAATACGAAGATGTTTCCATGTCTAAGATTGGCGTGAATTCGCTTGAAATCTCCACTTGCAAATTCCACAAAAAGAGTGTTTCAAAACTGCTCTGAATAAAGGAAGGTTCCACTCTGAGAGTTGAATACACACAACACAAAGGATTTACTGAGAATTCTTCTGTCTAGCAGTAAATGAAAAAATCCCGCTTCCAACGAAGTCCTCAAAGGGGTCCAAGTAATCACTTGCAGACTTTACAGACAGAGTCTTTCCAAACTGCTCTATGAAAAGAAAGGTGGAACTCTGTGAGCTGAACGCACACATAACAAAGCAGTTTCTGAGAATGATTCTGTGTAGTTTTTACACGAAGATATTTCCATTTCAAAGATTAGCCTCAAATCGCTTGAAATCTCCACTTGCAAATTCCACAGAAAGAGTTTTTCAAAACTGCTCTGTGTAAAGGAAGGTTCAACTCTGTGACTTGAATACACACAACACAAAGAAGTGACTGAGAATTCTTCTGTCTAGCATTATATGAAGAAATCCCGTTTCCAACGAAGGCCTCAAAGAAGTCCAAATAAGCACCTGCAGACTTTACAAACAGAGTGTTTCCAAACTGCTCTATGAAAAGAAAGGTTAAACTCTGTGAGTTGAACGCACACATCACAAAGTAGTTGTTGAGAATGATTCTGTGTAGTTTTTATACGAAGATATTTCCTTTTCTGCCATAGGCCTAGAAGCGCTTGTAATCTGCACTTGCAAATTCCAAAAACAGAGTGTTTCAAATCTGCTCTCTCTAAGGGAAGGTTCAAATCTGTGAGTTGAATACAAACAACACAAAGAAGTTACTGAGAATTCTTCTGTCTAGCATTATATGAGGAAATCCCGTTTCCAACGAAGGGCTCATAGAGGGACAATTATCCACCTGCAGACTTACAAAGAGTGTATTTCCAAACTGCTCGATTACAGAAAGGTTAAACTCTGTGAGTTGAACACACACATCACAAAGTGTTTTCTGAGAATGATTTTGTCTAGTTTTAATACGAAGATATATCCTTTTCTATCACTGTCTTCGAAGAGTTTGAAATCTGCACTAGCAAATTCCACAAAAAGAGTGTTTCAACTCTGCTCTCTCTCAACAAAGGTTCAACTCTGTGAGTGGAATACACACAACACAAAGAAGTTACAGAGAATTCTTCTGTCTAGCGTTATATGAAGAAATCCCGTTTCCAACGAAGGCCTCAAAGTGGTCCAAATATCCACTTGCAGACTTTACAAATAGAGTGTTTCCAAACTGCTCTATGAAAAGAAAGGTTAAACTCTGTGAGTTGAAGGCACACATCACAAACTAGTTTCTGCGAATGACTCTGTGTACTTTTAATACGAAGATGTTTCCATGTCTAAGATTGGCGTGAATTCGCTTGAAATCTCCACTTGCAAATTCCACAAAAAGAGTGTTTCAAAACTGCTCTGAATAAAGGAAGGTTCCACTCTGTGAGTTGAATACACACAACACGAAGGATTTACTGAGAATTCTTCTGTCTAGCAGTAAATGAAAAAATCCCGCTTCCAACGAAGTCCTCAAAGGGGTCCAAGTAATCACTTGCAGACTTTACAGACAGAGTCTTTCCAAACTGCTCTATGAAAAGAAAGGTGGAACTCTGTGAGCTGAACGCACACATAACAAAGCAGTTTCTGAGAATGATTCTGTGTAGTTTTTACACGAAGATATTTCCATTTCAAAGATTAGCCTCAAATCGCTTGAAATCTCCACTTGCAAATTCCACAGAAAGAGTTTTTCAAAACTGCTCTGTGTAAAGGAAGGTTCAACTCTGTGACTTGAATACACACAACACAAAGAAGTGACTGAGAATTCTTCTGTCTAGCATTATATGAAGAAATCCCGTTTCCAACGAAGGCCTCAAAGAAGTCCAAATAAGCACCTGCAGACTTTACAAACAGAGTGTTTCCAAACTGCTCTATGAAAAGAAAGGTTAAACTCTGTGAGTTGAACGCACACATCACAAAGTAGTTGTTGAGAATGATTCTGTGTAGTTTTTATACGAAGATATTTCCTTTTCTGCCATAGGCCTAGAAGCGCTTGCAATCTGCACTTGCAAATTCCAAAAACAGAGTGTTTCAAATCTGCTCTCTCTAAAGGAAGTTTCAAATCTGTGAGTTGAATACAAACAACACAAAGAAGTTACTGAGAATACTTCTGTCTAGCATTATATGAGGAAATCCCGTTTCCAACGAAGGGCTCATAGAGGGACAATTATCCACCTGCAGACTTACAAAGAGTGCATTTCCAAACTGCTCGATTAAAGAAAGGTTAAACTCTGTGAGTTGAACACACACATCACAAAGTGTTTTCTGAGAATGATTTTGTCTAGTTTTAATACGAAGATATATCCTTTTCTATCACTGTCTTCGAAGCGTTTGAAATCTGCACTAGCAAATTCCACAAACAGAGTGTTTCAACTCTGCTCTCTCTCAAGAAAGGTTCAACTCTGTGAGTGGAATACACACAACACAAAGAAGTTACTGAGAATTCTTCTGTCTAGCGTTACATGAAGAAATCCCGTTTCCAACGAAGGCCTCAAAGAGGTCCAAATATCCACTTGCAGACTTTACAAATAGAGTGTTTCCAAACTGCTCTATGAAAAGAAAGGTTAAACTCTGTGAGTTGAAGGCACACATCACAAAGTAGTTTCTGCGAATGACTCTGTGTACTTTTAATACGAAGATGTTTCCATGTCTAAGATTGGCGTGAATTCGCTTGAAATCTCCACTTGCAAATTCCACAAAAAGAGTGTTTCAAAACTGCTCTGAATAAAGGAAGGTTCCACTCTGTGAGTTGAATACACACAACACAAAGGATTTACTGAGAATTCTTCTGTCTAGCAGTAAATGAAAAAATCCCGCTTCCAACGAAGTCCTCAAAGGGGTCCAAGTAATCACTTGCAGACTTTACAGACAGAGTCTTTCCAAACTGCTCTATGAAAAGAAAGGTGGAACTCTGTGAGCTGAACGCACACATAACAAAGCAGTTTCTGAGAATGATTCTGTGTAGTTTTTACACGAAGATATTTCCATTTCAAAGTATTAGCCTCAAATCGCTTGAAATCTCCACTTGCAAATTCCACTGAAAGAGTTTTTCAAAACTGCTCTGTGTAAAGGAAGGTTCAACTCTGTGACTTGAATACACACAACACAAAGAAGTGACTGAGAATTCTTCTGTCTAGCATTATATGAAGAAATCCTGTTTCCAACGAAGGCCTCAAAGAAGTCCAAATAAGCACCTGCAGACTTTACAAACAGAGTGTTTCCAAACTGCTCTATGAAAAGAAAGGTTAAACTCTGTGAGTTGAACGCACACATCACAAAGTAGTTGTTGAGAATGATTCTCGTGTATGTTTTTATACAAAGATATTTCCTTTTCTGCCATAGGCCTAGAAGCGACTTGCAAATCTGCACTTGCAAATTCCAAAAACAGAGTGTTTGCAATCTGCTCTCTCTAAAGGAAGGTTCAAATCTGTGAGTTGAATACAAACAACACAAAGAAGTTACTGAGAATTCTTCTGTCTAGCATTATATGAGGAAATCCCGTTTCCAACGAAGGGCTCATAGAGGGACAATTATCCAGCTGCAGACTTACAAAGAGTGTATTTCCAAACTGCTCGATTAAAGAAAGGTTAAACTCTGTGAGTTGAACACACACATCACAAAGTGTTTTCTGAGAATGATTTTGTCTAGTTTTAATACGAAGATATATCCTTTTCTATCACTGTCTTCGAAGCGTTTGAAATCTGCACTAGCAAATTCCACAAACAGAGTGTTTCAACTCTGCTCTCTCTCAAGAAAGGTTCAACTCTGTGAGTGGAATACACACAACACAAAGAAGTTACTGAGAATTCTTCTGTCTAGCGTTATATGAAGAAATCCCGTTTCCAACGAAGGCCTCAAAGAGGTCCAAATATCCACTTGCAGACTTTACAAATAGAGTGTTTCCAAACTGCTCTATGAAAAGAAAGGTTAAACTCTGTGAGTTGAAGGCACACATCACAAACTAGTTTCTGCGAATGACTCTGTGTACTTTTAATACGAAGATGTTTCCATGTCTAAGATTGGCGTGAATTCGCTTGAAATCTCCACATGCAAATTCCACAAAAAGAGTGTTTCAAAACTGCTCTGAATAAAGGAAGGTTCCACTCTGTGAGTTGAATACACACAACACAAAGGATTTACTGAGAATTCTTCTGTCTAGCAGTAAATGAAAAAATCCCGCTTCCAACGAAGTCCTCAAAGGGGTCCAAGTAATCACTTGCAGACTTTACAGACAGAGTCTTTCCAAACTGCTCTATGAAAAGAAAGGTGGAACTCTGTGAGCTGAACGCACACATAACAAAGCAGTTTCTGAGAATGATTCTGTGTAGTTTTTACACGAAGATATTTCCATTTCAAAGATTAGCCTCAAATCGCTTGACATCTCCACTTGCAAATTCCACAGAAAGAGTTTTTCAAAACTGCTCTGTGTAAAGGAAGGTTCAACTCTGTGACTTGAATCCACACAACACAAAGAAGTGACTGAGAATTCTTCTGTCTAGCATTATATGAAGAAATCCCGTTTCCAACGAAGGCCTCAAAGAAGTCCAAATAAGCACCTGCAGACTTTACAAACAGAGTGTTTCCAAACTGCTCTATGAAAAGAAAGGTTAAACTTCTGTGAGCTGAACGCACACATCACAAAGTAGTTGTTGAGAATGATTCTGTGTAGTTTTTATACGAAGATATTTCCTTTTCTGCCATAGGCCTAGAAGCGCTTGCAATCTGCACTTGCAAATTCCAAAAACAGAGTGTTTCAAATCTGCTCTCTCCAAAGGAAGGTTCAAATCTGTGAGTTGAATACAAACAACACAAAGAAGTTACTGAGAATTCTTCTGTCTAGCATTATATGAGGAAATCCCGTTTCCAATGAAGGGCTCAGAGAGGGACAATTATCCAGCTGCAGACTTACAAAGAGTGTATTTCCAAACTGCTCGATTAAAGAAAGGTTAAACTCTGTGAGTTGAACACACACATCACAAAGTGTTTTCTGAGAATGATTTTGTCTAGTTTTAATACGAAGATATATCCTTTTCTATCCCTGTCTTCGAAGCGTTTGAAATCTGCACTAGCAAATTCCACAAACAGAGTGTTTCAACTCTGCTCTCTCTCAAGAAAGGTTCAACTCTGTGAGTGGAATACACACAACACAAAGAAGTTACTGAGAATTCTTCTGTCTAGCGTTATAAGAAGAAATCCCGTTTCCAACGAAGGCCTCAAAGAGGTCCAAATATCCACTTGCAGACTTTACAAATAGAGTGTTTCCAAACTGCTCTATGAAAAGAAAGGTTAAACTCTGTGAGTTGAAGGCACACATCACAAACTAGTTTCTGCGAATGACTCTGTGTACTTTTAATACGAAGATGTTTCCATGTCTAAGATTGGCGTGAATTCGCTTGAAATCTCCACTTGCAAATTCCACAAAAAGAGTGTTTCAAAACTGCTCTGAATAAAGGAAGGTTCCACTCTGTGAGTTGAATACACACAACACAAAGGATTTACTGAGAATTCTTCTGTCTAGCAGTAAATGAAAAAATCCCGCTTCCAACGAAGTCCTCAAAGGGGTCCAAGTAATCACTTGCAGACATTACAGACAGAGTCTTTCCAAACTGCTCTATGAAAAGAAAGGTGGAACTCTGTGAGCTGAACGCACACATAACAAAGCAGTTTCTGAGAATGATTCCGTGTAGTTTTTACACGAAGATATTTCCATTTCAAAGATTAGCCTCAAATCGCTTGAAATCTCCACTTGCAAATTCCACAGAAAGAGTTTTTCAAAACTGCTCTGTGTAAAGGAAGGTTCAACTCTGTGACTTGAATACACACAACACAAAGAAGTGACTGAGAATTCTTCTGTCTAGCATTATATGAAGAAATCCCGTTTCCAACGAAGGCCTCAAAGAAGTCCAAATAAGCACCTGCAGACTTTACAAACAGAGTGTTTCCAAACTGCTCTATGAAAAGAAAGGTTAAACTCTGTGAGTTGAACGCACACATCACAAAGTAGTTGTTGAGAATGATTCTGTGTAGTTTTTATACGAAGATATTTCCTTTTCTGCCATAGGCCTAGAAGCGCTTGCAATCTGCACTTGCAAATTCCAAAAACAGAGTGTTTCAAATCTGCTCTCTCCAAAGGAAGGTTCAAATCTGTGAGTTGAATACAAACAACACAAAGAAGTTACTGAGAATTCTTCTGTCTAGCATTATATGAGGAAATCCCGTTTCCAACGAAGGGCTCAAAGAGGGCCAATTATCCACCTGCAGACTTACAAAGAGTGTATTTCCAAACTGCTCGATTAAAGAAAGGTTAAACTCTGTGAGTTGAACACACACATCACAAAATGTTTTTCTGAGAATGATTCTGTGTACTTTTAATACGAAGATGTTTCCATGTCTAAGATTGGCGTGAATTCGCTTGAAATCTCCACTTGCAAATTCCACAAAAAGAGTGTTTCAAAAGTGCTCTGAACAAAGGAAGGTTCCACTCCTGTGAGTTGAATACACACAACACAAAGGATTTACTGAGAATTCTTTCTGTCTAGCAGTAAATGAAAAAATCCCGCTTCCAACGAAGTCCTCAAAGGGGTCCAAGTAATCACTTGCAGACTTTACAGACAGAGTCTTTCCAAACTGCTCTATGAAAAGAAAGGTGGAACTCTGTGAGCTGAACGCACACATAACAAAGCAGTTTCTGAGAATGATTCTGTGTAGTTTTTACACGAAGCTATTTCCATTTCAAAGATTAGCCTCAAATCGCTTGAAATCTCCACTTGCAAATTCCACAGAAAGAGTTTTTCAAAACTGCTCTGTGTAAAGGAAGGTTCAACTCTGTGACTTGAATACACACAACACAAAGAAGTGACTGAGAATTCTTCTGTCTAGCATTACATGAAGAAATCCCGTTTCCAACGAAGGCCTCAAAGAAGTCCAAATAAGCACCTGCAGACTTTACAAACAGAGTGTTTCCAAACTGCTCTATGAAAAGAAAGGTTAAACTCTGTGAGTTGAACGCACACATCACAAAGTAGTTGTTGAGAATGATTCTGTGTAGTTTTTATACGAAGATATTTCCTTTTCTGCCATAGGCCTAGAAGCGCTTGTAATCTGCACTTGCAAATTCCAAAAACAGAGTGTTTCAAATCTGCTCTCTCTAAAGGAAGGTTCAAATCTGTGAGTTGAATACAAACAACACAAAGAAGTTACTGAGAATTCTTCTGTCTAGCATTATAAGAGGAAATCCCGTTTCCAACGAAGGGCTCATAGAGGGACAATTATCCAGCTGCAGACTTACAAAGAGTGTATTTCCAAACTGCTCGATTAAAGAAAGGTTAAACTCTGTGAGTTGAACACACACATCACAAAGTGTTTTCTGAGAATGATTTTGTCTAGTTTTAATACGAAGATATATCCTTTTCTATCACTGTCTTCGAAGCGTTTGAAATCTGCACTAGCAAATTCCACAAACAGAGTGTTTCAACTCTGCTCTCTCTCAAGAAAGGTTCAACTCTGTGAGTTGAATACACACAACACAAAGAAGTTACTGAGAATTCTTCTGTCTAGCGTTATATGAAGAAATCCCGTTTCCAACGAAGGCCTCAAAGAGGTCCAAATATCCACTTGCAGACTTTACAAATAGAGTGTTTCCAAACTGCTCTATGAAAAGAAAGGTTAAACTCCGTGAGTTGAAGGCACACATCACAAACTAGTTTCTGCGAATGACTCTGTGTACTTTTAATACGAAGATGTTTCCATGTCTAAGATTGGCGTGAATTCGCTTGAAATCTCCACTTGCAAATTCCACAAAAAGAGTGTTTCAAATGTGCTCTGAATAAAGGAAGGTTCCACTCTGTGAGTTGAATACACACAACACAAAGGATTTACTGAGAATTCTTCTGTCTAGCAGTAAATGAAAAAATCCCGCTTCCAACGAAGTCCTCAAAGGGGTCCAAGTAATCACTTGCAGACTTTACAGACAGTGTCTTTCCAAACTGCTCTATGAAAAGAAAGGTGAAACTCTGTGAGCTGAACGCACACATAACAAAGCAGTTTCTGAGAATGATTCTGTGTAGTTTTTACACGAAGAATATTTCCATTTCAAAGATTAGCCTCAAATCGCTTGAAATCTCCACTTGCAAATTCCACAGAAAGAGTTTTTCAAAACTGCTCTGTGTAAAGGAAGGTTCAACTCTGTGACTTGAATACACACAACACAAAGAAGTGACTGAGAATTCTTCTGTCTAGCATTATATGAAGAAATCCCGTTTCCAACGAAGGCCTCAAAGAAGTCCAAATAAGCACCTGCAGACTTTACAAACAGAGTGTTTCCAAACTGCTCTATGAAAAGAAAGGTTAAACTCTGTGAGTTGAACGCACACATCACAAAGTAGTTGTTGAGAATGATTCTGTGTAGTTTTTATACGAAGATATTTCCTTTTCTGCCATAGGCCTAGAAGCGCTTGAAATCTGCACTTGCAAATTCCAAAAACAGAGTGTTTCAAATCTGCTCTCTCTAAAGGAAGGTTCAAATCTGTGAGTTGAATACAAACAACACAAAGAAGTTACTGAGAATTCTTCTGTCTAGCATTATAAGAGGAAATCCCGTTTCCAACGAAGGGCTCATAGAGGGACAATTATCCAGCTGCAGACTTACAAAGAGTGTATTTCCAAACTGCTCGATTAAAGAAAGGTTAAACTCTGTGAGTTGAACACACACATCACAAAGTGTTTTCTGAGAATGATTTTGTCTAGTTTTAATACGAAGATATATCCTTTTCTATCACTGTCTTCGAAGCGTT
The DNA here is from genome assembly GCF_000001405.40 of Homo sapiens. Taxonomy (NCBI): domain Eukaryota; kingdom Metazoa; phylum Chordata; class Mammalia; order Primates; family Hominidae; genus Homo; species Homo sapiens. Next base: position 40,167,146 of record NC_000010.11, on the reverse strand, counting down.
TGAAATCTGCACTAGCAAATTCCACAAACAGAGTGTTTCAACTCTGCTCTCTCTCAAGAAAGGTTCAACTCTGTGAGTTGAATACACACAACACAAAGAAGTTACTGAGAATTCTTCTGTCTAGCGTTATATGAAGAAATCCCGTTTCCAACGAAGGCCTCAAAGAGGTCCAAATATCCACTTGCAGACTTTACAAATAGAGTGTTTCCAAACTGCTCTATGAAAAGAAAGGTTAAACTCCGTGAGTTGAAGGCACACATCACAAACTAGTTTCTGCGAATGACTCTGTGTACTTTTAATACGAAGATGTTTCCATGTCTAAGATTGGCGTGAATTCGCTTGAAATCTCCACTTGCAAATTCCACAAAAAGAGTGTTTCAAAACTGCTCTGAATAAAGGAAGGTTCCACTCTGTGAGTTGAATACACACAACACAAAGGATTTACTGAGAATTCTTCTGTCTAGCAGTAAATGAAAAAATCCCGCTTCCAACGAAGTCCTCAAAGGGGTCCAAGTAATCACTTGCAGACTTTACAGACAGAGACTTTCCAAACTGCTCTATGAAAAGAAAGGTGGAACTCTGTGAGCTGAACGCACACATAACAAAGCAGTTTCTGAGAATGATTCTGTGTAGTTTTTACACGAAGATATTTCCATTTCAAAGATTAGCCTCAAATCGCTTGAAATCTCCACTTGCAAATTCCACAGAAAGAGTTTTTCAAAACTGCTCTGTGTAAAGGAAGGTTCAACTCTGTGACTTGAATACACACAACACAAAGAAGTGACTGAGAATTCTTCTGTCTAGCATTATATGAAGAAATCCCGTTTCCAACGAAGACCTCAATGAAGTCCAAAAAAGCACTTGCAGGCTTTACAAACAGCGTGTTTCCAAACTGCTCTATGAAAAGAAAGGTTAAACTTTGTGAGTTGAACGCACACATCACAAAGTAGTTGTTGAGAATGATTTTTGTCTAGTTTTAATACGAAGATATATCCTTTTCTATCACTGTCTTCGAAGCGTTTGAAATCTGCACTAGCAAATTCCACAAACAGAGGGTTTCAACTCTGCTCTCTCTCAAGAAAGGTTCAACTCTGAGAGTGGAATACACACAACACAAAGAAGTTACTGAGAATTCTTCTGTCTAGCGTTATATGAAGAAATCCCGTTTCCAACGAAGGCCTCAAAGAGGTCCAAATATCCACTTGCAGACTTTACAAATAGAGTGTTTCCAAACTGCTCTATGAAAAGAAAGGTTAAACTCTGTGAGTTGAAGGCACACATCACAAACTAGTTTCTGCGAATGACTCTGTGTACTTTTAATACGAAGATGTTTCCATGTCTAAGATTGGCGTGAATTCGCTTGAAATCTCCACTTGCAAATTCCACAAAAAGAGTGTTTCAAAACTGCTCTGAATAAAGGAAGGTTCCACTCTGTGAGTTGAATACACACAACACAAAGGATTTACTGAGAATTCTTCTGTCTAGCAGTAAATGAAAAAATCCCGCTTCCAACGAAGTCCTCAAAGGGGTCCAAGTAATCACTTGCAGACTTTACAGACAGAGTCTTTCCAAACTGCTCTATGAAAAGAAAGGTGGAACTCTGTGAGCTGAACGCACACATAACAAAACAGTTTCTGAGAATGATTCTGTGTAGTTTTTACACGAAGATATTTCCATTTCAAAGATTAGCCTCAAATCGCTTGAAATCTCCACTTGCAAATTCCACAGAAAGAGTTTTTCAAAACTGCTCTGTGTAAAGGAAGGTTCAACTCTGTGACTTGAATACACACAACACAAAGAAGTGACTGAGAATTCTTCTGTCTAGCATTATATGAAGAAATCCCGTTTCCAACGAAGGCCTCAAAGAAGTCCAAATAAGCACCTGCAGACTTTACAAACAGAGTGTTTCCAAACTGCTCTATGAAAAGAAAGGTTAAACTCTGTGAGTTGAACGCACACATCACAAAGTAGTTGTTGAGAATGATTCTGTGTAGTTTTTATACGAAGATATTTCCTTTTCTGCCATAGGCCTAGAAGCGCTTGCAATCTGCACTTGCAAATTCCAAAAACAGAGTGTTTCAAATCTGCTCTCTCCAAAGGAAGGTTCAAATCTGTGAGTTGAATACAAACAACACAAAGAAGTTACTGAGAATTCTTCTGTCTAGCATTATAAGAGGAAATCCTGTTTCCAACGAAGGGCTCATAGAGGGACAATTATCCAGCTGCAGACTTACAAAGAGTGTATTTCCAAACTGCTCGATTAAAGAAAGGTTAAACTCTGTGAGTTGAACACACACATCACAAAGTGTTTTCTGAGAATGATTTTGTCTAGTTTTAATACGAAGATATATCCTTTTCTATCACTGTCTTCGAAGCGTTTGAAATCTGCACTAGCAAATTCCACAGAAAGAGTGTTTCAACTCTGCTCTCTCTCAAGAAAGGTTCAACTCTGTGAGTTGAATACACACAACACAAAGAAGTTACTGAGAATTCTTCTGTCTAGCGTTATATGAAGAAATCCCGTTTCCAACGAAGGCCTCAAAGAGGTCCAAATATCCACTTGCAGACTTTACAAATAGAGTGTTTCCAAACTGCTCTATGAAAAGAAAGGTTAAACTCCGTGAGTTGAAGGCACACATCACAAACTAGTTTCTGCGAATGACTCTGTGTACTTTTAATACGAAGATGTTTCCATGTCTAAGATTGGCGTGAATTCGCTTGAAATCTCCACTTGCAAATTCCACAAAAAGAGTGTTTCAAAAGTGCTCTGAATAAAGGAAGGTTCCACTCTGTGAGTTGAATACACACAACACAAAGGATTTACTGAGAATTCTTCTGTCTAGCAGTAAATGAAAAAATCCCGCTTCCAACGAAGTCCTCAAAGGGGTCCAAGTAATCACTTGCAGACTTTACAGACAGAGTCTTTCCAAACTGCTCTATGAAAAGAAAGGTGGAACTCTGTGAGCTGAACGCACACATAACAAAGCAGTTTCTGAGAATGATTCTGTGTAGTTTTTACACGAAGCTATTTCCATTTCAAAGATTAGCCTCAAATCGCTTGAAATCTCCACTTGCAAATTCCACAGAAAGAGTTTTTCAAAACTGCTCTGTGTAAAGGAAGGTTCAACTCTGTGACTTGAATACACACAACACAAAGAAGTGACTGAGAATTCTTCTGTCTAGCATTATATGAAGAAATCCCGTATCCAACGAAGGCCTCAAAGAAGTCCAAATAAGCACCTGCAGACTTTACAAACAGAGTGTTTCCAAACTGCTCTATGAAAAGAAAGGTTAAACTCTGTGAGTTGAACGCACACATCACAAACTAGTTTCTGCGAATGACTCTGTGTACTTTTAATACGAAGATGTTTCCATGTCTAAGATTGGCGTGAATTCGCTTGAAATCTCCACTTGCAAATTCCACAAAAAGAGTGTTTCAAAACTGCTCTGAATAAAGGAAGGTTCCACTCTGTGAGTTGAATACACACAACACAAAGGATTTACTGAGAATTCTTCTGTCTAGCAGTAAATGAAAAAATCCCGCTTCCAACGAAGTCCTCAAAGGGGTCCAAGTAATCACTTGCAGACTTTACAGACAGAGTCTTTCCAAACTGCTCTATGAAAAGAAAGGTGGAACTCTGTGAGCTGAACGCACACATAACAAAGCAGTTTCTGAGAATGATTCTGTGTAGTTTTTACACGAAGATATTTCCATTTCAAAGATTAGCCTCAAATCGCTTGAAATCTCCACTTGCAAATTCCACAGAAAGAGTTTTTCAAAACTGCTCTGTGTAAAGGAAGGTTCAACTCTGTGACTTGAATACACACAACACAAAGAAGTGACTGAGAATTCTTCTGTCTAGCATTATATGAAGAAATCCCGTTTCCAACGAAGGCCTCAAAGAAGTCCAAATAAGCACCTGCAGACTTTACAAACAGAGTGTTTCCAAACTGCTCTATGAAAAGAAAGGTTAAACTCTGTGAGTTGAACGCACACATCACAAAGTAGTTGTTGAGAATGATTCTGTGTAGTTTTTACACGAAGATATTTCCTTTTCTGCCATAGGCCTAGAAGTGCTTGAAATCGGCACTTACAAATTCCAAAAACAGAGTGTTTCAAATCTGCTCTCTCTAAAGGAAATTTCAAATCTGTGAGTTGAATACAAACAACACAAAGAAGTTACTGAGAATTCTTCTGTCTAGCATTATATGAGGAAATCCCGTTTCCAACGAAGGGCTCATAGAGGGACAATTATCCACCTGCAGACTTACAAAGAGTGTATTTCCAAACTGCTCGATTAAAGAAAGGTTAAACTCTGTGAGTTGAACACACACATCACAAAGTGTTTTCTGAGAATGATTTTGTCTAGTTTTAATACGAAGATATATCCTTTTCTATCACTGTCTTCGAAGCGTTTGAAATCTGCACTAGCAAATTCCACAAAAAGAGTGTTTCCACTCTGCTCTCTCTCAAGAAACGTTCAACTCTGTGAGTTGAATACACACAACACAAAGAAGTTACTGAGAATTCTTCTGTCTAGCGTTATATGAAGAAATCCCGTTTCCAACGAAGGCCTCAAAGAGGTCCAAATATCCACTTGCAGACTTTACAAATAGAGTGTTTCCAAACTGCTCTATGAAAAGAAAGGTTAAACTCCGTGAGTTGAAGGCACACATCACAAACTAGTTTCTGCGAATGACTCTGTGTACTTTTAATACGAAGATGTTTCCATGTCTAAGATTGGCGTGAATTCGCTTGAAATCTCCACTTGCAAATTCCACAAAAAGAGTGTTTCAAAACTGCTCTGAATAAAGGAAGGTTCCACTCTGTGAGTTGAATACACACAACACAAAGGATTTACTGAGAATTCTTCTGTCTAGCAGTAAATGAAAAAATCCCGCTTCCAACGAAGTCCTCAAAGGGGTCCAAGTATTCACTTGCAGACTTTACAGACAGAGTCTTTCCAAACTGCTCTATGAAAAGAAAGGTGGAACTCTGTGAGCTGAACGCACACATAACAAAGCAGTTTCTGAGAATGATTCTGTGTAGTTTTTACACGAAGAATATTTCCATTTCAAAGATTAGCCTCAAATCGCTTGAAATCTCCACTTGCAAATTCCACAGAAAGAGTTTTTCAAAACTGCTCTGTGTAAAGGAAGGTTCAACTCTGTGACTTGAATACACACAACACAAAGAAGTGACTGAGAATTCTTCTGTCTAGCATTATATGAAGAAATCCCGTTTCCAACGAAGGCCTCAAAGAAGTCCAAATAAGCACCTGCAGACTTTACAAACAGAGTGTTTCCAAACTGCTCTATGAAAAGAAAGGTTAAACTCTGTGAGTTGAACGCACACATCACAAAGTAGTTGTTGAGAATGATTCTGTGTAGTTTTTATACGAAGATATTTCCTTTTCTGCCATAGGCCTAGAAGCGCTTGCAATCTGCACTTGCAAATTCCAAAAACAGAGTGTTTCAAATCTGCTCTCTCCAAAGGAAGGTTCAAATCTGTGAGTTGAATACAAACAACACAAAGAAGTTACTGAGAATTCTTCTGTCTAGCATTATAAGAGGAAATCCCGTTTCCAACGAAGGGCTCCTAGAGGGACAATTATCCAGCTGCAGACTTACAAAGAGTGTATTTCCAAACTGCTCGATTAAAGAAAGGTTAAACTCTGTGAGTTGAACACACACATCACAAAGTGTTTTCTGAGAATGATTTTGTCTAGTTTTAATACGAAGATATATCCTTTTCTATCACTGTCTTCGAAGCGTTTGAAATCTGCACTAGCAAATTCCACAGAAAGAGTGTTTCAACTCTGCTCTCTCTCAAGAAAGGTTCAACTCTGTGAGTGGAATACACACAACACAAAGAAGTTACTGAGAATTCTTCTGTCTAGCGTTATATGAAGAAATCCCGTTTCCAACGAAGGCCTCAAAGAGGTCCAAATATCCCCTTGCAGACTTTACAAATAGAGTGTTTCCAAACTGCTCTATGAAAAGAAAGGTTAAACTCCGTGAGTTGAAGGCACACATCACAAACTAGTTTCTGCGAATGACTCTGTGTACTTTTAATACGAAGATGTTTCCATGTCTAAGATTGGCGTGAATTCGCTTGAAATCTCCACTTGCAATTTCCACAAAAAGAGTGTTTCAAAACTGCTCTGAATAAAGGAAGGTTTCACTCTGTGAGTTGAATACACACAACACAAAGGATTTACTGAGAATTCTTCTGTCTAGCAGTAAATGAAAAAATCCCGCTTCCAACGAAGTCCTCAAAGGGGTCCAAGTAATCACTTGCAGACTTTACAGACAGAGTCTTTCCAAACTGCTCTATGAAAAGAAAGGTGGAACTCTGTGAGCTGAACGCACACATAACAAAGCAGTTTCTGAGAATGATTCTGTGTAGTTTTTACACGAAGCTATTTCCATTTCAAAGATTAGCCTCAAATCGCTTGAAATCTCCACTTGCAAATTCCACAGAAAGAGTTTTTCAAAACTGCTCTGTGTAAAGGAAGGTTCAACTCTGTGACTTGAATACACACAACACAAAGAAGTGACTGAGAATTCTTCTGTCTAGCATTATATGAAGAAATCCCGTTTCCAACGAAGGCCTCAAAGAAGTCCAAATAAGCACCTGCAGACTTTACAAACAGAGTGTTTCCAAACTGCTCTATGAAAAGAAAGGTTAAACTCTGTGAGTTGAACGCACACATCACAAAGTAGTTGTTGAGAATGATTCTGTGTAGTTTTTATACGAAGATATTTCCTTTTCTGCCACAGGCCTAGAAGCGCTTGTAATCTGCACTTGCAAATTCCAAAAACAGAGTGTTTCAAATCTGCTCTCTCTAAAGGAAGGTTCAAATCTGTGAGTTGAATACAAACAACACAAAGAAGTTACTGAGAATTCTTCTGTCTAGCATTATAAGAGGAAATCCTGTTTCCAACGAAGGGCTCATAGAGGGACAATTATCCAGCTGCAGACTTACAAAGAGTGTATTTCCAAACTGCTCGATTAAAGAAAGGTTAAACTCTGTGAGTTGAACACACACATCACAAAGTGTTTTCTGAGAATGATTTTGTCTAGTTTTAATACGAAGATATATCCTTTTCTATCACTGTCTTCGAAGCGTTTGAAATCTGCACTAGCAAATTCCACAAACAGAGTGTTTCAACTCTGCTCTCTCTCAAGAAAGGTTCAACTCTGTGAGTTGAATACACACAACACAAAGAAGTTACTGAGAATTCTTCTGTCTAGCGTTATATGAAGAAATCCCGTTTCCAACGAAGGCCTCAAAGAGGTCCAAATATCCACTTACAGAGTTTACAGATAGAGTGTTTCCAAACTGCTCTATGAAAAGAAAGGTTAAACTCCGTGAGTTGAAGGCACACATCACAAACTAGTTTCTGCGAATGACTCTGTGTACTTTTAATACGAAGATGTTTCCATGTCTAAGATTGGCGTGAATTCGCTTGAAATCTCCACTTGCAAATTCCACAAAAAGAGTGTTTCAAAAGTGCTCTGAATAAAGGAAGGTTCCACTCTGTGAGTTGAATACACACAACACAAAGGATTTACTGAGAATTCTTCTGTCTAGCAGTAAATGAAAAAATCCCGCTTCCAACGAAGTCCTCAAAGGGGTCCAAGTAATCACTTGCAGACTTTACAGACAGAGTCTTTCCAAACTGCTCTATGAAAAGAAAGGTGGAACTCTGTGAGCTGAACGCACACATAACAAAGCAGTTTCTGAGAATGATTCTGTGCAGTTTTTACACGAAGATATTTCCATTTCAAAGATTAGCCTCAAATCGCTTGAAATCTCCAATTGCAAATTCCACAAAAAGAGTGTTTCAAAACTGCTCTGAATAAAGGAAGGTTCAACTCTGTGAGTTGAATACACCCAACACAAAGGATTTAATGAGAATTCTTCTGTCTAGCATTATATGAAGAAATCCCGTTTCCAACGAAGGCCTGAATGAAGTCCAAAAAAGCACTTGCAGGCTTTACAAACAGAGTGTTTCCAAACTGCTCTATGAAAAGAAAGGTTAAACTCTGTGAGTTAAACGCACACATCACAAAGTAGTTGTTGAGAATGATTCTGTGTAGTTTTTATACGAAGATATTTCCTTTTCTGCCATAGGCCTAGAATCGCTTGAAATCTGCACTTGCAAATTCCAAAAACAGAGTGTTTCAACTCTGCTCTCTCTAAAGAAAGGTTCAACTCTGTGAGTTGAATACACACAACACAAAGAAGTTACTGAGAATTCTTCTGTCTAGCGTTGTATGAAGAAATCCCGTTTCCAACGAAGGCCTCAAAGAGGTCCAAATATCCACTTGCAGACTTTACAAATAGAGTGTTTCCAAACTGCTCTATGAAAAGAAAGGTTAAACTCTGTGAGTTGAAGGCACACATCACAAACTAGTTTCTACGAATGACTCTGTGTACTTTTCATATGAAGATATTTCCCTGCCTAAGATTGGCGTCAAATCGCTTGAAATCTCCACTTGCAAATTCCACAAAAAGTGTTTTTCAAAACTGCTCTGAATAAAGGAAGGTTCCACTCTGTGAGTTGAATACACACAACACAAAGGATTTACTGAGAATTCTTCTGTCTAGCAGTAAATGAGAAATCCCGCTTCCAACGAAGGCCTCAAAGGGGTCTAACTAATCACTTGCAGACTTTACAGACAGAGTCTTTCCAAACTGCTCTATGAAGAGAAAGGTGAAACTCTGTGAACTGAACGCACAGATGACAAAGCAGTTTCTGAGAATGATTCTGTGTAGTTTTTACACGAAGATATTTCCATTTCAAAGATTAGCCTCAAATCGCTTGAAATCTCCACTTGCAAATTACACAGAAAGAATTTTTCAAAACTGCTCTGTCTAAAGGAAGGTTCAACTCTGTGAGTTGAATACACACAACACAAAGAAGTGACTGAGAATTCTTCTGTCTAGCATTATATGAAGAAATCCCGTTTCCAACGAAGGCCTCAATGAAGTCCAAAAAAGCACTTGCAGGCTTTACAAACAGAGTGTTTCCAAACTGCTCTATGAAAAGAAAGGTTAAACTCTGTGAGTTGAACGCACACATCACAAAGTAGTTGTTGAGAATGATTCTGTGTAGTTTTTATACGAAGATATTTCCTTTTCTGCCATAGGCCTAGAATCGCTTGAAATCTGCACTTGCAAATTCCAAAAACAGAGTGTTTCAACTCTGCTCTCTCTAAAGAAAGGTTCAACTCTGTGAGTTGAATACACACAACACAAAGAAGTTACTGAGAATTCTTCTGTCTAGCGTTGTATGAAGAAATCCCGTTTCCAACGAAGGCCTCAAAGAGGTCCAAATATCCACTTGCAGACTTTACAAATAGAGTGTTTCCAAACTGCTCTATGAAAAGAAAGGTTAAACTCTGTGAGTTGAAGGCACACATCACAAACTAGTTTCTACGAATGACTCTGTGTACTTTTAATATGAAGATATTTCCATGTCTAAGATTGGCGTCAAATCGCTTGAAATCTCCACTTGCAAATTCCACAAAAAGTGTTTTTCAAAACTGCTCTGAATAAAGGAAGGTTCCACTCTGTGAGTTGAATACACACAACACAAAGGATTTACTGAGAAATCTTCTGTCTAGCAGTAAATGAAAAAATCCCGCTTCCAACGAAGTCCTCAAAGGGGTCCAAGTAATCACTTGCAGACTTTACAGACGGAGTCTTTCCAAACTGCTCTATGAAAAGAAAGGTGGAACTCTGTGAGCTGAACGCTCACATAACAAAGCAGTTTCTGAGAATGATTCTGTGTAGTTTTTACACGAAGATATTTCCATTTCAAAGATTAGCCTCAAATCGCTTGAAATCTCCACTTGCAAATTCCACAGAAAGAGTTTTTCAAAACTGCTCTGTGTAAAGGAAGGTTCAACTCTGTGACTTGAATACACACAACACAAAGAAGTGACTGAGAATTCTTCTGTCTAGCATTATATGAAGAAATCCCGTTTCCAACGAAGGCCTCAAAGAAGTCCAAATAAGCACCTGCAGACTTTACAAACAGAGTGTTTCCAAACTGCTCTATGAAACGAAAGGTTAAACTCTGTGAGTTGAACGCACACATCACAAAGTAGTTGTTGAGAATGATTCTGTGTAGTTTTCATACGAAGATATTTCCTTTTCTGCCATACGCCTAGAAGCGCTTGAAATCTGCACTTGCAAATTCCAAAAACAGAGTGTTTCAAATCTGCTCTCTCTAAAGGAAAGTTCAAATCTGTGAGTTGAATACAAACAACACAAAGAAGTTACTGAGAATTCTTCTGTCTAGCATTATAAGAGGAAATCCCGTTTCCAACGAAGGGCTCATAGAGGGACAATTATCCAGCTGCAGACTTACAAAGAGTGTATTTCCAAACTGCTCGATTAAAGAAAGGTTAAACTCTGTGAGTTGAACACACACATCACAAAGTGTTTTCTGAGAATGATTTTGTCTAGTTTTAATACGAAGATATATCCTTTTCTATCACTGTCTTCGAAGCGTTTGAAATCTGCACTAGCAAATTCCACAGAAAGAGTGTTTCAACTCTGCTCTCTCTCAAGAAAGGTTCAACTACTGTGAGTTGAATACACACAACACAAAGAAGTTACTGAGAATTCTTCTGTCTAGCGTTATATGAAGAAATCCCGTTTCCAACGAAGGCCTCAAAGAGGTCCAAATATCCACTTGCAGACTTTACAAATAGAGTGTTTCCAAACTGCTCTATGAAAAGAAAGGTTAAACTCCGTGAGTTGAAGGCACACATCACAAACTAGTTTCTGCGAATGACTCTGTGTACTTTTAATACGAAGATATTTCCATGTCTAAGATTGGCGTGAATTCGCTTGAAATCTCCACTTGCAAATTCCACAAAAAGAGTGTTTCAAAAGTGCTCTGAATAAAGGAAGGTTCCACTCTGTGAGTTGAATACACACAACACAAAGGATTTACTGAGAATTCTTCTGTCTAGCAGTAAATGAAAAATTCCCGCTTCCAACGAAGTCCTCAAAGGGGTCCAAGTAATCACTTGCAGACTTTACAGACAGAGTCTTTCCAAACTGCTCTATGAAAAGAAAGGTGGAACTCTGTGAGCTGAACGCACACATAACAAAGCAGTTTCTGAGAATGATTCTGTGTAGTTTTTACACGAAGCTATTTCCATTTCAAAGATTAGCCTCAAATCGCTTGAAATCTCCACTTGCAAATTCCACAGAAAGAGTTTTTCAAAACTGCTCTGTGTAAAGGAAGGTTCAACTCTGTGACTTGAATACACACAACACAAAGAAGTGACTGAGAATTCTTCTGTCTAGCATTACATGAAGAAATCCCGTTTCCAACGAAGGCCTCAAAGAAGTCCAAATAAGCACCTGCAGACTTTACAAACAGAGTGTTTCCAAACTGCTCTATGAAAAGAAAGGTTAAACTCTGTGAGTTGAACGCACACATCACAAAGTAGTTGTTGAGAATGATTCTGTGTAGTTTTTATACGAAGATATTTCCTTTTCTGCCATAGGCCTAGAAGCGCTTGCAATCTGCACTTGCAAATTCCAAAAACAGAGTGTTTCAAATCTGCTCTCTCCAAAGGAAGGTTCAAATCTGTGAGTTGAATACAAACAACACAAAGAAGTTACTGAGAATTCTTCTGTCTAGCATTATATGAGGAAATCCCGTTTCCAACGAAGGGCTCATAGAGGGACAATTATCCAGCTGCAGACTTACAAAGAGTGTATTTCCAAACTGCTCGATTAAAGAAAGGTTAAACTCTGTGAGTTGAACACACACATCACAAAGTGTTTTCTGAGAATGATTTTGTCTAGTTTTAATACGAAGATATATCCTTTTCTATCACTCTCTTCGAAGCGTTTGAAATCGGCACTAGCAAATTCCACAAACAGAGTGTTTCAACTCTGCTCTCTCTCAAGAAAGGTTCAACTCTGTGAGTGGAATACACACAACACAAAGAAGTTACTGAGAATTCTTCTGTCTAGCGTTATATGAAGAAATCCCGTTTCCAACGAAGGCCTCAAAGAGGTCCAAATATCCACTTGCAGACTTTACAAATAGAGTGTTTCCAAACTGCTCTATGAAAAGAAAGGTTAAACTCCGTGAGTTGAAGGCACACATCACAAACTAGTTTCTGCGAATGACTCTGTGTACTTTTAATACGAAGATGTTTCCATGTCTAAGATTGGCGTGAATTCGCTTGAAATCTCCACTTGCAAATTCCACAAAAAGAGTGTTTCAAAACTGCTCTGAATAAAGGAAGGTTCCACTCTGTGAGTTGAATACACACAACACAAAGGATTTACTGAGAATTCTTCTGTCTAGCAGTAAATGAAAAAATCCCGCTTCCAACGAAGTCCTCAAAGGGGTCCAAGTAATCACTTGCAGACTTTACAGACAGAGTCTTTCCAAACTGCTCTATGAAAAGAAAGGTGGAACTCTGTGAGCTGAACGCACACATAACAAAGCAGTTTCTGAGAATGATTCTGTGTAGTTTTTACACGAAGCTATTTCCATTTCAAAGATTAGCCTCAAATCGCTTGAAATCTCCACTTGCAAATTCCACAGAAAGAGTTTTTCAAAACTGCTCTGTGTAAAGGAAGGTTCAACTCTGTGACTTGAATACACACAACACAAAGAAGTGACTGAGAATTCTTCTGTCTAGCATTATATGAAGAAATCCCGTTTCCAACGGAGGCCTCAAAGAAGTCCAAATAAGCACCTGCAGACTTTACAAACAGAGTGTTTCCAAACTGCTCTATGAAAAGAAAGGTTAAACTCTGTGAGTTGAACGCACACATCACAAAGTAGTTGTTGAGAATGATTCTGTGTAGTTTTTATACGAAGATATTTCCTTTTCTGCCATAGGCCTAGAAGCGCTTGTAATCTGCACTTGCAAATTCCAAAAACAGAGTGTTTCAAATCTGCTCTCTCCAAAGGAAGGTTCAAATCTGTGAGTTGAATACAAACAACACAAAGAAGTTACTGAGAATTCTTCTGTCTAGCATTATAAGAGGAAATCCCGTTTCCAAGGAAGGGCTCATAGAGGGACAATTATCCAGCTGCAGACTTACAAAGAGTGTATTTCCAAACTGCTCGATTAAAGAAAGGTTAAACTCTGTGAGTTGAACACACACATCACAAAGTGTTTTCTGAGAATGATTTTGTCTAGTTTTAATACGAAGATATATCCTTTTCTATCACTGTCTTCGAAGCGTTTGAAATCTGCACTAGCAAATTCCACAAACAGAGTGTTTCAACTCTGCTCTCTCTCAAGAAAGGTTCAACTCTGTGAGTGGAATACACACAACACAAAGAAGTTACTGAGAATTCTTCTGTCTAGCGTTATATGAAGAAATCCCGTTTCCAACGAAGGCCTCAAAGAGGTCCAAATATCCACTTGCAGACTTTACAAATAGAGTGTTTCCAAACTGCTCTATGAAAAGAAAGGTTAAACTCCGTGAGTTGAAGGCACACATCACAAACTAGTTTCTGCGAATGACTCTGTGTACTTTTAATACGAAGATGTTTCCATGTCTAAGATTGGCGTGAATTCGCTTGAAATCTCCACTTGCAAATTCCACAAAAAGAGTGTTTCAAAACTGCTCTGAATAAAGGAAGGTTCCACTCTGTGAGTTGAATACACACAACACAAAGGATTTACTGAGAATTCTTCTGTCTAGCAGTAAATGAAAAAATCCCGCTTCCAACGAAGTCCTCAAAGGGGTCCAAGTAATCACTTGCAGACTTTACAGACAGAGTCTTTCCAAACTGCTCTATGAAAAGAAAGGTGGAACTCTGTGAGCTGAACGCACACATAACAAAGCAGTTTCTGAGAATGATTCTGTGTCGTTTTTACACGAAGATATTTCCATTTCAAAGATTAGCCTCAAATCGCTTGAAATCTCCACTTGCAAATTCCACAGAAAGAGTTTTTCAAAACTGCTCTGTGTAAAGGAAGGTTCAACTCTGTGACTTGAATACACACAACACAAAGAACTGACTGAGAATTCTTCTGTCTAGCATTATATGAAGAAATCCCGTTTCCAACGAAGGCCTCAAAGAAGTCCAAATAAGCACCTGCAGACTTTACAAACAGAGTGTTTCCAAACTGCTCTATGAAAAGAAAGGTTAAACTCTGTGAGTTGAACGCACACATCACAAAGTAGTTGTTGAGAATGATTCTGTGTAGTTTTTATACGAAGATATTTCCTTTTCTGCCATAGGCCTAGAAGCGCTTGCAATCTGCACTTGCAAATTCCAAAAACAGAGTGTTTCAAATCTGCTCTCTCCAAAGGAAGGTTCAAATCTGTGAGTTGAATACAAACAACACAAAGAAGTTACTGAGAATTCTTCTGTCTAGCATTATAAGAGGAAATCCCGTTTCCAACGAAGGGCTCATAGAGGGACAATTATCCAGCTGCAGACTTACAAAGAGTGTATTTCCAAACTGCTCGATTAAAGAAAGGTTAAACTCTGTGAGTTGAACACACACATCACAAAGTGTTTTCTGAGAATGATTTTGTCTAGTTTTAATACGAAGATATATCCTTTTCTATCACTGTCTTCGAAGCGTTTGAAATCTGCACTAGCAAATTCCACAAACAGAGTGTTTCAACTCTGCTCTCTCTCAAGAAAGGTTCAACTCTGTGAGTGGAATACACACAACACAAAGAAGTTACTGAGAATTCTTCTGTCTAGCGTTACATGAAGAAATCCCGTTTCCAACGAAGGCCTCAAAGAGGTCCAAATATCCACTTGCAGACTTTACAAATAGAGTGTTTCCAAACTGCTCTATGAAAAGAAAGGTTAAACTCTGTGAGTTGAAGGCACACATCACAAAGTAGTTTCTGCGAATGACTCTGTGTACTTTTAATACGAAGATGTTTCCATGTCTAAGATTGGCGTGAATTCGCTTGAAATCTCCACTTGCAAATTCCACAAAAAGAGTGTTTCAAAACTGCTCTGAATAAAGGAAGGTTCCACTCTGTGAGTTGAATACACACAACACAAAGGATTTACTGAGAATTCTTCTGTCTAGCAGTAAATGAAAAAATCCCGCTTCCAACGAAGTCCTCAAAGGGGTCCAAGTAATCACTTGCAGACTTTACAGACAGAGTCTTTCCAAACTGCTCTATGAAAAGAAAGGTGGAACTCTGTGAGCTGAACGCACACATAACAAAGCAGTTTCTGACAATGATTCTGTGTAGTTTTTACACGAAGCTATTTCCATTTCAAAGACTAGCCTCAAATCGCTTGAAATCTCCACTTGCAAATTCCACAGAAAGAGTTTTTCAAAACTGCTCTGTGTAAAGGAAGGTTCAACTCTGTGACTTGAATACACACAACACAAAGAAGTGACTGAGAATTCTTCTGTCTAGCATTATATGAAGAAATCCCGTTTCCAACGAAGGCCTCAAAGAAGTCCAAATAAGCACCTGCAGACTTTACAAACAGAGTGTTTCCAAACTGCTCTATGAAAAGAAAGGTTAAACTCTGTGAGTTGAACGCACACATCACAAAGTAGTTGTTGAGAATGATTCTGTGTAGTTTTTATACGAAGATATTTCCTTTTCTGCCATAGGCCTAGAAGCGCTTGTAATCTGCACTTGCAAATTCCGAAAACAGAGTGTTTCAAATCTGCTCTCTCTAAAGGAAGGTTCAAATCTGTGAGTTGAATACAAACAACACAAAGAAGTTACTGAGAATTCTTCTGTCTAGCATTATAAGAGGAAATCCCGTTTCCAACGAAGGGCTCATAGAGGGACAATTATCCAGCTGCAGACTTACAAAGAGTGTATTTCCAAACTGCTCGATTAAAGAAAGGTTAAACTCTGTGAGTTGAACACACACATCACAAAGTGTTTTCTGAGAATGATTTTGTCTAGTTTTAATACGAAGATATATCCTTTTCTATCACTGTCTTCGAAGCGTTTGAAATCTGCACTAGCAAATTCCACAGAAAGAGTGTTTCAACTCTGCTCTCTCTCAAGAAAGGTTCAACTCTGTGAGTGGAATACACACAACACAAAGAAGTTACTGAGAATTCTTCTGTCTAGCGTTATATGAAGAAATCCCGTTTCCAACGAAGGCCTCAAAGAGGTCCAAATATCCACTTGCAGACTTTACAAAGAGAGTGTTTCCAAACTGCTCTATGAAAAGAAAGGTTAAACTCCGTGAGTTGAAGGCACACATCACAAACTAGTTTACTGCGAATGACTTCTGTGTACTTTTAATACGAAGATGTTTCCATGTCTAAGATTGGCGTGAATTCGCTTGAAATCTCCACTTGCAATTTCCACAAAAAGAGTGTTTCAAAACTGCTCTGAATAAAGGAAGGTTCCACTCTGTGAGTTGAATACACACAACACAAAGGATTTACTGAGAATTCTTCTGTCTAGCAGTAAATGAAAAAATCCCGCTTCCAACGAAGTCCTCAAAGGGGTCCAAGTAATCACTTGCAGACTTTACAGACAGAGTCTTTCCAAACTGCTCTATGAAAAGAAAGGTGGAACTCTGTGAGCTGAACGCACACATAACAAAGCAGTTTCTGAGAATGATTCTGTGTAGTTTTTACACGAAGATATTTCCATTTCAAAGATTAGCCTCAAATCGCTTGAAATCTCCACTTGCAAATTCCACAGAAAGAGTTTTTCAAAACTGCTCTGTGTAAAGGAAGGTTCAACTCTGTGACTTGAATACACACAACACAAAGAAGTGACTGAGAATTCTTCTGTCTAGCATTATATGAAGAAATCCCGTTTCCAACGAAGGCCTCAAAGAAGTCCAAATAAGCACCTGCAGACTTTACAAACAGAGTGTTTCCAAACTGCTCTATGAAAAGAAAGGTTAAACTCCTGTGAGTTGAACGCACACATCACAAAGTAGTTGTTGAGAATGATTTTGTCTACTTTTAATACGAAGATATATCCTTTTCTATCACTGTCTTCGAAGCGTTTGAAATCTACACTAGCAAATTCCACAAAAAGAGTGTTTCACTGCTGCTCCCTCTCAAGAAAGGTTCAACTCTGTGAGTTGAATACACACAACACAAAGAAGTTACTGAGAATTCTTCTGTCTAGCGTTATATGAAGAAATCCCGTTTCCAACGAAGGCCTCAAAGAGGTCCAAATATCCACTTGCAGACTTTACAAATAGAGTGTTTCCCAACTGCTCTATGAAAAGAAAGGTTAAACTCTGTGAGTTGAAGGCACACATCACAAACTAGTTTCTACGAATGACTCTGTGTACTTTTAATATGAAGATATTTCCATGTCTAAGATTGGCGTCAAATCGCTTGAAATCTCCACTTGCAAATTCCACAAAAAGAGTGTTTCAAAACTGCTCTGAATAAAGGAAGGTTCCACTCTGTGAGTTGAATACACACAACACAAAGGATTTACTGAGAATTCTTCTGTCTAGCAGTAAATGAGAAATCCCGCTTCCAACGAAGGCCTCAAAGGGGTCTAACTAATCACTTGCAGACTTTACAGACAGAGTCTTTCCAAACTGCTCTATGAAGAGAAAGGTGAAACTCTGTGAACTGAACGCACAGATGACAAAGCAGTTTCTGAGAATGATTCTGTGTAGTTTTTACACGAAGATATTTCCATTTCAAAGATTAGCCTCAAATCGCTTGAAATCTCCACTTGCAAACTCCACAGAAAGAACTTTTCAAAACTGCTCTGTCTAAAGGAAGGTTCAACTCTGTGACTTGAATACACACAACACAAAGAAGTGACTGAGAATTCTTCTGTCTAGCATTATATGAAGAAATCCCGTTTCCAACGAAGGCCTCAATGAAGTCCAAAAAAGCACTTGCAGGCTTTACAAACAGAGTGTTTCCAAACTGCTCTATGAAAAGAAAGGTTAAACTCTGTGAGTTGAACGCACACATCACAAAGTAGTTGTTGAGAATGATTCTGTGTAGTTTTTATACGAAGATATTTCCTTTTCTGCCATAGGCCTAGAAGCGCTTGAAATCTGCACTTGCAAATTCCAAAAACAGAGTGTTTCAAATCTGCTCTCTCTAAAGGAAGGTTCAAATCTGTGTGTTGAATACAAACAACACAAAGAAGTTACTGAGAATTTTTCTGTCTAGCATTATATGAGGAAATCCCGTTTCCAACGAAGGGCTCAAAGAGGGCCAAATATCCACCTGCAGACTTACAAAGAGTGTATTTCCAAACTGCTCGATTAAAGAAAGGTTAAACTCTGTGAGTTGAACACACACATCACAAAGAGTTTTCTGAGAATGATTTTGTCTACTTTTAATACGAAGATATATCCTTTTCTATCACTGTCTTCGAAGCGTTTGAAATCTACACTAGCAAATTCCACAAAAAGAGTGTTTCACCTCTGCTCCCTCTAAAGAAAGGTTCAACTCTGTGAGTTGAATACACACAACACAAAGAAGTTACTGAGAATTCTTCTGTCTAGCGTTATATGAAGAAATCCCGTTTCCAACGAAGGCCTCAAAGAGGTCCAAATATCCACTTGCAGACTTTACAAATAGAGTGTTTCCCAACTGCTCTATGAAAAGAAAGGTTAAACTCTGTGAGTTGAAGGCACACATCACAAACTAGTTTCTACGAATGACTCTGTGTACTTTTAATATGAAGATATTTCCATGTCTAAGATTGGCGTCAAATCGCTTGAAATCTCCACTTGCAAATTCCACAAAAAGAGTGTTTCAAAACTGCTCTGAATAAAGGAAGGTTCCACTCTGTGAGTTGAATACACACAACACAAAGGATTTACTGAGAATTCTTCTGTCTAGCAGTAAATGAGAAATCCCGCTTCCAACGAAGGCCTCAAAGGGGTCTAACTAATCACTTGCAGACTTTACAGACAGAGTCTTTCCAAACTGCTCTATGAAGAGAAAGGTGAAACTCTGTGAACTGAACGCACAGATGACAAAGCAGTTTCTGAGAATGATTCTGTGTAGTTTTTACACGAAGATATTTCCATTTCAAAGATTAGCCTCAAATCGCTTGAAATCTCCACTTGCAAATTACACAGAAAGAATTTTTCAAAACTGCTCTGTCTAAAGGAAGGTTCAACTCTGTGACTTGAATACACACAACACAAAGAAGTGACTGAGAATTCTTCTGTCTAGCATTATATGAAGAAATCCCGTTTCCAACGAAGGCCTCAATGAAGTCCAAAAAAGCACTTGCAGGCTTTACAAACAGAGTGTTTCCAAACTGCTCTATGAAAAGAAAGGTTAAACTCTGTGAGTTGAACGCACACATCACAAAGTAGTTGTTGAGAATGATTCTGTGTAGTTTTTATACGAAGATATTCCCTTTTCTGCCATAGGCCTAGAAGCGCTTGAAATCTGCACTTGCAAATTCCAAAAAAAGAGTGTTTGAAATCTGCTCTCTCTAAAGGAAGGTTCAAATCTGTGAGTTGAATACAAACAACACAAAGAAGTTACTGAGAATTCTTCTGTCTAGCATTATATGAGGAAATCCCGTTTCCAACGAAGGGCTCAAAGAGGGCCAATTATCCACCTGCAGACTTACAAAGAGTGTATTTCCAAACTGCTCGATTAAAGAAAGGTTAAACTCTGTGAGTTGAACACACACATCACAAAATGTTTTTCTGAGAATGATTCTGTGTACTTTTAATATGAAGATATTTCCATGTCTAAGATTGCCGTCAAATCGGTTGAAATCTCCATTTGCAAATTCCACAAAAAGTGTTTTTCAAAACTGCTCTGAATAAAGGAAGGTTCCACTCTGTGAGTTGAATACACACAACACAAAGGATTTACTGAGAATTCTTCTGTCTAGCAGTAAATGAAAAAATCCCGCTTCCAATGAAGTCCTCAAAGGGGTCCAAGTAATCACTTGCAGACTTTACAGAGTCTTTCCAAACTGCTCTATGAAAAGAAAGGTGGAACTCTGTGAGCTGAACGCACACATAACAAAGCAGTTTCTGACAATGATTCTGTGTAGTTTTTACACGAAGATATTTCCATTTCAAAGATTAGCCTCAAATCGCTTGAAATCTCCACTTGCAAATTCCACAGAAAGAGTTTTTCAAAACTGCTCTGTGTAAAGGAAGGTTCAACTCTGTGACTTGAATACACACAACACAAAGAAGTGACTGAGAATTCTTCTGTCTAGCATTATATGAAGAAATCCCGTTTCCAACGAAGGCCTTAAAGAAGTCCAAATAAGCACCTGCAGACTTTACAAACAGAGTGTTTCCAAACTGCTCTATGAAAAGAAAGGTTAAACTCTGTGAGTTGAACGCACACATCACAAAGTAGTTGTTGAGAATGAGTCTGTGTAGTTTTTATACGAAGATATTTCCTTTTCTGCCATAGGCCTAGAAGCGCTTGCAATCTGCACTTGCAAATTCCAAAAACAGAGTGTTTCAAATCTGCTCTCTCTAAAGGAAGTTTCAAATCTGTGAGTTGAATACAAACAACACAAAGAAGTTACTGAGAATACTTCTGTCTAGCATTATATGAGGAAATCCCGTTTCCAACGAAGGGCTCATAGAGGGACAATTATCCACCTGCAGACTTACAAAGAGTGCATTTCCAAACTGCTCGATTAAAGAAAGGTTAAACTCTGTGAGTTGAACACACACATCACAAAGTGTTTTCTGAGAATGATTTTGTCTAGTTTTAATACGAAGATATATCCTTTTCTGTCACTGTCTTCGAAGCGTTTGAAATCTGCACTAGCAAATTCCACAGAAAGAGTGTTTCAACTCTGCTCTCTCTCAAGAAAGGTTCAACTCTGTGAGTGGAATACACACAACACAAAGAAGTTACAGAGAATTCTTCTGTCTAGCGTTATATGAAAAAATCCCGTTTCCAACGAAGGCCTCAAAGAGGTCCAAATATCCACTTGCAGACTTTACAAATAGAGTGTTTCCAAACTGCTCTATGAAAAGAAAGGTTAAACTCCGTGAGTTGAAGGCACACATCACAAACTAGTTTCTGCGAATGACTCTGTGTACTTTTAATACGAAGATGTTTCCATGTCTAAGATTGGCGTGAATTCGCTTGAAATCTCCACTTGCAAATTCCACAAAAAGAGTGTTTCAAAACTGCTCTGAATAAAGGAAGGTTCCACTCTGTGAGTTGAATACACACAACACAAAGGATTTACTGAGAATTCTTCTGTCTAGCAGTAAATGAAAAAATCCCGCTTCCAACGAAGTCCTCAAAGGGGTCCAAGTAATCACTTGCAGACTTTACAGACAGAGTCTTTCCAAACTGCTCTATGAAAACAAAGGTGGAACTCTGTGAGCTGAACGCACACATAACGAGAAGCAGTTTCTGAGAATGATTCTGTGTAGTTTTTACACGAAGATATTTCCATTTCAAAGATTAGCCTCAAATCGCTTGAAATCTCCACTTGCAAATTCCACAGAAAGAGTTTTTCAAAACTGCTCTGTGTAAAGGAAGGTTCAACTCTGTGACTTGAATACACACAACACAAAGAAGTGACTGAGAATTCTTCTGTCTAGCATTACATGAAGAAATCCCGTTTCCAACGAAGGCCTCAAAGAAGTCCAAATAAGCACCTGCAGACTTTACAAACAGAGTGTTTCCAAACTGCTCTATGAAAAGAAAGGTTAAACTCTGTGAGTTGAACGCACACATCACAAAGTAGTTGTTGAGAATGATTCTGTGTAGTTTTTATACGAAGATATTTCCTTTTCTGCCATAGGCCTAGAAGCGCTTGAAATCTGCACTTGCAAATTCCAAAAACAGAGTGTTTCAAATCTGCTCTCTCTAAAGGAAGGTTCAAATCTGTGAGTTGAATACAAACAACACAAAGAAGTTACTGAGAATTCTTCTGTCTAGCATTATAAGAGGAAATCCCGTTTCCAACGAAGGGCTCATAGAGGGACAATTATCCAGCTGCAGACTTACAAAGAGTGTATTTCCAAACTGCTCGATTAAAGAAAGGTTAAACTCTGTGAGTTGAACACACACATCACAAAGTGTTTTCTGAGAATGATTTTGTCTAGTTTTAATACGAAGATATATCCTTTTCTATCACTGTCTTCGAAGCGTTTGAAATCTGCACTAGCAAATTCCACAGAAAGAGTGTTTCAACTCTGCTCTCTCTCAAGAAAGGTTCAACTCTGTGAGTGGAATACACACAACACAAAGAAGTTACTGAGAATTCTTCTGTCTAGCGTTATATGAAGAAATCCCGTTTCCAACGAAGGCCTCAAAGAGGTCCAAATATCCACTTGCAGACTTTACAAAGAGAGTGTTTCCAAACTGCTCTATGAAAAGAAAGGTTAAACTCCGTGAGTTGAAGGCACACATCACAAACTAGTTTCTGCGAATGACTCTGTGTACTTTTAATACGAAGATGTTTCCATGTCTAAGATTGGCGTGAATTCGCTTGAAATCTCCACTTGCAATTTCCACAAAAAGAGTGTTTCAAAAGTGCTCTGAATAAAGGAAGGTTCCACTCTGTGAGTTGAATACACACAACACAAAGGATTTACTGAGAATTCTTCTGTCTAGCAGTAAATGAAAAAATCCCGCTTCCAACGAAGTCCTCAAAGGGGTCCAAGTAATCACTTGCAGACTTTACAGACAGAGTCTTTCCAAACTGCTCTATGAAAAGAAAGGTGGAACTCTGTGAGCTGAACGCACACATAACAAAGCAGTTTCTGACAATGATTCTGTGTAGTTTTTACACGAAGCTATTTCCATTTCAAAGATTAGCCTCAAAACGCTTGAAATCTCCACTTGCAAATTCCACAGAAAGAGTTTTTCAAAACTGCTCTGTGTAAAGGAAGGTTCAACTCTGTGACTTGAATACACACAACACAAAGAAGTGACTGAGAATTCTTCTGTCTAGCATTATATGAAGAAATCCCGTTTCCAACGAAGGCCTCAAAGAAGTCCAAATAAGCACCTGCAGACTTTACAAACAGAGTGTTTCCAAACTGCTCTATGAAAAGAAAGGTTAAACTCTGTGAGTTGAACGCACACATCACAAAGTAGTTGTTGAGAATGATTCTGTGTAGTTTTTATACGAAGATATTTCCTTTTCTGCCATAGGCCTAGAAGCGCTTGTAATCTGCACTTGCAAATTCCAAAAACAGAGTGTTTCAAATCTGCTCTCTCTAAAGGAAGGTTCAAATCTGTGAGTTGAATACAAACAACACAAAGAAGTTACTGAGAATTCTTCTGTCTAGCATTATAAGAGGAAATCCCGTTTCCAACGAAGGGCTCATAGAGGGACAATTATCCAGCTGCAGACTTACAAAGAGTGTATTTCCAAACTGCTCGATTAAAGAAAGGTTAAACTCTGTGAGTTGAACACACACATCACAAAGTGTTTTCTGAGAATGATTTTGTCTAGTTTTAATACGAAGATATATCCTTTTCTATCACTGTCTTCGAAGCGTTTGAAATCTGCACTAGCAAATTCCACAAAAAGAGTGTTTCAACTCTGCTCTCTCTCAAGAAAGGTTCAACTCTGTGAGTGGAATACACACAACACAAAGAAGTTACTGAGAATTCTTCTGTCTAGCGTTATATGAAGAAATCCCGTTTCCAACGAAGGCCTCAAAGTGGTCCAAATATCCACTTGCAGACTTTACAAATAGAGTGTTTCCAAACTGCTCTATGAAAAGAAAGCTTAAACTCTGTGAGTTGAAGGCACACATCACAAACTAGTTTCTGCGAATGACTCTGTGTACTTTTAATACGAAGATGTTTCCATGTCTAAGATTGGCGTGAATTCGCTTGAAATCTCCACTTGCAAATTCCACAAAAAGAGTGTTTCAAAACTGCTCTGAATAAAGGAAGGTTCCACTCTGTGAGTTGAATACACACAACACGAAGGATTTACTGAGAATTCTTCTGTCTAGCAGTAAATGAAAAAATACCGCTTCCAACGAAGTCCTCAAAGGGGTCCAAGTAATCACTTGCAGACTTTACAGACAGAGTCTTTCCAAACTGCTCTATGAAAAGAAAGGTGGAACTCTGCGAGCTGAACGCACACATAACAAAGCAGTTTCTGAGAATGATTCTGTGTAGTTTTTACACGAAGATATTTCCATTTCAAAGATTAGCCTCAAATCGCTTGAAATCTCCACTTGCAAATTCCACAGAAAGAGTTTTTCAAAACTGCTCTGTGTAAAGGAAGGTTCAACTCTGTGACTTGAATACACACAACACAAAGAAGTGACTGAGAATTCTTCTGTCTAGCATTATATGAAGAAATCCCGTTTCCAACGAAGGCCTCAAAGAAGTCCAAATAAGCACCTGCAGACTTTACAAACAGAGTGTTTCCAAACTGCTCTATGAAAAGAAAGGTTAAACTCTGTGAGTTGAAAGCACACATCACAAAGTAGTTGTTGAGAATGATTCTGTGTAGTTTTTACACGAAGATATTTCCTTTTCTGCCATAGGCCTAGAAGCGCTTGTAATCTGCACTTACAATTTCCAAAAACAGAGTGTTTCAAATCTCCTCTCTCTAAAGGAAAGTTCAAATCTGTGAGTTGAATACAAACAACACAAAGAAGTTACTGAGAATTCTTCTGTCTAGCGTTATATGAAGAAATCCCGTTTCCAACGAAGGCCTCAAAGAGGTCCAAATATCCACTTGCAGACTTTACAAATAGAGTGTTTCCAAACTGCTCTATGAAAAGAAAGGTTAAACTCTGTGAGTTGAAGGCACACATCACAAACTAGTTTGCTGCGAATGACTCTGTGTACTTTTAATATGAAGATATTTCCATGTCTAAGCATTGGCGTCAAATCGCTTGAAATCTCCACTTGCAAATTCCACAAAAAGTGTTTTTCAAAACTGCTCTGAATAAAGGAAGGTTCCACTCTGTGAGTTGAATACACACAACACAAAGGATTTACTGAGAATTCTTCTGTCTAGCAGTAAATGAGAAATCCCGCTTCCAACGAAGGCCTCAAAGGGGTCTAACTAATCACTTGCAGACTTTACAGACAGAGTCTTTCCAAACTGCTCTATGAAGAGAAAGGTGAAACTCTGTGAACTGAACGCACAGATGACAAAGCAGTTTCTGAGAATGATTCTGTGTAGTTTTTACACGAAGATATTTCCATTTCAAAGATTAGCCTCAAATCGCTTGAAATCTCCACTTGCAAACTCCACAGAAAGAATTTTTCAAAACTGCTCTGTCTAAAGGAAGGTTCAACTCTGTGACTTGAATACACACAACACAAAGAAGTGACTGAGAATTCTTCTGTCTAGCATTATATGAAGAAATCCCGTTTCCAACGAAGGCCTCAATGAAGTCCAAAAAAGCACTTGCAGGCTTTACAAACAGAGTATTTCCAAACTGCTCTCTGAAAAGAAAGGTTAAACTCTGTGAGTTGAACGCGCACATCACAAAGTAGTTGTTGAGAATGATTCTGTGTAGTTTTTATACGAAGATATTTCCTTTTCTGCCATAGGCCTAGAAGCGCTTGAAATCTGCACTTGCAAATTCCAAAAACAGAGTGTTTCAAATCTGCTCTCTCTAAAGGAAGGTTCAAATCTGTGAGTTGAATACAAACAACACAAAGAAGTTACTGAGAATTCTTCTGTCTAGCATTATAAGAGGAAATCCCGTTTCCAACGAAGGGCTCATAGAGGGACAATTATCCAGCTGCAGACTTACAAAGAGTGTATTTCCAAACTGCTCGATTAAAGAAAGGTTAAACTCTGTGAGTTGAACGCACACATCACAAAGTGTTTTCTGAGAATGATTTTGTCTAGTTTTAATACGAAGATATATCCTTTTCTATCACTGTCTTCGAAGCGTTTGAAATCTGCACTAGCAAATTCCACAAACAGAGTGTTTCAACTCTGCTCTCTCTCAAGAAAGGTTCAACTCTGTGAGTGGAATACACACAACACAAAGAAGTTACTGAGAATTCTTCTGTCTAGCGTTATATGAAGAAATCCCGTTTCCAACGAAGGCCTCAAAGAGGTCCAAATATCCACTTGCAGACTTTACAAATAGAGTGTTTCCAAACTGCTCTATGAAAAGAAAGGTTAAACTCCGTGAGTTGAAGGCACACATCACAAACTAGTTTCTGCGAATGACTCTGTGTACTTTTAATACGAAGATGTTTCCATGTCTAAGATTGGCGTGAATTCGCTTGAAATCTCCACTTGCAAATTCCACAAAAAGAGTGTTTCAAAACTGCTCTGAATAAAGGAAGGTTCCACTCTGTGAGTTGAATACACACAACACAAAGGATTTACTGAGAATTCTTCTGTCTAGCAGTAAATGAAAAAATCCCGCTTCCAACGAAGTCCTCAAAGGGGTCCAAGTAATCACTTGCAGACTTTACAGACAGAGTCTTTCCAAACTGCTCTATGAAAACAAAGGTGGAACTCTGTGAGCTGAACGCACACATAACAAAGCAGTTTCTGACAATGATTCTGTGTAGTTTTTACACGAAGCTATTTCCATTTCAAAGATTAGCCTCAAATCGCTTGAAATCTCCACTTGCAAATTCCACAGAAAGAGTTTCTCAAAACTGCTCTGTGTAAAGGAAGGTTCAACTCTGTGACTTGAATACACACAACACAAAGAAGTGACTGAGAATTCTTCTGTCTAGCATTATATGAAGAAATCCCGTTTCCAACGAAGGCCTCAAAGAAGTCCAAATAAGCACCTGCAGACTTTACAAACAGAGTGTTTCCAAACTGCTCTATGAAAAGAAAGGTTAAACTCTGTGAGTTGAACGCACACATCACAAAGTAGTTGTTGAGAATGATTCTGTGTAGTTTTTATACGAAGATATTTCCTTTTCTGCCATAGGCCTAGAAGCGCTTGTAATCTGCACTTGCAAATTCCAATAACACAGTGTTTCAAATCTGCTCTCTCTAAAGGAAGGTTCAAATCTGTGAGTTGAATACAAACAACACAAAGAAGTTACTGAGAATTCTTCTGTCTAGCATTATAAGAGGAAATCCCGTTTCCAACGAAGGGCTCATAGAGGGACAATTATCCAGCTGCAGACTTACAAAGAGTGTATTTCCAAACTGCTCGATTAAAGAAAGGTTAAACTCTGTGAGTTGAACACACACATCACAAAGTGTTTTCTGAGAATGATTTTGTCTAGTTTTAATACGAAGATATATCCTTTTCTATCACTGTCTTCGAAGCGTTTGAAATCTACACTAGCAAATTCCACAAACAGAGTGTTTCAACTCTGCTCTCTCTCAAGAAAGGTTCAACTCTGTGAGTTGAATACACACAACACAAAGAAGTTACTGAGAATTCTTCTGTCTAGCGTTATATGAAGAAATTCCGTTTCCAACGAAGGCCTCAAAGAGGTCCAAATATCCACTTGCAGACTTTACAAATAGAGTGTTTCCAAACTGCTCTATGAAAAGAAAGGTTAAACTCCGTGAGTTGAAGGCACACATCACAAACTAGTTTCTGCAAATGACTCTGTGTACTTTTAATACGAAGATGTTTCCATGTCTAAGATTGGCGTGAATTCGCTTGAAATCTCCACTTGCAAATTCCACAAAAAGAGTGTTTCAAAAGTGCTCTGAATAAAGGAAGGTTCCACTCTGTGAGTTGAATACACACAACACAAAGGATTTACTGAGAATTCTTCTGTCTAGCAGTAAATGAAAAAATCCCGCTTCCAACGAAGTCCTCAAAGGGGTCCAAGTAATCACTTGCAGACTTTACAGACAGAGTCTTTCCAAACTGCTCTATGAAAACAAAGGTGGAACTCTGTGAGCTGAACGCACACATAACAAAGCAGTTTCTGAGAATGATTCTGTGTAGTTTTTACACGAAGCTATTTCCATTTCAAAGATTAGCCTCAAATCGCTTGAAATCTCCACTTGCAAATTCCACAGAAAGAGTTTTTCAAAACTGCTCTGTGTAAAGGAAGGTTCAACTCTGTGACTTGAATACACACAACACAAAGAAGTGACTGAGAATTCTTCTGTCTAGCATTATATGAGGAAATCCCGTTTCCAACGAAGGGCTCAAAGAGGGACAATTATCCACCTGCAGACTTACAAAGAGTGTATTTCCAAACTGCTCGATTAAAGAAAGGTTAAACTCTGTGAGTTGAACACACACATCACAAAGAGTTTTCTGAGAATGATTTTGTCTACTTTTAATACGAAGATATATCCTTTTCTATCACTGTCTTCGAAGCGTTTGAAATCTACACTAGCAAATTCCACAAAAAGAGTGTTTCACCTCTGCTCCCTCTAAAGAAAGGTTCAACTCTGTGAGTTGAATACACACAACACAAAGAAGTTACTGAGAATTCTTCTGTCTAGCGTTACATGAAGAAATCCCGTTTCCAACGAAGGCCTCAAAGAGGTCCAAATATCCACTTGCAGACTTTACAAATAGAGTGTTTCCAAAATGCTCTATGAAAAGAAAGGTTAAACTCTGTGAGTTGAAGGCACACATCACAAACTAGTTTCTGCGAATGACTCTGTGTACTTTTAATATGAAGATATTTCCATGTCTAAGATTGGCGTCAAATCGCTTGAAATCTCCACTTGCAAATTCCACAAAAAGAGTGTTTCAAAACTGCTCTGAATAAAGGAAGGTTCCACTCTGTGAGTTGAATACACACAACACAAAGGATTTACTGAGAATTCTTCTGTCTAGCAGTAAATGAGAAATCCCGCTTCCAACGAAGGCCTTAAAGGGGTCTAACTAATCACTTGCAGACTTTACAGACAGAGTCTTTCCAAACTGCTCTATGAAGAGAAAGGTGAAACTCTGTGAACTGAACGCACAGATGACAAAGCAGTTTCTGAGAATGATTCTGTGTAGTTTTTACACGAAGATATTTCCATTTCAAAGATTAGCCTCAAATCGCTTGAAATCTCCACTTGCAAATTACACAGAAAGAATTTTTAAAAACTGCTCTGTCTAAAGGAAGGTTCAACTCTGTGACTTGAATACACACAACACAAAGAAGTTACTGAGAATTCTTCTGTCTAGCGTTGTATGAAGAAATCCCGTTTCCAACGAAGGCCTCAATGAAGTACAAAAAAGCACTTGCAGGCTTTACAAACAGAGTGTTTCCAAACTGCTCTATGAAAAGAAAGGTTAAACTCTGTGAGTTGAACACACACATCACAAAGAGTTTTCTGAGAATGATTTTGTCTACTTTTAATACGAAGATATATCCTTTTCTATCACTGTCTTCGAAGCGTTTGAAATCTGCACTAGCAAATTCCACAAAAAGAGTGTTTCAACTCTGCTCTCTCTAAAGAAAGGTTCAACTCTGTGAGTTGAATACACACAACACAAAGAAGTAACTGAGAATTCTTCTGTCTAGCGTTATATGAAGAAATCCCTTTTCCAACGAAGGCCTCAAAGAGGTCCAAATATCCACTTGCAGACTTTACAAATAGAATGTTTCCGAACTGCTCTATGAAAAGAAAGGTTAAACTCTGTGAGTTGAAGGCACACATCACAAACTAGTTTCTACGAATGATTCTGTGTACTTTTAATATGAAGATATTTCCATGTCTAAGATTGGCGTCAAATCGCTTGAAATCTCCACTTGCAAATTCCACAAAAAGAGTGTTTCAAAACTGCTCTGAATAAAGGAAGGTTCCACTCTGTGAGTTGAATAAACACAACACAAAGGATTTACTGAGAATTCTTCTGTCTAGCATTATATGAAGAAATCCCGTTTCCAACGAAGGCCTCAATGAAGTCGAAAAAGCACTGGCAGGCTTTACAAGCAGAGTGTTTCCAAACTGCTCTATGAAAAGAAAGGTTAAACTTTGTGAGTGGAGCGCACACATCACAAAGTAGTTGTTGAGAATGATTCTGTGTAGTTTTTATACGAAGATAATTCCTTTTCTGCCATAGGCCTAGAATCGCTTGAAATCTCCCCTTGCAAATTCCAAAAACAGAGTGTTTCAGCTCTGCTCTCTCTAAAGAAAGGTTCAACTCTGTGAGTTGAATACACACAACACAAAGAAGTTAGTGAGAATTCTTCTGTCTAGCGTTATATGAAGAAATCCCCGTTTCCAACGAAGGCCTCAAAGAGGTCCAAATATCCACTTGCAGACTTTACAAATAGAGTGTTTCCAAACTGCTCTATGAAAAGAAAGGTTAAACTCCGTGAGTTGAAGGCACACATCACAAACTAGTTTCTGCGAATGACTCTGTGTACTTTTAATATGAAGATATTTCCATGTCTAAGATTGGCGTCAAATCTCTTGAAATCTCCACTTGCAAATTCCACAAAAAGAGTGTTTCAAAACTGCTCTGAATAAAGGAAGGTTCCACTCTGTGAGTTGAATACACACAACACAAAGGATTTACTGAGAATTCTTCTGTCTAGCAGTAAATGAGAAATCCCGCTTCCAACGAAGGCCTCAAAGGGGTCTAACTAATCACTTGCAGACTTTACAGACAGAGTCTTTCCAAACTGCTCTATGAAGAGAAAGGTGAAACTCTGTGAACTGAACGCACAGATGACAAAGCAGTTTCTGAGAATGATTCTGTGTAGTTTTTACACGAAGATATTTCCATTTCAAAGATTAGCCTCAAATCGCTTGAAATCTCCACTTGCAAATTACACAGAAAGAATTTTTCAAAACTGCTCTGTCTAAAGGAAGGTTCAACTCTGTGACTTGAATACACACAACACAAAGAAGTGACTGAGAATTCTTCTGTCTAGCATTATATGAAGAAATCCCGTTTCCAACGAAGGCCTCAATGAAGTCCAAAAAAGCACTTGCAGGCTTTACAAACAGAGTGTTTCCAAACTGCTCTATGAAAAGAAAGGTTAAACTCAGTGAGTTGAACGCACACATCACAAAGTAGTTGTTGAGAATGATTCTGTGTAGTTTTTATACGAAGATATTTCCTTTTCTGCCATAGGCCTAGAATCGCTTGAAATCTGCACTTGCAAATTCCAAAAACAGAGTGTTTCAACTCTGCTCTCTCTAAAGAAAGGTTCAACCCTGTGAGTTGAATACACACAACACAAAGAAGTTACTGAGAATTCTTCTGTCTAGCGTTATATGAAGAAATCCCGTTTCCAACGAAGGCCTCAAAGAGGTCCAAATATCCACTTGCAGACTTTACAAATAGAGTGTTTCCCAACTGCTCTATGAAAAGAAAGGTTAAACTCTGTGAGTTGAAGGCACACATCACAAACTAGTTTCTACGAATGACTCTGTGTACTTTTAATATGAAGATATTTCCATGTCTAAGATTGGCGTCAAATCGCTTGAAATCTCCACTTGCAAATTCCACAAAAAGTGTTTTTCAAAACTGCTCTGAATAAAGGAAGGTTCCACTCTGTGAGTTGAATACACACAACACAAAGGATTTACTGAGAATTCTTCTGTCTAGCAGTAAATGAGAAATCCCGCTTCCAACGAAGGCCTCAAAGGGGTCTAACTAATCACTTGCAGACTTTACAGACAGAGTCTTTCCAAACTGCTCTATGAAGAGAAAGGTGAAACTCTGTGAACTGAACGCACAGATGACAAAGCAGTTTCTGAGAATGATTCTGTGTAGTTTTTACACGAAGATATTTCCATTTCAAAGATTAGCCTCAAATCGCTTGAAATCTCCACTTGCAAACTCCACAGAAAGAATTTTTCAAAACTGCTCTGTCTAAAGGAAGGTTCAACTCTGTGACTTGAATACACACAACACAAAGAAGTGACTGAGAATTCTTCTGTCTAGCATTATATGAAGAAATCCCGTTTCCAACGAAGGCCTCAATGAAGTCCAAAAAAGCACTTGCAGGCTTTACAAACAGAGTGTTTCCAAACTGCTCTATGAAAAGAAAGGTTAAACTCTGTGAGTTGAACGCACACATCACAAAGTAGTTGTTGAGAATGATTCTGTGTAGTTTTTATACGAAGATATTTCCTTTTCTGCCATAGGCCTAGAAGCGCTTGAAATCTGCACTTGCAAATTCCAAAAACAGAGTGTTTCAACTCTGCTCTCTCTAAAGAAAGGTTCAACTCTGTGAGTTGAATACACACAACACAAAGAAGTTACTGAGAATTCTTCTGTCTAGCGTTGTATGAAGAAATCCCGTTTCCAACGAAGGCCTCAAAGAGGTCCAAATATCCACTTGCAGACTTTACAAATAGAGTGTTTCCAAACTGCTCTATGAAAAGAAATGTTAAACTCTGTGAGTTGAAGGCACACATCACAAACTAGTTTCTACGAATGACTCTGTGTACTTTTAATATGAAGATATTTCCATGTCTAAGATTGGCGTCAAATCGCTTGAAATCTCCACTTGCAAATTCCACAAAAAGTGTTTTTCAAAACTGCTCTGAATAAAGGAAGGTTCCACTCTGTGAGTTGAATACACACAACACAAAGGTTTTACTGAGAATTCTTCTGTCTAGCAGTAAATGAGAAATCCCGCTTCCAACGAAGGCCTCAAAGGGGTCTAACTAATCACTTGCAGACTTTACAGACAGAGTCTTTCCAAACTGCTCTATGAAGAGAAAGGTGAAACTCTGTGAACTGAACGCACAGATGACAAAGCAGTTTCTGAGAATGATTCTGTGCAGTTTTTACACGAAGATATTTCCATTTCAAAGATTAGCCTCAAATCGCTTGAAATCTCCACTTGCAAATTCCACAGAAAGAGTTTTTCAAAACTGCTCTGTGTAAAGGAAGGTTCAACTCTGTGACTTGAATACACACAACACAAAGAAGTGACTGAGAATTCTTCTGTCTAGCATTATATGAAGAAATCCCGTTTCCAACGAAGGCCTCAAAGAAGTCCAAATAAGCACCTGCAGACTTTACAAACAGAGTGTTTCCAAACTGCTCTATGAAAAGAAAGGTTAAACTCTGTGAGTTGAACGCACACATCACAAAGTAGTTGTTGAGAATGATTCTGTGTAGTTTTTATACGAAGATATTTCCTTTTCTGCCATAGGCCTAGAAGCGCTTGCAATCTGCACTTGCAAATTCCAAAAACAGAGTGTTTCAAATCTGCTCTCTCCAAAGGAAGGTTCAAATCTGTGAGTTGAATACAAACAACACAAAGAAGTTACTGAGAATTCTTCTCTCTAGCATTATAAGAGGAAATCCCGTTTCCAACGAAGGGCTCATAGAGGGACAATTATCCAGCTGCAGACTTACAAAGAGTGTATTTCCAAACTGCTCGATTAAAGAAAGGTTAAACTCTGTGAGTTGAACACACACATCACAAGGTGTTTTCTGAGAATGATTTTGTCTAGTTTTAATACGAAGATATATCCTTTTCTATCACTGTCTTCGAAGCGTTTGAAATCTGCACTAGCAAATTCCTCAAACAGAGTGTTTCAACTCTGCTCTCTCTCAAGAAAGGTTCAACTCTGTGAGTGGAATACACACAACACAAAGAAGTTACTGAGAATTCTTCTGTCTAGCGTTATATGAAGAAATCCCGTTTCCAACGAAGGCCTCAAAGAGGTCCAAATATCCACTTGCAGACTTTACAAATAGAGTGTTTCCAAACTGCTCTATGAAAAGAAAGGTTAAACTCCGTGAGTTGAAGGCACACATCACAAACTAGTTTCTGCGAATGACTCTGTGTACTTTTAATACGAAGATGTTTCCATGTCTAAGATTGGCGTGAATTCGCTTGAAATCTCCACTTGCAAATTCCACAAAGGAGTGTTTCAAAACTGCTCTGAATAAAGGAAGGTTCCACTCTGTGAGTTGAATACACACAACACAAAGGATTTACTGAGAATTCTTCTGTCTAGCAGTAAATGAAAAAATCCCGCTTCCAACGAAGTCCTCAAAGGGGTCCAAGTAATCACTTGCAGACTTTACAGACAGAGTCTTTCCAAACTGCTCTATGAAAAGAAAGGTGGAACTCTGTGAGCTGAACGCACACATAACAAAGCAGTTTCTGAGAATGATTCTGTGTAGTTTTTACACGAAGATATTTCCATTTCAAAGATTAGCCTCAAATCGCTTGAAATCTCCACTTGCAAATTCCACAGAGAGAGTTTTTCAAAACTGCTCTGTGTAAAGGAAGGTTCAACTCTGTGACTTGAATACACACAACACAAAGAAGTGACTGAGAATTCTTCTGTCTAGCATTATATGAAGAAATCCCGTTTCCAACGAAGGCCTCAAAGAAGTCCAAATAAGCACCTGCAGACTTTACAAACAGAGTGTTTCCAAACTGCTCTATGAAAAGAAAGGTTAAACTCTGTGATTTGAACGCACACATCACAAAGTAGTTGTTGAGAATGATTCTGTGTAGTTTTTATACGAAGATATTACCTTTTCTGCCATAGGCCTAGAAGCGCTTGTAATCTGCACTTGCAAATTCCAAAACCAGAGTGTTTCAAATCTGCTCTCTCTAAAGGAAGGTTCAAATCTGTGAGTTGAATACAAACAACACAAAGAAGTTACTGAGAATTCTTCTGTCTAGCATTATAAGAGGAAATCCCGTTTCCAACGAAGGGCTCATAGAGGGACAATTATCCAGCTGCAGACTTACAAAGAGTGTATTTCCAAACTGCTCGATTAAAGAAAGGTTAAACTCTGTGAGTTGAACACACACATCACAAAGTGTTTTCTGAGAATGATTTTGTCTAGTTTTAATACGAAGATATATCCTTTTCTATCACTGTCTTCGAAGCGTTTGAAATCTGCACTAGCAAATTCCACAAACAGAGTGTTTCAACTCTGCTCTCTCTCAAGAAAGGTTCAACTCTGTGAGTGGAATACACACAACACAAAGAAGTTACTGAGAATTCTTCTGTCTAGCGTTATATGAAGAAATCCCGTTTCCAACGAAGGCCTCAAAGAGGTCCAAATATCCACTTGCAGACTTTACAAATAGAGTGTTTCCAAACTGCTCTATGAAAAGAAAGGTTAAACTCTGTGAGTTGAAGGCACACATCACAAACTAGTTTCTGCGAATGACTCTGTGTACTTTTAATACGAAGATGTTTCCATGTCTAAGATTGGCGTGAATTCGCTTGAAATCTGCACTTGCAAATTCCACAAAAAGAGTGTTTCAAAACTGCTCTGAATAAAGGAAGGTTCCACTCTGTGAGTTGAAATCACACAACACGAAGGATTTACTGAGAATTCTTCTGTCTAGCAGTAAATGAAAAAATCCCGCTTCCAATGAAGTCCTCAAAGGGGTCCAAGTAATCACTTGCAGACTTTACAGAGTCTTTCCAAACTGCTCTATGAAAAGAAAGGTGGAACTCTGTGAGCTGAACGCACACATAACAAAGCAGTTTCTGACAATGATTCTGTGTAGTTTTTACACGAAGATATTTCCATTTCAAAGATTAGCCTCAAATCGCTTGAAATCTCCACTTGCAAATTCCACAGAAAGAGTTTTTCAAAACTGCTCTGTGTAAAGGAAGGTTCAACTCTGTGACTTGAATACACACAACACAAAGAAGTGACTGAGAATTCTTCTGTCTAGCATTATATGAAGAAATCCCGTTTCCAACGAAGGCCTCAAAGAAGTCCAAATAAGCACCTGCAGACTTTACAAACAGGGTGTTTCCAAACTGCTCTATGAAAAGAAAGGTTAAACTCTGTGAGTTGAACGCACACATCACAAAGTAGTTGTTGAGAATGATTCCGTGTAGTTTTTATACGAAGATATTTCCTTTTCTGCCATAGGCCTAGAAGTGCTTGAAATCTGCACTTGCAAATTCCAAAAACAGAGTGTTTCAAATCTGCTCTCTCTATAGGAAGGTTCAAATCTGTGAGTTGAATATAAACAACACAAAGAAGTTACTGAGAATTCTTCTGTCTAGCATTATATGAGGAAATCCCGTTTCCAACGAAGGGCTCATAGAGGGACAACTATCCAGCTGCAGACTTACAAAGAGTGTATTTCCAAACTGCTCGATTAAAGAAAGGTTAAACTCTGTGAGTTGAACACACACATCACAAAGTGTTTTCTGAGAATGATTTTGTCTAGTTTTAATACGAAGATATATCCTTTTCTATCACTGTCTTCGAAGCGTTTGAAATCTGCACTAGCAAATTCCACAAACAGAGTGTTTCCACTCTGCTCTCTCTCAAGAAAGGTTCAACTCTGTGAGTGGAATACACACAACACAAAGAAGTTACAGAGAATTCTTCTGTCTAGCGTTATATGAAGAAATCCCGTTTCCAACGAAGGCCTCAAAGAGGTCCAAATATCCACTTGCAGACTTTACAAATAGAGTGTTTCCAAACTGCTCTATGAAAAGAAAGGTTAAACTCCGTGAGTTGAAGGCACACATCTCAAACTAGTTTCTGCGAATGACTCTGTGTACTTTTAATACGAAGATGTTTCCATGTCTAAGATTGGCGTGAATTCGCTTGAAATCTCCACTTGCAAATTCCACAAAAAGAGTGTTTCAAAACTGCTCTGAATAAAGGAAGGTTCCACTCTGTGAGTTGAATACACACAACACAAAGGATTTACTGAGAATTCTTCTGTCTAGCAGTAAATGAAAAAATCCCGCTTCCAACGAAGTCCTCAAAGGGGTCCAAGTAATCACTTGCAGACTTTACAGACAGAGTCTTTCCAAACTGCTCTATGAAAAGAAAGGTGGAACTCTGTGAGCTGAACGCACACATAACAAAGCAGTTTCTGAGAATGATTCTGTGTAGTTTTTACACGAAGATATTTCCATTTCAAAGATTAGCCTCAAATCGCTTGAAATCTCCACTTGCAAACTCCACAGAAAGAATTTTTCAAAACTGCTCTGTCTAAAGGAAGGTTCAACTCTGTGACTTGAATACACACAACACAAAGAAGTGACTGAGAATTCTTCTGTCTAGCATTACATGAAGAAATCCCGTTTCCAACGAAGGCCTCAAAGAAGTCCAAATAAGCACCTGCAGACTTTACAAACAGAGTGTTTCCAAACTGCTCTATGAAAAGAAAGGTTAAACTCTGTGAGTTGAACGCACACATCACAAAGTAGTTGTTGAGAATGATTTCTGTGTAGTTTTTATACGAAGATATTTCCTTTTCTGCCATAGGCCTAGAACCGCTTGATATATGCACTTGCAAATTCCAAAAACAGAGTGTTTCAACTCTGCTCTCTCTAAAGAAAGGTTCAACTCTGTGAGTTGAATACACACAACACAAAGAAGTTACTGAGAATTCTTCTGTCTAGCGTTGTATGAAGAAATCCCGTTTCCAACGAAGGCCTCAAAGAGGTCCAAATATCCACTTGCAGACGTTACAAATAGAGTGTTTCCAAACTGCTCTATGAAAAGAAACGTTAAACTCTGTGAGTTGAAGGCACACATCACAAACTAGTTTTTATGAATGACTCTGTGTAGTTTTTATACGAAGATATTTCCTTTTCTGCCATAGGCCCAGAAGCGCTTGAAATCTGCACTTGCAAATTCCAAAAACAGAGTGATTCAAAACTGCTCTCTCTAAAGGAAGGTTCAAATCTGTGAGTTGAATACAAACAACACAAAGAAGTTACTGAGAATTCTTCTGTCTAGCGTTATATGAAGAAATCCCGTTTCCAACGAAGGCCTCAAAGAGGTCCAAATATCCACTTGAAGACTTTACAAATAGAGTGTTTCCCAACTGCTCTATGAAAAGAAAGGTTAAACTCTGTGAGTTGAAGGCACACATCACAAACTAGTTTCTACGAATGACTCTGTGTACTTTTAATATGAAGATATTTCCATGTCTAAGATTGGCGTCAAATCGCTTGAAATCTCCACTTGCAAATTCCACAAAAAGAGTGTTTGAAAACTGCTCTGAATAAAGGAAGGTTCCACTCTGTGAGTTGAATACACACAACACAAAGGATTTACTGAGAATTCTTCTGTCTAGCAGTAAATGAGAAATCCCGCTTCCAACGAAGGCCTCAAAGGGGTCTAACTAATCACTTGCAGACTTTACAGACAGAGTCTTTCCAAACTGCTGTATGAAGAGAAAGGTGAAACTCTGTGAACTGAACGCACAGATGACAAAGCAGTTTCTGAGAATGATTCTGTGTAGTTTTTACACGAAGATATTTCCATTTCAAAGATTAGCCTCAAATCGCTTGAAATCTCCACTTGCAAATTACACAGAAAGAATTTTTCAAAACTGCTCTGTCTAAAGGAAGGTTCAACTCTGTGACTTGAATACACACAACACAAAGAAGTGACTGAGAATTCTTCTGTCTAGCATTATATGAAGAAATCCCGTTTCCAACGAAGGCCTCAATGAAGTCCAAAAAAGCACTTGCAGGCTTTACAAACAGAGTGTTTCCAAACTGCTCTATGAAAAGAAAGGTTAAACTCTGTGAGTTGAACGCACACATCACAAAGTAGTTGTTGAGAATGATTCTGTGTAGTTTTTATACGAAGATATTTCCTTTTCTGCCATAGGCCTAGAATCGCTTGAAATCTGCAGTTGCAAATTCCAAAAACAGAGTGTTTCAACTCTGCTCTCTCTAAAGAAAGGTTCAACTCTGTGAGTTGAATACACACAACACAAAGAAGTTACTGAGAATTCTTCTGTCTAGCGTTGTATGAAGAAATCCCGTTTCCAACGAAGGCCTCAAAGAGGTCCAAATATCCACTTGCAGACTTTACAAATAGAGTGTTTCCAAACTGCTCTATGAAAAGAAAGGTTAAACTCTGTGAGTTGAAGGCACACATCACAAACTAGTTTCTACGAATGACTCTGTGTACTTTTAATATGAAGATATTTCCATGTCTAAGATTGGCGTCAAATCGCTTGAAATCTCCACTTGCAAATTCCACAAAAAGTGTTTTTCAAAACTGCTCTGAATAAAGGAAGGTTCCACTCTGTGAGTTGAATACACACAACACAAAGGATTTACTGAGAATTCTTCTGTCTAGCAGTAAATGAGGAATCCCGCTTCCAACGAAGGCCTCAAAGGGGTCTAACTAATCACTTGCAGACTTTACAGACAGAGTCTTTCCAAACTGCTCTATGAAGAGAAAGGTGAAACTCTGTGAACTGAACGCACAGATGACAAAGCAGTTTCTGAGAATGATTCTGTGTAGTTTTTACACGAAGATATTTCCATTTCAAAGATTAGCCTCAAATCGCTTGAAATCTCCACTTGCAAACTCCACAGAAAGAATTTTTCAAAACTGCTCTTTCTAAAGGAAGGTTCAACTCTGTGACTTGAATACACACAACACAAAGAAGTGACTGAGAATTCTTCTGTCTAGCATTATATGAAGAAATCCCGTTTCCAACGAAGGCCTCAATGAAGTCCAAAAAAGCACTTGCAGGCTTTACAAACAGAGTGTTTCCAAACTGCTCTATGAAAAGAAAGTTTAAACTCTGTGAGTTGAACGCACACATCACAAAGTAGTTGTTGAGAATGATTTTTGTCTAGTTTTAATACGAAGAGATATCCTTTTCTATCACTGTCTTCGAAGCGTTTGAAATCTGCACTAGCAAATTCCACAAGAAGAGTGTTTCAACTCTGCTCTCTCTAAAGAAAGGTTCAACTCGGTGAGTTGAATACACACAACACAAAGAAGTTACTGAGAATTCTTCTGTCTAGCGTTATATGAAGAAATCCCGTTTCCAACGAAGGCCTCAAAGAGGTCCAAATATCCACTTGCAGACTTTACAAATAGAGTGTTTCCAAACTGCTCTATGAAAAGAAAGGTTAAACTCTGTGAGTTGAAGGCACACATCACAAACTAGTTTCTACGAATGACTTCTGTGTACTTTTAATACGAAGATGTTTCCATGTCTAAGATTGGCGTGAATTCGCTTGAAATCCTCCACTTGCAAATTCCACAAAAAGAGTGTTTCAAAACTGCTCTGAATAAAGGAAGGTTCCACTCTGTGAGTTGAATACACACAACACAAAGGATTTACTGAGAATTCTTCTGTCTAGCAGTAAATGAAAAAATCCCGCTTCCAACGATGTCCTCAAAGGGGTCCAAGTAATCACTTGCAGACTTTACAGACAGAGTCTTTCCAAACTGCTCTATGAAAAGAAAGGTGGAACTCTGTGAGCTGAACGCACACATAACAAAGCAGTTTCTGAGAATGATTCTGTGTAGTTTTTACACGAAGATATTTCCATTTCAAAGATTAGCCTCAAATCGCTTGAAATCTCCACTTGCAAATTCCACAGAAAGAGTTTTTCAAAACTGCTCTGTGTAAAGGAAGGTTCAACTCTGTGACTTGAATACACACAACACAAAGAAGTGACTGAGAATTCTTCTGTCTAGCATTATATGAAGAAATCCCGTTTCCAACGAAGGCCTCAAAGAAGTCCAAATAAGCACCTGCAGACTTTACAAACAGAGTGTTTCCAAACTGCTCTATGAAAAGAAAGGTTAAACTCTGTGAGTTGAACGCACACATCACAAAGTAGTTGTTGAGAATGATTCTGTGTAGTTTTTATACGAAGATATTTCCTTTTCTGCCATAGGCCTAGAAGCGCTTGTAATCTGCACTTGCAAATTCCAAAAACAGAGTGTTTCAAATCTGCTCTCTCTAAAGGAAGGTTCAAATCTGTGAGTTGAATACAAACAACACAAAGAAGTTACTGAGAATTCTTCTGTCTAGCATTATAAGAGGAAATCCCGTTTCCAACGAAGGGCTCATAGAGGGACAATTATCCAGCTGCAGACTTACAAAGAGTGTATTTCCAAACTGCTCGATTAAAGAAAGGTTAAACTCTGTGAGTTGAACACACACATCACAAAGTGTTTTCTGAGAATGATTTTGTCTAGTTTTAATACGAAGATATATCCTTTTCTATCACTGTCTTCGAAGCGTTTGAAATCTGCACTAGCAAATTCCACAAACAGAGTGTTTCAACTCTGCTCTCTCTCAAGAAAGGTTCAACTCTGTGAGTGAAATGCACACAACACAAAGAAGTTACTGAGAATTCTTCTGTCTAGCGTTATATGAAGAAATCCTGTTTCCAACGAAGGCCTCAAAGAGGTCCAAATATCCACTTGCAGACTTTACAAATAGAGTGTTTCCAAACTGCTCTATGAAAAGAAAGGTTAAACTCCGTGAGTTGAAGGCACACATCACAAACTAGTTTCTGCGAATGACTCTGTGTACTTTTAATACGAAGATGTTTCCATGTCTAAGATTGGCGTGAATTCGCTTGAAATCTCCACTTGCAAATTCCACAAAAAGAGTGTTTCAAAACTGCTCTGAATAAAGGAAGGTTCCACTCTGTGAGTTGAATACACACAACACAAAGGATTTACTGAGAATTCTTCTGTCTAGCAGTAAATGAAAAAATCCCGCTTCCAACGAAGTCCTCAAAGGGGTCCAAGTAATCACTTGCAGACTTTACAGACAGAGTCTTTCCAAACTGCTCTATGAAAAGAAAGGTGGAACTCTGTGAGCTGAACGCACACATAACAAAGCAGTTTCTGAGAATGATTCTGTGTAGTTTTTACACGAAGATATTTCCATTTCAAAGATTAGCCTCAAATCGCTTGAAATCTCCACTTGCAAATTCCACAGAAAGAGTTTTTCAAAACTGCTCTGTGTAAAGGAAGGTTCAACTCTGTGACT
Source organism: Homo sapiens (assembly GCF_000001405.40). Classification (NCBI taxonomy): domain Eukaryota; kingdom Metazoa; phylum Chordata; class Mammalia; order Primates; family Hominidae; genus Homo; species Homo sapiens. Next base: position 40,125,634 of record NC_000010.11, on the reverse strand, counting down.
TGAATACACACAACACAAAGAAGTGACTGAGAATTCTTCTGTCTAGCATTATATGAAGAAATCCCGTTTCCAACGAAGGCCTCAAAGAAGTCCAAATAAGCACCTGCAGACTTTACAAACAGAGTGTTTCCAAACTGCTCTATGAAAAGAAAGGTTAAACTCTGTGAGTTGAACGCACACATCACAAAGTAGTTGTTGAGAATGATTCTGTGTAGTTTTTATACGAAGATATTTCCTTTTCTGCCATAGGCCTAGAAGCGCTTGCAATCTGCATTTGCAAATTCCAAAAACAGAGTGTTTCAAATCTGCTCCCTCTAAAGGAAGTTTCAAATCTGTGAGTTGAATACAAACAACACAAAGAAGTTACTGAGAATACTTCTGTCTAGCATTATATGAGGAAATCCCGTTTCCAACGAAGGGCTCATAGAGGGACAATTATCCAGCTGCAGACTTACAAAGAGTGTATTTCCAAACTGCTCGATTAAAGAAAGGTTAAACTCTGTGAGTTGAACACACACATCACAAAGTGTTTTCTGAGAATGATTTTGTCTAGTTTTAATACGAAGATATATCCTTTTCTATCACTGTCTTCGAAGCGTTTGAAATCTGCACTAGCAAATTCCACAAACAGAGTGTTTCAACTCTGCTCTCTCTCAAGAAAGGTTCAACTCTGTGAGTGGAATACACACAACACAAAGAAGTTACTGAGAATTCTTCTGTCTAGCGTTATATGAAGAAATCCCGTTTCCAACGAAGGCCTCAAAGACGTCCAAATATCCACTTGCAGACTTTACAAATAGAGTGTTTCCAAACTGCTCTATGAAAAGAAAGGTTAAACTCCGTGAGTTGAAGGCACACATCACAAACTAGTTTCTGCGAATGACTCTGTGTACTTTTAATACGAAGATGTTTCCATGTCTAAGATTGGCGTGAATTCGCTTGAAATCTCCACTTGCAAATTCCACAAAAAGAGTGTTTCAAAACTGCTCTGAATAAAGGAAGGTTCCACTCTGTGAGTTGAATACACACAACACAAAGGATTTACTGAGAATTCTTCTGTCTGGCAGTAAATGAAAAAATCCCGCTTCCAACGAAGTCCTCAAAGGGGTCCAAGTAATCACTTGCAGACTTTACAGACAGAGTCTTTCCAAACTGCTCTATGAAAACAAAGGTGGAACTCTGTGAGCTGAACGCACACATAACAAAGCAGTTTCTGACAATGATTCTGTGTAGTTTTTACACGAAGATATTTCCATTTCAAAGATTAGCCTCAAATCGCTTGAAATCTCCACTTGCAAATTCCACAGAAAGAGTTTTTCAAAACTGCTCTGTGTAAAGGAAGGTTCAACTCTGGGACTTGAATACACACAACACAAAGAAGTGACTGAGAATTCTTCTGTCTAGCATTATATGAAGAAATCCCGTTTCCAACGAAGGCCTCAAAGAAGTCCAAATAAGCACCTGCAGACTTTACAAACAGAGTGTTTCCAAACTGCTCTATGAAAAGAAAGGTTAAACTCTGTGAGTTGAACGCACACATCACAAAGTAGTTGTTGAGAATGATTCTGTGTAGTTTTTATACGAAGATATTTCCTTTTCTGCCATAGGCCTAGAAGGGCTTGTAATCTGCACTTGCAAATTCCAAAAACAGAGTGTTTCAAATCTGCTCTCTCTAAAGGAAGGTTCAAATCTGTGAGTTGAATACAAACAACACAAAGAAGTTACTGAGAATTCTTCTGTCTAGCATTATAAGAGGAAATCCCGTTTCCAACGAAGGGCTCATAGAGGGACAATTATCCAGCTGCAGACTTACAAAGAGTGTATTTCCAAACTGCTCGATTAAAGAAAGGTTAAACTCTGTGAGTTGAACACACACATCACAAAGTGTTTTCTGAGAATGATTTTGTCTAGTTTTAATACGAAGATATATCCTTTTCTATCACTGTCTTCGAAGCGTTTGAAATCTGCACTAGCAAATTCCACAAACAGAGTGTTTCAACTCTGCTCTCTCTCAAGAAAGGTTCAACTCTGTGAGTGGAATACACACAACACAAAGAAGTTACTGAGAATTCTTCTGTCTAGCATTATATGAAGAAATCCCGTTTCCAACGAAGGCCTCAAAGAAGTCCAAATAAGCACCTGCAGACTTTACAAACAGAGTGTTTCCAAACTGCTCTATGAAAAGAAAGGTTAAACTCTGTGAGTTGAACGCACACATCACAAAGTAGTTGTTGAGAATGATTCTGTGTAGTTTTTATACGAAGATATTTCCTTTTCTGCCATAGGCCTAGAAGCGCTTGTAATCTGCACTTGCAAATTCCAAAACCAGAGTGTTTCAAATCTGCTCTCTCTAAAGGAAGGTTCAAATCTGTGAGTTGAATACAAACAACACAAAGAAGTTACTGAGAATTCTTCTGTCTAGCATTATATGAGGAAATCCCGTTTCCAACGAAGGGCTCATAGAGGGACAATTATCCAGCTGCAGACTTACAAAGAGTGTATTTCCAAACTGCTCGATTAAAGAAAGGTTAAACTCTGTGAGTTGAACACACACATCACAAAGTGTTTTCTGAGAATGATTTTGTCTAGTTTTAATACGAAGATATATCCTTTTCTATCACTGTCTTCGAAGCGTTTGAAATCTGCACTAGCAAATTCCACAAACAGAGTGTTTCAACTCTGCTCTCTCTCAAGAAAGGTTCAACTCTGTGAGTGGAATACACACAACACAAAGAAGTTACTGAGAATTCTTCTGTCTAGCGTTATATGAAGAAATCCCGTTTCCAACGAAGACCTCAAAGAGGTCCAAATATCCACTTGCAGACTTTACAAATAGAGTGTTTCCAAACTGCTCTATGAAAAGAAAGGTTAAACTCCGTGAGTTGAAGGCACACATCACAAACTAGTTTCTGCGAATGACTCTGTGTACTTTTAATACGAAGATGTTTCCATGTCTAAGATTGGCGTGAATTCGCTTGAAATCTCCACTTGCAAATTCCACAAAAAGAGTGTTTCAAAACTGCTCTGAATAAAGGAAGGTTCCACTCTGTGAGTTGAATACACACAACACAAAGGATTTACTGAGAATTCTTCTGTCTAGCAGTAAATGAAAAAATCCCGCTTCCAACGAAGTCCTCAAAGGGGTCCAAGTAATCACTTGCAGACTTTACAGACAGAGTCTTTCCAAACTGCTCTATGAAAAGAAAGGTGGAACTCTGTGAGCTGAACGCACACATAACAAAGCAGTTTCTGAGAATGATTCTGTGTAGTTTTTACACGAAGATATTTCCATTTCAAAGATTAGCCTCAAATCGCTTGAAATCTCCACTTGCAAATTCCACAGAAAGAGTTTTTCAAAACTGCTCTGTGTAAAGGAAGGTTCAACTCTGTGACTTGAATCCACACAACACAAAGAAGTGACTGAGAATTCTTCTGTCTAGCATTATATGAAGAAATCCCGTTTCCAACGAAGGCCTCAAAGAAGTCCAAATAAGCACCTGCAGACTTTACAAACAGAGTGTTTCCAAACTGCTCTATGAAAAGAAAGGTTAAACTCTGTGAGTTGAACGCACACATCACAAAGTAGTTGTTGAGAATGATTCTGTGTAGTTTTTATACGAAGATATTTCCTTTTCTGCCATAGGCCTAGAAGCGCTTGCAATCTGCACTTGCAAATTCCAAAAACAGAGTGTTTCAAATCTGCTCTCTCCAAAGGAAGGTTCAAATCTGTGAGTTGAATACAAACAACACAAAGAAGTTACTGAGAATTCTTCTGTCTAGCATTATATGAGGAAATCCCGTTTCCAACGAAGGGCTCATAGAGGGACAATTATCCAGCTGCAGACTTACAAAGAGTGTATTTCCAAACTGCTCGATTAAAGAAAGGTTAAACTCTGTGAGTTGAACACACACATCACAAAGTGTTTTCTGAGAATGATTTTGTCTAGTTTTAATACGAAGATATATCCTTTTCTATCACTGTCTTCGAAGCGTTTGAAATCTGCACTAGCAAATTCCACAAACAGAGTGTTTCAACTCTGCTCTCTCTCAAGAAAGGTTCAACTCTGTGAGTGGAATACACACAACACAAAGAAGTTACTGAGAATTCTTCTGTCTAGCGTTATATGAAGAAATCCCGTTTCCAACGAAGGCCTCAAAGAGGTCCAAATATCCACTTGCAGACTTTACAAATAGAGTGTTTCCAAACTGCTCTATGAAAAGAAAGGTTAAACTCCGTGAGTTGAAGGCACACATCACAAACTAGTTTCTGCGAATGACTCTGTGTACTTTTAATACGAAGATGTTTCCATGTCTAAGATTGGCGTAAATTCGCTTGAAATCTCCACCTGCAAATTCCACAAAAAGAATGTTTCAAAACTGCTCTGAATAGAGAAAGGTTCCACTCTGTGAGTTGAATACACACAACACAAAGGATTTACTGAGAATTCTTCTGTCTAGCAGTAAATGAAAAAATCCCGCTTCCAACGAAGTCCTCAAAGGGGTCCAAGTAATCACTTGCAGACTTTACAGACAGAGTCTTTCCAAACTGCTCTATGAAAAGAAAGGTGGAACTCTGTGAGCTGAACGCACACATAACAAAGCAGTTTCTGAGAATGATTCTGTGTGGTTTTTACACGAAGCTATTTCCATTTCAAAGATTAGCCTCAAATCGCTTGAAATCTCCACTTGCAAATTCCACAGAAAGAGTTTTTCAAAACTGCTCTGTGTAAAGGAAGGTTCAACTCTGTGACTTGAATACACACAACACAAAGAAGTGACTGAGAATTCTTCTGTCTAGCATTACATGAAGAAATCCCGTTTCCAACGAAGGCCTCAAAGAAGTCCAAATAAGCACCTGCAGACTTTACAAACAGAGTGTTTCCAAACTGCTCTATGAAAAGAAAGGTTAAACTCTGTGAGTTGAACGCACACATCACAAAGTAGTTGTTGAGAATGATTCTGTGTAGTTTTTATACGAAGATATTTCCTTTTCTGCCATAGGCCTAGAATCGCTTGTAATCTACACTTGCAAATTCCAAAAACAGAGTGTTTCAAATCTGCTCTCTCTAAAGGAAGGTTCAAATCTGTGAGTTGAATACAAACAACACAAAGAAGTTACTGTGAATTCTTCTGTCTAGCATTATAAGAGGAAATCCCGTTTCCAACGAAGGGCTCATAGAGGGACAATTATCCAGCTGCAGACTTACAAAGAGTGTATTTCCAAACTGCTCGATTAAAGAAAGGTTAAACTCTGTGAGTTGAACACACACATCACAAAGTGTTTTCTGAGAATGATTTTGTCTAGTTTTAATACGAAGATATATCCTTTTCTATCACTGTCTTCGAAGCGTTTGAAATCTGCACTAGCAAATTCCACAGAAAGAGTGTTTCAACTCTGCTCTCTCTCAAGAAAGGTTCAACTCTGTGAGTTGAATACACACAACACAAAGAAGTTACTGAGAATTCTTCTGTCTAGCGTTATATGAAGAAATCCCGTTTCCAACGAAGGCCTCAAAGAGGTCCAAATATCCACTTGCAGACTTTACAGATAGAGTGTTTCCAAACTGCTCTATGAAAAGAAAGGTTAAACTCCGTGAGTTGAAGGCACACATCACAAACTAGTTTCTGCGAATGACTCTGTGTACTTTTAATACGAAGATGTTTCCATGTCTAAGATTGGCGTGAATTCGCTTGAAATCTCCACTTGCAAATTCCACAAAAAGAGTGTTTCAAAACTGCTCTGAATACAGGAAGGTTCCACTCTGTGAGTTGAATACACACAACACAAAGGATTTACTGAGAATTCTTCTGTCTAGCAGTAAATGAAAAAATCCCGCTTCCAACGAAGTCCTCAAAGGGGTCCAAGTAATCACTTGCAGACTTTACAGACAGAGTCTTTCCAAACTGCTCTATGAAAAGAAAGGTGGAACTCTGTGAGCTGAACGCACACATAACAAAGAAGTTTCTGAGAATGATTCTGTGTAGTTTTTACACGAAGCTATTTCCATTTCAAAGATTAGCCTCAAATCGCTTGAAATCTCCACTTGCAAATTCCACAGAAAGAGTTTTTCAAAACTGCTCTGTGTAAAGGATGGTTCAACTCTGTGACTTGAATACACACAACACAAAGAAGTGACTGAGAATTCTTCTGTCTAGCATTACATGAAGAAATCCCGTTTCCAACGAAGGCCTCAAAGAAGTCCAAATAAGCACCTGCAGACTTTACAAACAGAGTGTTTCCAAACTGCTCTATGAAAAGAAAGGTTAAACTCTGTGAGTTGAACGCACACATCACAAAGTAGTTGTTGAGAATGATTCTGTGTAGTTTTTATACGAAGATATTTCCTTTTCTGCCATAGGCCTAGAAGCGCTTGTAATCTGCACTTGCAAATTCCAAAAACAGAGTGTTTCAAATCTGCTCTCTCTAAAGGAAGGTTCAAATCTGTGAGTTGAATACAAACAACACAAAGAAGTTACTGAGAATTCTTCTGTCTAGCATTATAAGAGGAAATCCCGTTTCCAACGAAGGGCTCATAGAGGGACAATTATCCAGCTGCAGACTTACAAAGAGTGTTTTTCGAAACTGCTCGATTAAAGAAAGGTTAAACTCTGTGAGTTGAACACACACATCACAAAGTGTTTTCTGAGAATGATTTTGTCTAGTTTTAATACGAAGATATATCCTTTTCTATCACTGTCTTCGAAGCGTTTGAAATCTGCACTAGGAAATTCCACAGAAAGAGTGTTTCAACTCTGCTCTCTCTCAAGAAAGGTTCAACTCTGTGAGTTGAATACACACAACACAAAGAAGTTACTGAGAATTCTTCTGTCTAGCGTTATATGAAGAAATCCCGTTTCCAACGAAGGCCTCAAAGAGGTCCAAATATCCACTTGCAGACTTTACAAATAGAGTGTTTCCAAACTGCTCTATGAAAAGAAAGGTTAAACTCCGTGAGTTGAAGGCACACATCACAAGCTAGTTTCTGCGAATGACTCTGTGTACTTTTAATACGAAGTTGTTTCCATGTCTAAGATTGGCGTGAATTCGCTTGAAATCTCCACTTGCAAATTCCACAAAAAGAGTGTTTCAAAACTGCTCTGAATAAAGGAAGGTTCCACTCTGTGAGTTGAATACACACAACACAAAGGATTTACTGAGAATTCTTCTGTCTAGCAGTAAATGAAAAAATCCCGCTTCCAACGAAGTCCTCAAAGGGGTCCAAGTAATCACTTGCAGACTTTACAGACAGAGTCTTTCCAAACTGCTCTATGAAAAGAAAGGTGGAACTCTGTGAGCTGAACGCACACATAACAAAGCAGTTTCTGAGAATGATTCTGTGTAGTTTTTACACGAAGCTATTTCCATTTCAAAGATTAGCCTCAAATCGCTTGAAATCTCCACTTGCAAATTCCACAGAAAGAGTTTTTCAAAACTGCTCTGTGTAAAGGAAGGTTCAACTCTGTGACTTGAATACACACAACACAAAGAAGTGACTGAGAATTCTTCTGTCTAGCATTACATGAAGAAATCCCGTTTCCAACGAAGGCCTCAAAGAAGTCCAAATAAGCACCTGCAGACTTTACAAACAGAGTGTTTCCAAACTGCTCTATGAAAAGAAAGGTTAACTCTGTGAGTTGAACGCACACATCACAAAGTAGTTGTTGAGAATGATTCTGTGTAGTTTTTATACGAAGATATTTCCTTTTCTGCCATAGGCCTAGAAGCGCTTGAAATCTGCACTTGCAAATTCCAAAAACAGAGTGTTTCAAATCTGCTCTCTCTAAAGGAAGGTTCAAATCTGTGAGTTGAATACAAACAACACAAAGAAGTTACTGAGAATTCTTCTGTCTAGCATTATAAGAGGAAATCCTGTTTCCAACGAAGGGCTCATAGAGGGACAATTATCCAGCTGCAGACTTACAAAGAGTGTATTTCCAAACTGCTCGATTAAAGAAAGGTTAAACTCTGTGAGTTGAACACACACATCACAAAGTGTTTTCTGAGAATGATTTTGTCTAGTTTTAATACGAAGATATATCCTTTTCTATCACTGTCTTCGAAGCGTTTGAAATCTGCACTAGCAAATTCCACAGAAAGAGTGTTTCAACTCTGCTCTCTCTCAAGAAAGGTTCAACTCTGTGAGTTGAATACACACAACACAAAGAAGTTACTGAGAATTCTTCTGTCTAGCGTTATATGAAGAAATCCCGTTTCCAACGAAGGCCTCAAAGAGGTCCAAATATCCACTTGCAGACTTTACAAATAGAGTGTTTCCAAACTGCTCTATGAAAAGAAAGGTTAAACTCCGTGAGTTGAAGGCACACATCACAAACTAGTTTCTGCGAATGACTCTGTGTACTTTTAATACGAAGATGTTTCCATGTCTAAGATTGGCGTGAATTCGCTTGAAATCTCCACTTGCAAATTCCACAAAAAGAGTGTTTCAAAAGTGCTCTGAATAAAGGAAGGTTCCACTCTGTGAGTTGAATACACACAACACAAAGGATTTACTGAGAATTCTTCTGTCTAGCAGTAAATGAAAAAATCCCGCTTCCAACGAAGTCCTCAAAGGGGTCCAAGTAATCACTTGCAGACTTTGCAGACAGAGTCTTTCCAAACTTCTCTATGAAAAGAAAGGTGGAACTCTGTGAGCTGAACGCACACATAACAAAGCAGTTTCTGAGAATGATTCTGTGTAGTTTTTACACGAAGCTATTTCCATTTCAAAGATTAGCCTCAAATCGCTTGAAATCTCCACTTGCAAATTCCACAGAAAGAGTTTTTCAAAACTGCTCTGTGTAAAGGAAGGTTCAACTCTGTGACTTGAATACACACAACACAAAGAAGTGACTGAGAATTCTTCTGTCTAGCATTAAATGAAGAAATCCCGTTTCCAACGAAGGCCTCAAAGAAGTCCAAATAAGCACCTGCAGACTTTACAAACAGAGTGTTTCCAAACTGCTCTATGAAAAGAAAGGTTAAACTCTGTGAGTTGAACGCACACATCACAAAGTAGTTGTTGAGAATGATTCTGTGTAGTTTTTATACGAAGATATTTCCTTTTCTGCCATAGGCCTAGAAGCGCTTGTAATCTGCACTTGCAAATTCCAAAAACAGAGTGTTTCAAATCTGCTCTCTCTAAAGGAAGGTTCAAATCTGTGAGTTGAATACAAACAACACAAAGAAGTTACTGAGAATTCTTCTGTCTAGCATTATAAGAGGAAATCCTGTTTCCAACGAAGGGCTCATAGAGGGACAATTATCCAGCTGCAGACTTACAAAGAGTGTATTTCCAAACTGCTCGATTAAAGAAAGGTTAAACTCTGTGAGTTGAACACACACATCACAAAGTGTTTTCTGAGAATGATTTTGTCTAGTTTCAATACGAAGATATATCCTTTTCTATCACTGTCTTCGAAGCGTTTGAAATCTGCACTAGCAAATTCCACAGAAAGAGTGTTTCAACTCTGCTCTCTCTCAAGAAAGGTTCAACTCTGTGAGTTGAATACACACAACACAAAGAAGTTACTGAGAATTCTTCTGTCTAGCGTTATATGAAGAAATCCCGTTTCCAACGAAGGCCTCAAAGAGGTCCAAATATCCACTTGCAGACTTTACAGATAGAGTGTTTCCAAACTGCTCTATGAAAAGAAAGGTTAAACTCCGTGAGTTGAAGGCACACATCACAAACTAGTTTCTGCGAATGACTCTGTGTACTTTTAATACGAAGATGTTTCCATGTCTAAGATTGGCGTGAATTCGCTTGAAATCTCCACTTGCAAATTCCACAAAAAGAGTGTTTCAAAACTGCTCTGAATAAAGGAAGGTTCCACTCTGTGAGTTGAATACACACAACACAAAGGATTTACTGAGAATTCTTCTGTCTAGCAGTAAATGAAAAAATCCCGCTTCCAACGAAGTCCTCAAAGGGGTCCAAGTAATCACTTGCAGACTTTACAGACAGAGTCTTTCCAAACTGCTCTATGAAAAGAAAGGTGGAACTCTGTGAGCTGAACGCACACATAACAAAGAAGTTTCTGAGAATGATTCTGTGTAGTTTTTACACGAAGCTATTTCCATTTCAAAGATTAGCCTCAAATCGCTTGAAATCTCCACTTGCAAATTCCACAGAAAGAGTTTTTCAAAACTGCTCTGTGTAAAGGAAGGTTCAACTCTGTGACTTGAATACACACAACACAAAGAAGTGACTGAGAATTCTTCTGTCTAGCATTACATGAAGAAATCCCGTTTCCAACGAAGGCCTCAAAGAAGTCCAAATAAGCACCTGCAGACTTTACAAACAGAGTGTTTCCAAACTGCTCTATGAAAAGAAAGGTTAAACTCTGTGAGTTGAACGCACACATCACAAAGTAGTTGTTGAGAATGATTCTGTGTAGTTTTTATACGAAGATATTTCCTTTTCTGCCATAGGCCTAGAAGCGCTTGTAATCTGCACTTGCAAATTCCAAAAACAGAGTGTTTCAAATCTGCTCTCTCTAAAGGAAGGTTCAAATCTGTGAGTTGAGTACAAACAACACAAAGAAGTTACTGAGAATTCTTCTGTCTAGCATTATAAGAGGAAATCCCGTTTCCAACGAAGGGCTCATAGAGGGACAATTATCCAGCTGCAGACTTACAAAGAGTGTATTTCCAAACTGCTCGATTAAAGAAAGGTTAAACTCTGTGAGTTGAACACACACATCACAAAGTGTTTTCTGAGAATGATTTTGTCTAGTTTTAATACGAAGTATATATCCTTTTCTATCACTGTCTTCGAAGCGTTTGAAATCTGCACTAGCAAATTCCACAAACAGAGTGTTTCAACTCTGCTCTCTCTCAAGAAAGGTTCAACTCTGTGAGTGGAATACACACAACACAAAGAAGTTACTGAGAATTCTTCTGTCTAGCGTTATATGAAGAAATCCCGTTTCCAACGAAGGCCTCAAAGAGGTCCAAATATCCACTTGCAGACTTTACAAATAGAGTGTTTCCAAACTGCTCTATGAAAAGAAAGGTTAAACTCTGTGAGTTGAAGGCACACATCACAAACTAGTTTCTGCGAATGACTCTGTGTACTTTTAATACGAAGATGTTTCCATGTCTAAGATTGGCGTGAATTCGCTTGAAATCTCCACTTGCAAATTCCACAAAAAGAGTGTTTCAAAACTGCTCTGAATAAAGGAAGGTTCCACTCTGTGAGTTGAATACACACAACACAAAGGATTTACTGAGAATTCTTCTGTCTAGCAGTAAATGAAAAAATCCCGCTTCCAACGAAGTCCTCAAAGGGGTCCAAGTAATCACTTGCAGACTTTACAGACAGAGTCTTTCCAAACTGCTCTATGAAAAGAAAGGTGGAACTCTGTGAGCTGAACGCACACATAACAAAGCAGTTTCTGAGAATGATTCTGTGTAGTTTTTACACGAAGATATTTCCATTTCAAAGATTAGCCTCAAATCGCTTGAAATCTCCACTTGCAAATTCCACAGAAAGAGTTTTTCAAAACTGCTCTGTGTAAAGGAAGGTTCAACTCTGTGACTTGAATACACACAACACAAAGAAGTGACTGAGAATTCTTCTGTCTAGCATTACATGAAGAAATCCCGTTTCCAACGAAGGCCTCAAAGAAGTCCAAATAAGCACCTGCAGACTTTACAAACAGAGTGTTTCCAAACTGCTCTATGAAAAGAAAGGTTAAACTCTGTGAGTTGAACGCACACATCACAAAGTAGTTGTTGAGAATGATTCTGTGTAGTTTTTATACGAAGATATTTCCTTTTCTGCCATAGGCCTAGAAGCGCTTGTAATCTGCACTTGCAAATTCCAAAAACAGAGTGTTACAAATCTGCTCTCTCTAAAGGAAGGTTCAATCTGTGAGTTGAATACAAACAACACAAAGTAGTTACTGAGAATTCTTCTGTCTAGCATTATAAGAGGAAATCCCGTTTCCAACGAAGGGCTCATAGAGGGACAATTATCCAGCTGCAGACTTACAAAGAGTGTATTTCCAAACTGCTCGATTAAAGAAAGGTTAAACTCTGTGAGTTGAACACACACATCACAAAGTGTTTTCTGAGAATGATTTTGTCTAGTTTTAATACGAAGATATACCCTTTTCTATCACTGTCTTCGAAGCGTTTGAAATCTGCACTAGCAAATTCCACAGAAAGAGTGTTTCAACTCTGCTCTCTCTCAAGAAAGGTTCAACTCTGTGAGTTGAATACACACAACACAAAGAAGTTACTGAGAATTCTTCTGTCTAGCGTTATATGAAGAAATCCCATTTCCAACGAAGGCCTCAAAGAGGTCCAAATATCCACTTGCAGACTTTACAAATAGAGTGTTTCCAAACTGCTCTATGAAAAGAAAGGTTAAACTCCGTGAGTTGAAGGCACACATCACAAACTAGTTTCTGCGAATGACTCTGTGTACTTTTAATACGAAGATGTTTCCATGTCTAAGATTGGCGTGAATTCGCTTGAAATCTCCACTTGCAAATTCCACAAAAAGAGTGTTTCAAAACTGCTCTGAATAAAGGAAGGTTCCACTCTGTGAGTTGAATACACACAATACAAAGGATTTACTGAGAATTCTTCTGTCTAGCAGTAAATGAAAAAATCCCGCTTCCAACGAAGTCCTCAAAGGGGTCCAAGTATTCACTTGCAGACTTTACAGACAGAGTCTTTCCAAACTGCTCTATGAAAAGAAAGGTGGAACTCTGTGAGCTGAACGCACACATAACAAAGCAGTTTCTGAGAATGATTCTGTGTAGTTTTTACACGAAGCTATTTCCATTTCAAAGATTAGCCTCAAATCGCTTGAAATCTCCACTTGCAAATTCCACAGAAAGAGTTTTTCAAAACTGCTCTGTGTAAAGGAAGGTTCAACTCTGTGACTTGAATACACACAACACAAAGAAGTGACTGAGAATTCTTCTGTCTAGCATTATATGAAGAAATCCCGTTTCCAACGAAGGCCTCAAAGAAGTCCAAATAAGCACCTGCAGACTTTACAAACAGAGTGTTTCCAAACTGCTCTATGAAAAGAAAGGTTAAACTCTGTGAGTTGAAGGCACACATCACAAACTAGTTTCTGCGAATGACTCTGTGTACTTTTAATACGAAGATGTTTCCATGTCTAAGATTGGCGTGAATTCGCTTGAAATCTCCACTTGCAAATTCCACAAAAAGAGTGTTTCAAAACTGCTCTGAATAAAGGAAGGTTCCACTCTGTGAGTTGAATACACACAACACAAAGGATTTACTGAGAATTCTTCTGTCTAGCAGTAAATGAAAAAATCCCGCTTCCAACGAAGTCCTCAAAGGGGTCCAAGTAATCACTTGCAGACTTTACAGACAGAGTCTTTCCAAACTGCTCTATGAAAAGAAAGGTGGAACTCTGTGAGCTGAACGCACACATAACAAAGCAGTTTCTGAGAATGATTCTGTGTAGTTTTTACACGAAGATATTTCCATTTCAAAGATTAGCCTCAAATCGCTTGAAATCTCCACTTGCAAATTCCACAGAAAGAGTTTTTCAAAACTGCTCTGTGTAAAGGAAGGTTCAACTCTGTGACTTGAATACACACAACACAAAGAAGTGACTGAGAATTCTTCTGTCTAGCATTATATGAAGAAATCCCGTTTCCAACGAAGGCCTCAAAGAAGTCCAAATAAGCACCTGCAGACTTTACAAACAGAGTGTTTCCAAACTGCTCTATGAAAAGAAAGGTTAAACTCTGTGAGCTGAACGCACACATCACAAAGTAGTTGTTGAGAATGATTCTGTGTAGTTTTTATACGAAGATATTTCCTTTTCTGCCATAGGCTTAGAAGCGCTTGCAATCTGCACTTGCAAATTCCAAAAACAGAGTGTTTCAAATCTGCTCTCTCCAAAGGAAGGTTCAAATCTGTGAGTTGAATACAAACAACACAAAGAAGTTACTGAGAGTTCTTCTGTCTAGCATTATATGAGGAAATCCCGTTTCCAACGAAGGGCTCATAGAGGGACAATTATCCAGCTGCAGACTTACAAAGAGTGTATTTCCAAACTGCTCGATTAAAGAAAGGTTAAACTCTGTGAGTTGAACACACACATCACAAAGTGTTTTCTGAGAATGATTTTGTCTAGTTTTAATACGAAGATATATCCTTTTCTATCACTGTCTTCGAAGCGTTTGAAATCTGCACTAGCAAATTCCACAGAAAGAGTGTTTCAAATCTGCTCTCTCTCAAGAAAGGTTCAACTCTGTGAGTGGAATACACACAACACAAAGAAGTTACAGAGAATTCTTCTGTATAGCGTTATATGAAGAAATCCCGTTTCCAACGAAGGCCTCAAAGAGGTCCAAATATCCACTTGCAGACTTTACAAATAGAGTGTTTCCAAACTGCTCTATGAAAAGAAAGGTTAAACTCCGTGTGTTGAAGGCACACATCTCAAACTAGTTTCTGCGAATGACTCTGTGTACTTTTAATACGAAGATGTTTCCATGTCTAAGATTGGCGTGAATTCGCTTGAAATCTCCACTTGCAAATTCCCCAAAAAGAGTGTTTCAAAACTGCTCTGAATAAAGGAAGGTTCCACTCTGTGAGTTGAATACACACAACACGAAGGATTTACTGAGAATTCTTCTGTCTAGCAGTAAATGAAAAAATCCCGCTTCCAATGAAGTCCTCAAAGGGGTCCAAGTAATCACTTGCAGACTTTACAGAGTCTTTCCAAACTGCTCTATGAAAAGAAAGGTGGAACTCTGTGAGCTGAACGCACACATAACAAAGCAGTTTCTGACAATGATTCTGTGTAGTTTTTACACGAAGATATTTCCATTTCAAAGATTAGCCTCAAATCGCTTGAAATCTCCACTTGCAAATTCCACAGAAAGAGTTTTTCAAAACTGCTCTGTGTAAAGGAAGGTTCAACTCTGTGACTTGAATACACACAACACAAAGAAGTGACTGAGAATTCTTCTGTCTAGCATTATATGAAGAAATCCCGTTTCCAACGAAGGCCTCAAAGAAGTCCAAATAAGCACCTGCAGACTTTACAAACAGAGTGTTTCCAAACTGCTCTATGAAAAGAAAGGTTAAACTCTGTGAGTTGAACGCACACATCACAAAGTAGTTGTTGAGAATGATTCTGTGTAGTTTTTATACGAAGATATTTCCTTTTCTGCCATAGGCCTAGAAGCGCTTGTAATCTGCACTTGCAAATTCCAAAAACAGAGTGTTTCAAATCTGCTCTCTCTAAAGGAAGGTTCAAATCTGTGAGTTGAATACAAACAACACAAAGAAGTTACTGAGAATTCTTCTGTCTAGCATTATAAGAGGAAATCCCGTTTCCAACGAAGGGCTCATAGAGGGACAATTATCCAGCTGCAGACTTACAAAGAGTGTATTTCCAAACTGCTCGATTAAAGAAAGGTTAAACTCTGTGAGTTGAACACACACATCACAAAGTGTTTTCTGAGAATGATTTTGTCTAGTTTTAATACGAAGATATATCCTTTTCTATCACTGTCTTCGAAGCGTTTGAAATCTGCACTAGCAAATTCCACAGAAAGAGTGTTTCAAATCTGCTCTCTCTCAAGAAAGGTTCAACTCTGTGAGTTGAATACACACAATACAAAGAAGTTACTGAGAATTCTTCTGTCTAGCGTTATATGAAGAAATCCCGTTTCCAACGAAGGCCTCAAAGAGGTCCAAATATCCACTTGCAGACTTTACAAATAGAGTGTTTCCAAACTGCTCTATGAAAAGAAAGGTTAAACTCCGTGAGTTGAAGGCACACATCACAAACTAGTTTCTGCGAATGACTCTGTGTACTTTTAATACGAAGATGTTTCCATGTCTAAGATTGGCGTGAATTCGCTTGAAATCTCCACCTGCAAATTCCACAAAAAGAGTGTTTCAAAAGTGCTCTGAATAAAGGAAGGTTCCACTCTGTGAGTTGAATACACACAACACAAAGGATTTACTGAGAATTCTTCTGTCTAGCAGTAAATGAAAAAATCCCGCTTCCAACGAAGTCCTCAAAGGGGTCCAAGTAATCACTTGCAGACTTTACAGACAGAGTCTTTCCAAACTGCTCTATGAAAAGAAAGGTGGAACTCTGTGAGCTGAACGCACACATAACAAAGCAGTTTCTGAGAATGATTCTGTGTAGTTTTTAAACGAAGATATTTCCATTTCAAAGATTAGCCTCAAATCGCTTGAAATCTCCACTTGCAAATTCCACAGAAAGAGTTTTTCAAAACTGCTCTGTGTAAAGGAAGGTTCAACTCTGTGACTTGAATACACACAACACAAAGAAGTGACTGAGAATTCTTCTGTCTAGCATTATATGAAGAAATCCCGTTTCCAACGAAGGCCTCAAAGAAGTCCAAATAAGCACCTGCAGACTTTACAAACAGAGTGTTTCCAAACTGCTCTATGAAAAGAAAGGTTATACTCTGTGAGCTGAACGCACACATCACAAAGTAGTTGTTGAGAATGATTCTGTGTAGTTTTTATACGAAGATATTTCCTTTTCTGCCATAGGCCTAGAAGCGCTTGCAATCTGCACTTGCAAATTCCACAAACAGAGTGTTTCAACTCTGCTCTCTCCAAGAAAGGTTCAACTCTGTGAGTGGAATACACACAACACAAAGAAGTTTCTGAGAATTCTTCTGTCTAGCGTTATATGAAGAAATCCCGTTTCCAACGAAGGCCTCAAAGAGGTCCAAATATCCACTTGCAGACTTTACAAATAGAGTGTTTCCAAACTGCTCTATGAAAAGAAAGGTTAAACTCTGTGAGTTGAAGGCACACATCACAAACTAGTTTCTGCGAATGACTCTGTGTACTTTTAATACGAAGATGTTTCCATGTCTACGATTGGCGTGAATTCGCTTGAAATCTCCACTTGCAAATTCCACAAAAAGAGTGTTTCAAAACTGCTCTGAATAAAGGAAGGTTCCACTCTGTGAGTTGAATACACACAACACAAAGGATTTACTGAGAATTCTTCTGTCTAGCAGTAAATGAAAAAATCCCGCTTCCAACGAAGTCCTCAAAGGGGTCCAAGTAATCACTTGCAGACTTTACAGACAGAGTCTTTCCAAACTGCTCTATGAAAAGAAAGGTGGAACTCTGTGAGCTGAACGCACACATAACAAAGCAGTTTCTGAGAATGATTCTGTGTAGTTTTTACACGAAGATATTTCCATTTCAAAGATTAGCCTCAAATCGCTTGAAATCTCCACTTGCAAATTCCACAGAAAGAGTTTTTCAAAACTGCTCTGTGTAAAGGAAGGTTCAACTCTGTGACTTGAATACACACAACACAAAGAAGTGACTGAGAATTCTTCTGTCTAGCATTATATGAAGAAATCCCGTTTCCAACGAAGGCCTCAAAGAAGTCCAAATAAGCACCTGCAGACTTTACAAACGGAGTGTTTCCAAACTGCTCTATGAAAAGAAAGGTTAAACTCTGTGAGTTGAATGCACACATCACAAAGTAGTTGTTGAGAATGATTCTGTGTAGTTTTTATACGAAGATATTTCCTTTTCTGCCATAGGCCTAGAAGCGCTTGCAATCTGCACTTGCAAATTCCAAAAACAGAGTGTTTCAAATCTGCTCTCTCCAAAGGAAGGTTCAAATCTGTGAGTTGAATACAAACAACACAAAGAAGTTACTGAGAATTCTTCTGTCTAGCGTTATATGAAGAAATTCCTTTTCCAACGAAGGCCTCAAAGAGGTCCAAATATCCACTTGCAGACTTTACAAATAGAATGTTTCCGAACAGCTCTATGAAAAGAAAGGTTAAACTCTGTGAGTTGAAGGCACACATCACAAACTAGTTTCTACGAATGATTCTGTGTACTTTTAATATGAAGATTTTCCCATGTCTAAGATTGGCGTCAAATCGCTTGAAATCTCCACTTGCAAATTCCACAAAAAGTGTTTTTCAAAACTGCTCTGAATAAAGGAAGGTTCCACTCTGTGAGTTGAATACACACAACACAAAGGATTTACTGAGAATTCTTCTGTCTAGCAGTAAATGAGAAATCCCGCTTCCAACGAAGGCCTCAAAGGGGTCTAACTAATCACTTGCAGACATTACAGACAGAGTCTTTCCAAACTGCTCTATGAAGAGAAAGGTGAAACTCTGTGAACTGAACGCACAGATGACAAAGCAGTTTCTGAGAATGATTCTGTGTAGTTTTTACACGAAGCTATTTCCATTTCAAAGATTAGCCTCAAATCGCTTGAAATCTCCACTTGCAAATTCCACAGAAAGAGTTTTTCAAAACTGCTCTGTGTAAAGGAAGGTTCAACTCTGTGACTTGAATACACACAACACAAAGAAGTGACTGAGAATTCTTCTGTCTAGCATTATATGAAGAAATCCCGTTTCCAACGAAGGCCTCAAAGAAGTCCAAATAAGCACCTGCAGACTTTACAAACAGAGTGTTTCCAAACTGCTCTATGAAAAGAAAGGTTAAACTCTGTGAGTTGAACGCACACATCACAAAGTAGTTGTTGAGAATGATTCTGTGTAGTTTTTATACGAAGATATTTCCTTTTCTGCCATAGGCCTAGAAGCGCTTGTAATCTGCACTTGCAAATTCGAAAACAGAGTGTTTCAAATCTGCTCTCTCTAAAGGAAGGTTCAAATCTGTGAGTTGAATACAAACAACACAAAGAAGTTACTGAGAATTCTTCTGTCTAGCATTATAAGAGGAAATCCCGTTTCCAACGAAGGGCTCATAGAGGGACAATTATCCAGCTGCAGACTTACAAAGAGTGTATTTCCAAACTGCTCGATTAAAGAAAGGTTAAACTCTGTGAGTTGAACACACACATCACAAAGTGTTTTCTGAGAATGATTTTGTCTAGTTTTAATACGAAGATATATCCTTTTCTATCACTGTCTTCGAAGTGTTTGAAATCTGCACTAGCAAATTCCACAAAAAGAGTGTTTCAACTCTGCTCTCTCTCAAGAAAGGTTCAACTCTGTGAGTGGAATACACACAACACAAAGAAGTTACTGAGAATTCTTCTGTCTAGCGTTATATGAAGAAATCCCGTTTCCAACGAAGGCCTCAAAGAGGTCCAAATATCCACTTGCAGACTTTACAAATAGAGTGTTTCCAAACTGCTCTATGAAAAGAAAGGTTAAACTCCGTGAGTTGAAGGCACACATCACAAACTAGTTTCTGCGAATGACTCTGTGTACTTTTAATACGAAGATGTTTCCATGTCTAAGATTGGCGTGAATTCGCTTGAAATCTCCACTTGCAAATTCCACAAAAAGAGTGTTTCAAAACTGCTCTGAATAAAGGAAGGTTCCACTCTGTGAGTTGAATACACACAACACAAAGGATTTACTGAGAATTCTTCTGTCTAGCGGTAAATGAAAAAATCCCGCTTCCAACGAAGTCCTCAAAGGGGTCCAAGTAATCACTTGCAGACTTTACAGACAGAGTCTTTCCAAACTGCTCTATGAAAAGAAAGGTGGAACTCTGTGAGCTGAACGCACACATAACAAAGCAGTTTCTGAGAATGATTCTGTGTAGTTTTTACACGAAGATATTTCCATTTCAAAGATTAGCCTCAAATCGCTTGAAATCTCCACTTGCAAATTCCACAGAAAGAGTTTTTCAAAACTGCTCTGTGTAAAGGAAGGTTCAACTCTGTGACTTGAATACACACAACACAAAGAAGTGACTGAGAATTCTTCTGTCTAGCGTTGTATGAAGAAATCCCGTTTCCAACGAAGGCCTCAATGAAGTCCAAAAAAGCACTTGCACGCTTTACAAACAGAGTGTTTCCAAACTGCTCTATGAAAAGAAAGGTTAAACTCTTGTGAGTTGAACGCACACATCACAAAGTAGTTGTTGAGAATGATTCTGTGTAGTTTTTATACGAAGATATTTCCTTTTCTGCCATAGGCCTAGAATCGCTTGAAATCTGCACTTGCAAATTCCAAAAACAGAGTGTTTCAACTCTGCTCTCTCTAAAGAAAGGTTCAACTCTGTGAGATGAATACAAACAACACAAAGAAGTTACTGAGAATTCTTCTGTCTAGCATTGTATGAAGAAATCCCGTTTCCAACGAAGGCCTCAAAGAGGTCCAAATATCCACTTGCAGACTTTACAAATAGAGTGTTTCCAAACTGCTCTATGAAAAGAAAGGTTAAACTCTGTGAGTTGAAGGCACACATCACAAACTAGTTTTTACGAATGACTCTGTGTACTTTTAATATGAAGATATTTCCATGTCTAAGATTGGCGTCAAATCGCTTGAAATCTCCACTTGCAAATTCCACAAAAAGTGTTTTTCAAAACTGCTCTGAATAAAGGAAGGTTCCACTCTGTGAGTTGAATACACACAACACAAAGGATTTACTGAGAATTCTTCTGTCTAGCAGTAAATGAGAAATCCCACTTCCAACGAAGGCCTCAAAGGGGTCTAACTAATCACTTGCGGACTTTACAGACAGAGTCTTTCCAAACTGCTCTATGAAGAGAAAGGTGAAACTCTGTGAACTGAACGCACACATAACAAAGCAGTTTCTAAGAATGATTCTGTGTAGTTTTTACACGAAGATATTTCCATTTCAAAGATTAGCCTCAAATCGCTTGAAATCTCCACTTGCAAATTCCACAGAAAAAATTTTTCAAAACTGCTCTGTCTAAAAGAAGGTTCAACTCTGTGACTTGAATACACACAACACAAAGAAGTGACTGAGAATTCTTCTGTCTAGCATTATATGAAGAAATCCCGTTTCCAACGAAGGCCTCAATGAAGTCCAAAAAAGCACTTGCAGGCTTTACAAACAGAGTGTTTCCAAACTGCTCTATGAAAAGAAAGGTTAAACTCTGTGAGTTGAACGCACACATCACAAAGTAGTTGTTGAGAATGATTCTGTGTAGTTTTTATACGAAGATATTTCCTTTTCTGCCATAGGCCTAGTAAGCGCTTGAAATCTGCACTTGCAAATTCCAAAAACAGAGTGTTTCAAATCTGCTCTCTCTAAAGGAAGGTTCAAATCTGTGAGTTGAATACAAACAACACAAAGAAGTTACTGAGAATTCTTCTGTCTAGCATTATAAGAGGAAATCCCGTTTCCAACGAAGGGCTCATAGAGGGACAATTATCCAGCTGCAGACTTACAAAGAGTGTATTTCCAAACTGCTCGATTAAAGAAAGGTTAAACTCTGTGAGTTGAACACACACATCACAAAGTGTTTTCTGAGAATGATTTTGTCTAGTTTTAATACGAAGATATATCCTTTTCTATCACTGTCTTCGAAGCGTTTGAAATCTGCACTAGCAAATTCCACAGAAAGAGTGTTTCAACTCTGCTCTCTCTCAAGAAAGGTTCAACTCTGTGAGTTGAATACACACAACACAAAGAAGTTACTGAGAATTCTTCTGTCTAGCGTTATATGAAGAAATCCCGTTTCCAACGAAGGCCTCAAAGTGGTCCAAATATCCACTTGCAGACTTTACAAATAGAGTGTTTCCAAACTGCTCTATGAAAAGAAAGGTTAAACTCCGTGAGTTGAAGGCACACATCACAAACTAGTTTCTGCGAATGACTCTGTGTACTTTTAATACGAAGATGTTTCCATGTCTAAGATTGGCGTGAATTCGCTTGAAATCTCCACTTGCAAATTCCACAAAAAGAGTGTTTCAAAAGTGCTCTGAATAAAGGAAGGTTCCACTCTGTGAGTTGAATACACACAACACAAAGGATTTACTGAGAATTCTTCTGTCTAGCAGTAAATGAAAAAATCCCGCTTCCAACGAAGTCCTCAAAGGGGTCCAAGTAATCACTTGCAGACTTTACAGACAGAGTCTTTCCAAACTGCTCTATGAAAAGAAAGGTGGAACTCTGTGACCTGAACGCACACATAACAAAGCAGTTTCTGAGAATGATTCTGTGTAGTTTTTACACGAAGATATTTCCATTTCAAAGATTAGCCTCAAATCGCTTGAAATCTCCACTTGCAAATTCCACAGAAAGAGTTTTTCAAAACTGCTCTGTGTAAAGGAAGGTTCAACTCTGTGACTTGAATACACACAACACAAAGAAGTGACTGAGAATTCTTCTGTCTAGCATTATATGAAGAAATCCCGTTTCCAACGAAGGCCTCAAAGAAGTCCAAATAAGCACCTGCAGACTTTACAAACAGAGTGTTTCCAAACTGCTCTATGAAAAGAAAGGTTAAACTCTGTGAGTTGAACGCACACATCACAAAGTAGTTGTTGAGAATGATTCTGTGTAGTTTTTATACGAAGATATTTCCTTTTCTGCCATAGGCCTAGAAGCGCTTGTAATCTGCACTTGCAAATTCCAAAAACAGAGTGTTTCAAATCTGCTCTCTCTAAAGGAAGGTTCAAATCTGTGAGTTGAATACAAACAACACAAAGAAGTTACTGAGAATTCTTCTGTCTAGCATTATAAGAGGAAATCCTGTTTCCAACGAAGGGCTCATAGAGGGACAATTATCCAGCTGCAGACTTACAAAGAGTGTATTTCCAAACTGCTCGATTAAAGAAAGGTTAAACTCTGTGAGTTGAACACACACATCACAAAGTGTTTTCTGAGAATGATTTTGTCTAGTTTTAATACGAAGATATATCCTTTTCTATCACTGTCTTCGAAGCGTTTGAAATCTGCACTAGCAAATTCCACAAACAGAGTGTTTCAACTCTGCTCTCTCTCAAGAAAGGTTCAACTACTGTGAGTGGAATACACACAACACAAAGAAGTTACTGAGAATTCTTCTGTCTAGCGTTATATGAAGAAATCCCGTTTCCAACGAAGGCCTCAAAGAGGTCCAAATATCCACTTGCAGACTTTACAAATAGAGTGTTTCCAAACTGCTCTATGAAAAGAAAGGTTAAACTCCGTGAGTTGAAGGCACACATCACAAACTAGTTTCTGCGAATGACTCTGTGTACTTTTAATACGAAGATGTTTCCATGTCTAAGATTGGCGTGAATTCGCTTGAAATCTCCACTTGCAAATTCCACAAAAAGAGTGTTTCAAAACTGCTCTGAATAAAGGAAGGTTCCACTCTGTGAGTTGAATACACACAACACAAAGGATTTACTGAGAATTCTTCTGTCTAGCAGTAAATGAAAAAATCCCGCTTCCAACGAAGTCCTCAAAGGGGTCCAAGTAATCACTTGCAGACTTTACAGACAGAGTCTTTCCAAACTGCTCTATGAAAAGAAAGGTGGAACTCTGTGAGCTGAACGCACACATAACAAAGAAGTTTCTGAGAATGATTCTGTGTAGTTTTTACACGAAGCTATTTCCATTTCAAAGATTAGCCTCAAATCGCTTGAAATCTCCACTTGCAAATTCCACAGAAAGAGTTTTTCAAAACTGCTCTGTGTAAAGGAAGGTTCAACTCTGTGACTTGAATACACACAACACAAAGAAGTGACTGAGAATTCTTCTGTCTAGCATTACATGAAGAAATCCCGTTTCCAACGAAGGCCTCAAAGAAGTCCAAATAAGCACCTGCAGACTTTACAAACAGAGTGTTTCCAAACTGCTCTATGAAAAGAAAGGTTAAACTCTGTGAGTTGAACGCACACATCACAAAGTAGTTGTTGAGAATGATTCTGTGTAGTTTTTATACAAAGATATTTCCTTTTCTGCCATAGGCCTAGAAGCGCTTGAAATCTGCACTTGCAAATTCCAAAAACAGAGTGTTTCAAATCTGCTCTCTCTAAAGGAAGGTTCAAATCTGTGAGTTGAATACAAACAACACAAAGAAGTTACTGAGAATTCTTCTGTCTAGCATTATATGAGGAAATCCCGTTTCCAACGAAGGGCTCAAAGAGGGCCAATTATCCACCTGCAGACTTACAAAGAGTGTATTTCCAAACTGCTCGATTAAAGAAAGGTTAAACTCTGTGAGTTGAACACACACATCACAAAGTGTTTTCTGAGAATGATTTTGTCTAGTTTTAATACGAAGATATATCCTTTGCTATCACTGTCTTCGAAGCGTTTGAAATCTGCTCTAGCAAATTCCACAAAAAGAGTGTTTCAACTCTGCTCTCTCTAAAGAAAAGTTGAACTCTGTGAGTTGAATACACACAACACAAAGAAGTTACTGAAAATTCTTCTGTCTAGCGTTATATGAAGAAATCCCTTTTCCAACGATGGCCTCAAAGAGGTCCAAATATCCACTTGCAGACTTTACAAATAGAGTGTTTCCAAACTGCTCTATGAAAAGAAAGGTTAAACTCTGTGAGTTGAAGGCACACATCACAAACTAGTTTCTACGAATGATTCTGTGTACTTTTAATATGAAGATATTTCCATGTCTAAGATTGGCGTCAAATCGCTTGAAATCTCCACTTGCAAATTCCACAAAAAGAGTGTTTCAAAACTGCTCTGAATAAAGGAAGGTTCCACTCTGTGAGTTGAATCAACGCAACACAAATGATTTACTGAGAATTCTTCTGTCTAGCATTATATGAAGAAATCCCGTTTCCAACGATGGCCTCAATGAAGTCCAAAAAAGCACTTGCAGGCTTTGCAAACAGCGTGTTTCCAAACTGCTCTATGAAAAGAAAGGTTAAACTTTGTGAGTTGAACGCACACATCACAAAGTAGTTGTTGAGAATGATTCTGTGTAGTTTTTATACGAAGATATTTCCTTTCCTGCCATAGGCCTAGAATCGCTTGAAATCTGCACTTGCAAATTCCAAAAACAGAGTGTTTCAACTCTGCTCTCTCTAAAGAAAGGTACAACTCTGTGAGTTGAATACACACAACACAAAGAAGTTACTGAGAATTCTTCTGTCTAGCGTTGTATGAAGAAATCCCGTTTCCAACGAAGGCCTCAAAGAGGTCCAAATATCCACTTGCAGACTTTACAAACAGAGTGTTTCCAAACTGCTCTATGAAAAGAAAAGTTAAACTCTGTGAGTTGAAGGCACACATCACAAACTAGTTTCTACGAATGACTCTGTGTACTTTTAATATGAAGATATTTCCATGTCTAAGATTGGCGTCAAATCGCTTGAAATCTCCACTTGCAAATTCCACAAAAAGTGTTTTTCAAAACTGCTCTGAATAAAGGAAGGTTCCACTCTGTGAGTTGAATACACACAACACAAAGGATTTACTGAGAATTCTTCTGTCTAGCAGTAAATGAGAAATCCCGCTTCCAACGAAGGCCTCAAAGGGGTCTAACTAATCACTTGCAGACTTTACAGACAGAGTCTTTCCAAACTGCTCTATGAAGAGAAAGGTGAAACTCTGTGAACTGAACGCACAGATGACAAAGCAGTTTCTGAGAATGATTCTGTGTAGTTTTTACACGAAGATATTTCCATTTCAAAGATTAGCCTCAAATCGCTTGAAATCTCCACTTGCAAACTCCACAGAAAGAATTTTTCAAAACTGCTCTGTCTAAAGGAAGGTTCAACTCTGTGACTTGAATACACACAACACAAAGAAGTGACTGAGAATTCTTCTGTCTAGCATTATATGAAGAAATCCCGTTTCCAACGAAGGCCTCAATGAAGTCCAAAAAAGCAATTGCACGCTTTACAAACAGAGTGTTTCCAAACTGCTCTATGAAAAGAAAGGTTAAACTTTGTGAGTTGAACGCACACATCACAAAGGAGTTGTTGAGAATGATTCTGTGTAGTTTTTATACGAAGATATTTCCTTTTCTGCCATAGGCCTAGAAGCGCTTGAAATCTGCACTTGCAAATTCCAAAAACAGAGTGTTTCAAATCTGCTCTCTCTAAAGGAAGGTTCGAATCTGTGAGTTGAATACAAACAACACAAAGAAGTTACTGAGAATTCATCTGTCTAGCATTATATGAGGAAATCCCGTTTCCAACGAAGGGCTCAAAGAGGGACAATTATCCACCTGCAGACTTACAAAGAGTGTATTTCCAAACTGCTCGATTAAAGAAAGGTTAAACTCTGTGAGTTGAACACACACATCACAAAGTGTTTTCTGAGAATGATTCTGTGTACTTTTAATATGAAGATATTTCCATGTCTAAGATTGGCGTCAAATCGCTTGAAATCTCCACTTGCAAATTCCACGAAAAGTGTTTTTCAAAACTGCTCTGAATAAAGGAAGGTTCCACTCTGTGAGTTGAATACACACAACACAAAGGATTTACTGAGAATTCTTCTGTCTAGCAGTAAATGAGAAATCCCGCTTCCAACGAAGGCCTCAAAGGGGTCTAACTAATCACTTGCAGACTTTACAGACAGAGTCTTTCCAAACTGCTCTATGAA
This sequence comes from Homo sapiens, assembly GCF_000001405.40. NCBI lineage: Eukaryota > Metazoa > Chordata > Mammalia > Primates > Hominidae > Homo > Homo sapiens. The sequence goes on along the minus strand of NC_000010.11, from coordinate 40,099,350 downwards.
GAGAAAGGTGAAACTCTGTGAACTGAACGCACAGATGACAAAGCAGTTTCTGAGAATGATTCTGTGTAGTTTTTACACGAAGATATTTCCATTTCAAAGATTAGCCTCAAATCGCTTGAAATCTCCACTTGCAAACTCCACAGAAAGAATTTTTCAAAACTGCTCTGTCTAAAGGAAGGTTCAACTCTGTGACTTGAATACACACAACACAAAGAAGTGACTGAGAATTCTTCTGTCTAGCATTATATGAAGAAATCCCGTTTCCAACGAAGGCCTCAATGAAGTCCAAAAAAGCACTTGCAGGCTTTACAAACAGAGTGTTTCCAAACTGCTCTATGAAAAGAAAGGTTAAACTCTGTGAGTTGAACGCACACATCACAAAGTAGTTGTTGAGAATGATTCTGTGTATTTTTTATACGAAGATATTTCCTTTTCTGCCATAGGCCTAGATGTGCTTGAAATCTGCACTTGCAAATTCCAAAAACAGAGTGTTTCAAATCTGCTCTCTCTAAAGGAAGGTTCAAATCTGTGAGTTGAATACAAACAACACAAAGAAGTTACTGAGAATTCTTCTGTCTAGCATTATATGAGGAAATCCCGTTTCCAACGAAGGGCTCAAAGAGGGCCAATTATCCACCTGCAGACTTACAAAGAGTGTATTTCCAAACTGCTCGATTAAAGAAAGGTTAAACTCTGTGAGTTGAACACACACATCACAAAGTGTTTTCTGAGAATGATTTTGTCTAGTTTTAATACGAAGATATATCCTTTGCTATCACTGTCTTCGAAGCGTTTGAAATCTGCACTAGCAAATTCCACAAAAAGAGTGTTTCAACTCTGCTCTCTCTAAAGAAAGGTTCAACTCTGTGAGTTGAATACACCCAACACAAAGAAGTTACTGAGAATTCTTCTGTCTAGCGTTATACGAAGAAATCCCTTTTCCAACGAAGGCCTCAAAGAGGTCCAAATATCCACTTGCAGACTTTACAAATAGAGTGTTTCCGAACTGCTCTATGAAAAGAAAGGTTAAACTCTGTGAGTTGAAGGCACACATCACAAACTAGTTTCTACGAATGATTCTGTGTACTTTTAATATGAAGATATTTCCATGTCTAAGATTGGCGTCAAATCGCTTGAAATCTCCACTTGCAAATTCCACAAAAAGAGTGTTTCAAAACTGCTCTGAATAAAAGAAGGTTCCACTCTGTGAGTTGAATAAACACAACACAAAGGATTTACTGAGAATTCTTCTGTCTAGCAGTAAATGAGAAATCCCGCTTCCCACGAAGGCCTCAAAGGGGTCTAACTAATCACTTGGAGACTTTAAAGACAGAGTCTTTCCAAACTGCTCTATGAAGAGAAAGGTGAAACTCTGTGAACTGAACGCACAGATGACAAAGCAGTTTCTGAGAATGCTTCTGTGTAGTTTTTACACGAAGATATTTCCATTTCAAAGATTAGCCTCAAATCGCTTGAAATCTCCACTTGCAAACTCCACAGAAAGAATTTTTCAAAACTGCTCTGTCTAAAGGAAGGTTCAACTCTGTGACTTGAATACACACAACACAAAGAAGTGACTGAGAATTCTTCTGTCTAGCATTATATGAAGAAATCCCGTTTCCAACGAAGGCCTCAATGAAGTCCAAAAAAGCAATTGCAGGCTTTACAAACAGAGTGTTTCCAAACTGCTCTATGAAAAGAAAGGTTAAACTTTGTGAGTTGAACGCACACATCACAAAGTAGTTGTTGAGAATGATTCTGTGCAGTTTTTATACGAAGATATTTCCTTTTCTGCCATAGGCCTAGAATCGCTTGATATCTGCACTTGCAAATTCCAAAAACAGAGTGTTTCAACTCTGCTCTCTCTAAAGAAAGGTTCAACTCTGTGAGTTGAATACACACAACACAAAGAAGTTACTGAGAATTCTTCTGTCTGGCGTTGTATGAAGAAATCCCGTTTCCAACGAAGGCCTCAAAGAGGTCCAAATATCCACTTGCAGACTTTACAAATAGAGTGTTTCCAAACTGCTCTATGAAAAGAAAGGTTAAACTCTGTGAGTTGAAGGCACACATCACAAACTAGTTTCTACGAATGACTCTGTGTACTTTTAATATGAAGATATTTCCATGTCTAAGATTGGCGTTCAAATCGCTTGAAATCTCCACTTGCAAATTCCACAAAAAGTGTTTTTCAAAAGTGCTCTGAATAAAGGAAGGTTCCACTCTGTGAGTTGAATGCACGCAACACAAAGGATTTACTGAGAATTCTTCTGTCTAGCAGTAAATGAAAAAATCCCGCTTCCAACGAAGTCCTCAAAGGGGTCCAAGTAATCACTTGCAGACTTTACAGACAGAGTCTTTCCAAACTGCTCTATGAAAAGAAAGGTGGAACTGTGTGAGCTGAACGCACACATAACAAAGCAGTTTCTGAGAATGATTCTGTGTAGTTTTTACACGAAGATATTTCCATTTCAAAGATTAGCCTCAAATCGCTTGAAATCTCCACTTGCAAATTCCACAGAAAGAGTTTTTCAAAACTGCTCTGTGTAAAGGAAGGTTCAACTCTGTGACTTGAATACACACAACACAAAGAAGTGACTGAGAATTCTTCTGTCTAGCATTATATGAAGAAATCCCGTTTCCAACGAAGGCCTCAAAGAAGTCCAAATAAGCACCTGCAGACTTTACAAACAGAGTGTTTCCAAACTGCTCTATGAAAAGAAAGGTTAAACTCTGTGAGTTGAACGCACACATCACAAAGTAGTTGTTGAGAATGATTCTGTGTAGTTTTTATACGAAGATATTTCCTTTTCTGCCATAGGCCTAGAAGCGCTTGTAATCTGCACTTGCAAATTCCGAAACCAGAGTGTTTCAAATCTGCCCTCTCTAAAGGAAGGTTCAAATCTGTGAGTTGAATACAAACAACACAAAGAAGTTACTGAGAATTCTTCTGTCTAGCGTTATATGAAGAAATCCCGTTTCCAACGAAGGCCTCAAAGACGTCCAAATATCCACTTGCAGACTTTACAAATAGAGTGTTTCCAAAATGCTCTATGAAAAGAAAGGTTAAACTCTGTGAGTTGAAGGCACACATCACAAACTAGTTTCTGCGAATGACTTTGTCTAGTTTTAATACGAAGATATATCCTTTTCTATCACTGTCTTCGAAGCGTTTGAAATCTGCACTAGCAAATTCCACAAACAGAGTGTTTCCACTCTGCTCTCTCTCAAGAAAGGTTCAACTCTGTGAGTGGAATACACACAACACAAAGAAGTTACTGAGAATTCTTCTGTCTAGCGTTATATGAAGAAATCCCGTTTCCAACGAAGGCCTCAAAGAGGTCCAAATATCCACTTGCAGACTTTACAAATAGAGTGTTTCCAAACTGCTCTATGAAAAGAAAGGTTAAACTCCGTGAGTTGAAGGCACACATCACAAACTAGTTTCTGCGAATGACTCTGTGTACTTTTAATACGAAGATGTTTCCATGTCTAAGATTGGCGTGAATTCGCTTGAAATCTCCACTTGCAAATTCCACAAAAAGAGTGTTTCAAAACTGCTCTGAATAAAGGAAGGTTCCACTCTGTGAGTTGAATACACACAACACAAAGGATTTACTGAGAATTCTTCTGTCTAGCAGTAAATGAAAAAATCCCGCTTCCAACGAAGTCCTCAAAGGGGTCCAAGTAATCACTTGCAGACTTTACAGACAGAGTCTTTCCAAACTGCTCTATGAAAAGAAAGGTGGAACTCTGTGAGCTGAACGCACACATAACAAAGCAGTTTCTGACAATGATTCTGTGTAGTTTTTACACGAAGATATTTCCATTTCAAAGATTAGCCTCAAATCGCTTGAAATCTCCACTTGCAAATTCCACAGAAAGAGTTTTTCAAAACTGCTCTGTGTAAAGGAAGGTTCAACTCTGTGACTTGAATACACACAACACAAAGAAGTGACTGAGAATTCTTCTGTCTAGCATTATATGAAGAAATCCCGTTTCCAACGAAGGCCTCAAAGAAGTCCAAAGAAGCACCTGCAGACTTTACAAACAGAGTGTTTCCAAACTGCTCTATGAAAAGAAAGGTTAAACTCTGTGAGTTGAACGCACACATCACAAAGTAGTTGTTGAGAATGATTCTGTGTAGTTTTTATACGAAGATATTTCCTTTTCTGCCATAGGCCTAGAAGCGCTTGCAATCTGCACTTGCAAATTCCAAAAACAGAGTGTTTCAAATCTGCTCTCTCTAAAGGAAGTTTCAAATCTGTGAGTTGAATACAAACAACACAAAGAAGTTACTGAGAATACTTCTGTCTAGCATTATATGAGGAAATCCCGTTTCCAACGAAGGGCTCATAGAGGGACAATTATCCACCTGCAGACTTACAAAGAGTGCATTTCCAAACTGCTCGATTAAAGAAAGGTTAAACTCTGTGAGTTGAACACACATATCACAAAGTGTTTTCTGAGAATGATTTTGTCTAGTTTTAATACGAAGATATATCCTTTTCTATCACTGTCTTCGAAGCGTTTGAAATCTGCACTAGCAAATTCCACAGAAAGAGTGTTTCAACTCTGCTCTCTCTCAAGAAAGGTTCAACTCTGTGAGTGGAATACACACAACACAAAGAAGTTACAGAGAATTCTTCTGTCTAGCGTTATATGAAGAAATCCCGTTTCCAACGAAGGCCTCAAAGAGGTCCAAATATCCACTTGCAGACTTTACAAATAGAGTGTTTCCAAACTGCTCTATGAAAAGAAAGGTTAAACTCTGTGAGTTGAAGGCACACATCACAAACTAGTTTCTGCGAATGACTCTGTGTACTTTTAATACGAAGATGTTTTCCATGTCTAAGATTGGCGTGAATTCGCTTGAAATCTCCACTTGCAATTTCCACAAAAAGAGTGTTTCAAAACTGCTCTGAATAAAGGAAGGTTCCACTCTGTGAGTTGAATACACACAACACAAAGGATTTACTGAGAATTCTTCTGTCTAGCAGTAAATGAAAAAATCCCGCTTCCAACGAAGTCCTCAAAGGGGTCCAAGTAATCACTTGCAGACTTTACAGACAGAGTCTTTCCAAACTGCTCTATGAAAAGAAAGCTGGAACGCTGTGAGCTGAACGCACACTTAACAAAGCAGTTTCTGAGAATGATTCTGTGTAGTTTTTACACGAAGATATTTCCATTTCAAAGATTAGCCTCAAATCGCTTGAAATCTCCACTTGCAAATTCCACAGAAAGAGTTTTTCAAAACTGCTCTGTGTAAAGGAAGGTTCAACTCTGTGACTTGAATACACACAACACAAAGAAGTGACTGAGAATTCTTCTGTCTAGCATTATATGAAGAAATCCCGTTTCCAACGAAGGCCTCAAAGAAGTCCAAATAAGCACCTGCAGACTTTACAAACAGAGTGTTTCCAAACTGCTCTATGAAAAGAAAGGTTAAACTCTGTGAGTTGAACGCACACATCACAAAGTAGTTGTTGAGAATGATTCTGTGTAGTTTTTATACGAAGATATTTCCTTTTCTGCCATAGGCCTAGAAGCGCTTGTAATCTGCACTTGCAAATTCCAAAAACAGAGTGTTTCAAATCTGCTCTCTCCAAAGGAAGGTTCAAATCTGTGAGTTGAATACAAACAACACAAAGAAGTTACTGAGAATTCTTCTGTCTAGCATTATAAGAGGAAATCCCGTTTCCAACGAAGGGCTCATAGAGGGACAATTATCCAGCTGCAGACTTACAAAGAGTGTATTTCCAAACTGCTCGATTAAAGAAAGGTTAAACTCTGTGAGTTGAACACACACATCACAAAGTGTTTTCTGAGAATGATTTTGTCTAGTTTTAATACGAAGATATATCCTTTTCTATCACTGTCTTCGAAGCGTTTGAAATCTGCACTAGCAAATTCCACAAACAGAGTGTTTCAACTCTGCTCTCTCTCAAGAAAGGTTCAACTCTGTGAGTGGAATACACACAACACAAAGAAGTTACTGAGAATTCTTCTGTCTAGCGTTATATGAAGAAATCCCGTTTCCAACGAAGGCCTCAAAGAGGTCCAAATATCCACTTGCAGACTTTACAAATAGAGTGTTTCCAAACTGCTCTATGAAAAGAAAGGTTAAACTCTGTGAGTTGAAGGCACACATCACAAACTAGTTTCTGCGAATGACTCTGTGTACTTTTAATACGAAGATGTTTCCATGTCTAAGATTGGCGTGAATTCGCTTGAAATCTCCACTTGCAAATTCCACAAAAAGAGTGTTTCAAAACTGCTCTGAATAAAGGAAGGTTCCACTCTGTGAGTTGAATACACACAACACAAAGGATTTACTGAGAATTCTTCTGTCTAGCAGTAAATGAAAAAATCCCGCTTCCAACGAAGTCCTCAAAGGGGTCCAAGTAATCACTTGCAGACTTTACAGACAGAGTCTTTCCAAACTGCTCTATGAAAACAAAGGTGGAACTCTGTGAGCTGAACGCACACATAACAAAGCAGTTTCTGACAATGATTCTGTGTAGTTTTTACACGAAGATATTTCCATTTCAAAGATTAGCCTCAAATCGCTTGAAATCTCCACTTGCAAATTCCACAGGAAGAGTTTTTCAAAACTGCTCTGTGTAAAGGAAGGTTCAACTCTGTGACTTGAATACACACAACACAAAGAAGTGACTGAGAATTCTTCTGTCTAGCATTATATGAAGAAATCCCGTTTCCAACGAAGGCCTCAAAGAAGTCCAAATAAGCACCTGAAGACTTTACAAACAGAGTGTTTCCAAACTGCTCTATGAAAAGAAAGGTTAAACTCTGTGAGTTGAACGCACACATCACAAAGTAGTTGGTGAGAATGATTCTGTGTAGTTTTTATACGAAGATATTTCCTTTTCTGCCATAGGCCTAGAAGCGCTTGTAATCTGCACTTGCAAATTCCAAAACCACAGTGTTTCAAATCTGCTCTCTCTAAAGGAAGGTTCAAATCTGTGAGTTGAATACAAACAACACAAAGAAGTTACTGAGAATTCTTCTGTCTAGCATTATATGAGGAAATCCCGTTTCCAACGAAGGGCTCATAGAGGGACAATTATCCAGCTGCAGACTTACAAAGAGTGTATTTCCAAACTGCTCGATTAAAGAAAGGTTAAACTCTGTGAGTTGAACACACACATCACAAAGTGTTTTCTGAGAATGATTTTGTCTAGTTTTAATACGAAGATATATCCTTTTCTATCACTGTCTTTGAAGCGTTTGAAATCTGCACTAGCAAATTCCACAAACAGAGTGTTTCAACTCTGCTCTCTCTCAAGAAAGGTTCAACTCTGTGAGTGGAATACACACAACACAAAGAAGTTACTGAGAATTCTTCTGTCTAGCGTTATATGAAGAAATCCCGTTTCCAACGAAGGCCTCAAAGAGGTCCAAATATCCACTTGCAGACTTACAAATAGAGTGTTTCCAAACTGCTCTATGAAAAGAAAGGTTAAACTCCGTGAGTTGAAGGCACACATCACAAACTAGTTTCTGCGAATGACTCTGTGTACTTTTAATACGAAGATGTTTCCATGTCTAAGATTGGCGTGAATTCGCTTGAAATCTCCACTTGCAAATTCCACAAAAAGAGTGTTTCAAAACTGCTCTGAATAAAGGAAGGTTCCACTCTGTGAGTTGAATACACACAACACAAAGGATTTACTGAGAATTCTTCTGTCTAGCAGTAAATGAAAAAATCCCGCTTCCAACGAAGTCCTCAAAGGGGTCCAAGTAATCACTTGCAGACTTTACAGACAGAGTCTTTCCAAACTGCTCTATGAAAAGAAAGGTGTAACTCTGTGAGCTGAACGCACACGTAACAAAGCAGTTTCTGAGAATGATTCTGTGTAGTTTTTACACGAAGATATTTCCATTTCAAAGATTAGCCTCAAATCGCTTGAAATCTCCACTTGCAAATTCCACAGAAAGAGTTTTTCAAAACTGCTCTGTGTAAAGGAAGGTTCAACTCTGTGACTTGAATACACACAACACAAAGAAGTGACTGAGAATTCTTCTGTCTAGCATTATATGAAGAAATCCCGTTTCCAACGAAGGCCTCAAAGAAGTCCAAATAAGCACCTGCAGACTTTACAAACAGAGTGTTTCCAAACTGCTCTATGAAAAGAAAGGTTAAACTCTGTGAGTTGAAAGCACACATCACAAAGTAGTTGTTGAGAATGATTCTGTGTAGTTTTTACACGAAGATATTTCCTTTTCTGCCATAGGCCTAGAAGCGCTTGTAATCTGCACTTACAATTTCCAAAAACAGAGTGTTTCAAATCTCCTCTCTCTAAAGGAAAGTTCAAATCTGTGAGTTGAATACAAACAACACAAAGAAGTTACTGAGAATTCTTCTGTCTAGCATTATATGAGGAAATCCCGTTTCCAACGAAGGGCTCATAGAGGGACAATTATCCACCTGCAGACTTACAAAGAGTGTATTTCCAAACTGCTCGATTACAGAAAGGTTAAACTCTGTGAGTTGAACACACACATCACAAAGTGTTTTCTGAGAATGATTTTGTCTAGTTTTAATACGAAGATATATCCTTTTCTATCACTGTCTTCGAAGCGTTTGAAATCTGCACTAGCAAATTCCACAAAAAGAGTGTTTCAACTCTGCTCTCTCTCAAGAAAGGTTCAACTCTGTGAGTTGAATACACACAACACAAAGAAGTTACTGAGAATTCTTCTGTCTAGCGTTATATGAAGAAATCCCGTTTCCAACGAAGGCCTCAAAGTGGTCCAAATATCCACTTGCAGACTTTACAAATAGAGTGTTTCCAAACTGCTCTATGAAAAGAAAGGTTAAACTCTGTGAGTTGAAGGCACACATCACAAACTAGTTTCTGCGAATGACTCTGTGTACTTTTAATACGAAGATGTTTCCATGTCTAAGATTGGCGTGAATTCGCTTGAAATCTCCACTTGCAAATTCCACAAAAAGAGTGTTTCAAAACTGCTCTGAATAAAGGAAGGTTCCACTCTGTGAGTTGAATACACACAACACGAAGGATTTACTGAGAATTCTTCTGTCTAGCAGTAAATGAAAAAATCCCGCTTCCAACGAAGTCCTCAAAGGGGTCCAAGTAATCACTTGCAGACTTTACAGACAGAGTCTTTCCAAACTGCTCTATGAAAAGAAAGGTGGAACTCTGCGAGCTGAACGCACACATAACAAAGCAGTTGCTGAGAATGATTCTGTGTAGTTTTTACACGAAGATATTTCCATTTCAAAGATTAGCCTCAAATCGCTTGAAATCTCCACTTGCAAATTCCACAGAAAGAGTTTTTCAAAACTGCTCTGTGTAAAGGAAGGTTCAACTCTGTGACTTGAATACACACAACACAAAGAAGTGACTGAGAATTCTTCTGTCTAGCATTATATGAAGAAATCCCGTTTCCAACGAAGGCCTCAAAGAAGTCCAAATAAGCACCTGCAGACTTTACAAACAGAGTGTTTCCAAACTGCTCTATGAAAAGAAAGGTTAAACTCTGTGAGTTGAAAGCACACATCACAAAGTAGTTGTTGAGAATGATTCTGTGTAGTTTTTACACGAAGATATTTCCTTTTCTGCCATAGGCCTAGAAGCGCTTGTAATCTGAACTTACAATTTCCAAAAACAGAGTGTTTCAAATCTCCTCTCTCTAAAGGAAAGTTCAAATCTGTGAGTTGAATACAAACAACACAAAGAAGTTACTGAGAATTCTTCTGTCTAGCATTATATGAGGAAATCCCGTTTCCAACGAAGGGCTCATAGAGGGACAATTATCCACCTGCAGACTTACAAAGAGTGTATTTCCAAACTGCTCGATTACAGAAAGGTTAAACTCTGTGAGTTGAACACACACATCACAAAGTGTTTTCTGAGAATGATTTTGTCTAGTTTTAATACGAAGATATATCCTTTTCTATCACTGTCTTCGAAGCGTTTGAAATCTGCACTAGCAAATTCCACAGAAAGAGTGTTTCAACTCTGCTCTCTCTCAAGAAAGGTTCAACTCTGTGAGTTGAATACACACAACACAAAGAAGTTACAGAGAATTCTTCTGTCTAGCGTTATATGAAGAAATCCCGTTTCCAACGAAGGCCTCAAAGAGGTCCAAATATCCACTTGCAGACTTTACAAATAGAGTGTTTCCAAACTGCTCTATGAAAAGAAAGCTTAAACTCTGTGAGTTGAAGGCACACATCACAAACTAGTTTCTGCGAATGACTCTGTGTACTTTTAATACGAAGATGTTTCCATGTCTAAGATTGGCGTGAATTTGCTTGAAATCTCCACTTGCAAATTCCACAAAAAGAGTGTTTCAAAACTGCTCTGAATAAAGGAAGGTTCCACTCTGTGAGTTGAATACACACAACACGAAGGATTTACTGAGAATTCTTCTGTCTAGCAGTAAATGAAAAAATCCCGCTTCCAACGAAGTCCTCAAAGGGGTCCAAGTAATCACTTGCAGACTTTACAGACAGAGTCTTTCCAAACTGCTCTATGAAAAGAAAGGTGGAACTCTGTGAGCTGAACGCACACATAACAAAGCAGTTTCTGAGAATGATTCTGTGTAGTTTTTACACGAAGATATTTCCATTTCAAAGATTAGCCTCAAATCGCTTGAAATCTCCACTTGCAAATTCCACAGAAAGAGTTTTTCAAAACTGCTCTGTGTAAAGGAAGGTTCAACTCTGTGACTTGAATACACACAACACAAAGAAGTGACTGAGAATTCTTCTGTCTAGCATTATATGAAGAAATCCCGTTTCCAACGAAGGCCTCAAAGAAGTCCAAATAAGCACCGGCAGACTTTACAAACAGAGTGTTTCCAAACTGCTCTATGAAAAGAAAGGTTAAACTCTGTGAGTTGAACGCACACATCACAAAGTAGTTGTTGAGAATGATTCTGTGTAGTTTTTATACGAAGATATTTCCTTTTCTGCCATAGGCCTAGAAGCGCTTGTAATCTGCACTTGCAAATTCCAAAACCAGAGTGTTTCAAATCTGCTCTCTCTAAAGGAAGGTTCAAATCTGTGAGTTGAATACAAACAACACAAAGAAGTTACTGAGAATTCTTCTGTCTAGCATTATATGAGGAAATCCCGTTTCCAACGAAGGGCTCATAGAGGGACAATTATCCAGCTGCAGACTTACAAAGAGTGTATTTCCAAACTGCTCGATTAAAGAAAGGTTAAACTCTGTGAGTTGAACACACACATCACAAAGTGTTTTCTGAGAATGATTTTGTCTAGTTTTAATACGAAGATATATCCTTTTCTATCACTGTCTTCGAAGCGTTTGAAATCTGCACTAGCAAATTCCACAAACAGAGTGTTTCAACTCTGCTCTCTCTCAAGAAAGGTTCAACTCTGTGAGTGGAATACACACAACACAAAGAAGTTACTGAGAATTCTTCTGTCTAGCGTTATATGAAGAAATCCCGTTTCCAACGAAGGCCTCAAAGAGGTCCAAATATCCACTTGCAGACTTTACAAATAGAGTGTTTCCAAACTGCTCTATGAAAAGAAAGGTTAAACTCTGTGAGTTGAAGGCACACATCACAAACAAGTTTCTGCGAATGACTCTGTGTACTTTTAATACGAAGATGTTTCCATGTCTAAGATTGGCGTGAATTCGCTTGAAATCTCCACTTGCAAATTCCACAAAAAGAGTGTTTCAAAACTGCTCTGAATAAAGGAAGGTTCCACTCTGTGAGTTGAATACACACAACACAAAGGATTTACTGAGAATTCTTCTGTCTAGCAGTAAATGAGAAATCCCGCTTCCAACGAAGGCCTCCAAGGGGTCTAACTAATCACTTGCAGACTTTACAGACAGAGTCTTTCCAAACTGCTCTATGAAGAGAAAGGTGAAACTCTGTGAACTGAACGCACAGATGACAAAGCAGTTTCTGAGAATGATTCTGTGTAGTTTTTACACGAAGATATTTCCATTTCAAAGATTAGCCTCAAATCGCTTGAAATCTCCACTTGCAAACTCCACAGAAAGAATTTTTCAAAACTGCTCTGTCTAAAGGAAGGTTCAACTCTGTGACTTGAATACACACAACACAAAGAAGTGACTGAGAATTCTTCTGTCTAGCATTATATGAAGAAATCCCGTTTCCAACGAAGGCCTCAATGAAGTCCAAAAAAGCACTTGCAGGCTTTACAAACAGAGTGTTTCCAAACTGCTCTATGAAAAGAAAGGTTAAACTCTGTGAGTTGAACGCACACATCACAAAGTAGTTGTTGAGAATGATTCTGTGTAGTTTTTATACGAAGATATTTCCTTTTCTGCCATAGGCCTAGAATCGCTTGAAATCTGCACTTGCAAATTCCAAAAACAGAGTGTTTCAACTCTGCTCTCTCTAAAGAAAGGTTCAACTCTGTGAGTTGAATACACACAACACAAAGAAGTTACTGAGAATTCTTCTGTCTAGCGTTGTATGAAGAAATCCCGTTTCCAACGAAGGCCTCAATGAAGTCCAAAAAAGCACTTGCAGGCTTTACAAACAGAGTGTTTCCAAACTGCTCTCTGAAAAGAAAGGTTAACCTCTGTGAGTTGAACGCACACATCACAAAGTAGTTGTTGAGAATGATTCTGTGTAGTTTTTATACGAAGATATTTCCTTTTCTGCCATAGGCCTAGAAGCGCTTGAAATCTGCACTTGCAAATTCCAAAAACAGAGTGTTTCAAATCTGCTCTCTCTAAAGGAAGGTTCAAATCTGTGTGTTGAATACAAACAACACAAAGAAGTTACTGAGAATTCTTCTGTCTAGCATTATATGAGGAAATCCCGTTTCCAACGAAGGGCTCAAAGAGGGACAAATATCCACCTGCAGACTTACAAAGAGTGTATTTCCAAACTGCTCGATTAAAGAAAGGTTAAACTCTGTGAGTTGAACACACACATCACAAAGAGTTTTCTGAGAATGATTTTGTCTACTTTTAATACGAAGATATATCCTTTTCTATCACTGTCTTCGAAGCGTTTGAAATCTACACTAGCAAATTCCACAAAAAGAGTGTTTCACCTCTGCTCCCTCTAAAGAAAGGTTCAACTCTGTGAGTTGAATACACATAACACAAAGAAGTTACTGAGAATTCTTCTGTCTAGCGTTGTATGAAGAAATCCCGTTTCCAACGAAGGCCTCAATGAAGTCCAAAAAAGCACTTGCAGGCTTTACAAACAGAGTGTTTCCAAACTGCTCTATGAAAAGAAAGGTTAAACTCTGTGAGTTGAACGCACACATCACAAAGTAGTTGTTGAGAATGATTCTGTGTAGTTTTTATACGAAGATATTTCCTTTTCTGCCATAGGCCTAGAAGTGCTTGAAATCTGCACTTGCAAATTCCAAAAACAGAGTGTTTCAAATCTGCTCTCTCTAAAGGAAGGTTCAAATCTGTGTGTTGAATACAAACAACACAGAGAAGTTACTGAGAATTCTTCTGTCTAGCATTATAAGAGGAAATCCCGTTTCCAAAGTAGGGCTCAAAGAGGGCCAAATATCCACCTGCAGACTTACAAAGAGTGTATTTCCAAACTGCTCGATTAAAGAAAGGTTAAACTCTGTGAGTTGAACTCACACATCACAAAGTGTTTTCTGAGAATGATTTTGTCTACTTTTAATACGAAGATATATCCTTTTCTATCACTGACTTCGAAGCGTTTGAAATCTACACTAGCAAATTCCACAAAAAGATTGTTTCACCTCTGCTCCCTCTAAAGAAAGGTTCAACTCTGTGAGTTGAATACACACAACACAAAGAAGTTACTGAGAATTCTTCTGTCTAGCGTTATATGAAGAAATCCCGTTTCCAACGAAGGCCTCAAAGAGGTCCAAATATCCACTTGCAGACTTTACAAATAGAGTGTTTCCCAACTGCTCTATGAAAAGAAAGGTTAAACTCTGTGAGTTGAAGGCACACATCACAAACTAGTTTCTACGAATGACTCTGTGTACTTTTAATATGAAGATATTTCCATGTCTAAGATTGGCGTCAAATCGCTTGAAATCTCCACTTGCAAATTCCACAAAAAGAGTGTTTCAAAACTGCTCTGAATAAAGGAAGGTTCCACTCTGTGAGTTGAATACACACAACACAAAGGATTTACTGAGAATTCTTCTGTCTAGCAGTAAATGAGAAATCCCGCTTCCAACGAAGGCCTCAAAGGGGTCTAACTAATCACTTGCAGACTTTACAGACAGAGTCTTTCCAAACTGCTCTATGAAGAGAAAGGTGAAACTCTGTGAACTGAACGCACAGATGACAAAGCAGTTTCTGAGAATGATTCTGTGTAGTTTTTACACGAAGATATTTCCATTTCAAAGATTAGCCTCAAATCGCTTGAAATCTCCACTTGCAAATTACACAGAAAGAACTTTTCAAAACTGCTCTGTCTAAAGGAAGGTTCAACTCTGTGACTTGAATACACACAACACAAAGAAGTGACTGAGAATTCTTCTGTCTAGCATTATATGAAGAAATCCCGTTTCCAACGAAGGCCTCAATGAAGTCCAAAAAAGCACTTGCAGGCTTTACAAACAGAGTGTTTCCAAACTGCTCTATGAAAAGAAAGGTTAAACTCTGTGAGTTGAACGCACACATCACAAAGTAGTTGTTGAGAATGATTCTGTGTAGTTTTTATACGAAGATATTTCCTTTTCTGCCATAGGCCTAGAATCGCTTGAAATCTGCACTTGCAAATTCCAAAAACAGAGTGTTTCAACTCTGCTCTCTCTAAAGAAAGGTTCAACTCTGTGAGTTGAATACACACAACACAAAGAAGTTACTGAGAATTCTTCTGTCTAGCGTTGTATGAAGAAATCCCGTTTCCAACGAAGGCCTCAAAGAGGTCCAAATATCCACTTGCAGACTTTACAAATAGAGTGTTTCCCAACTGCTCTATGAAAAGAAAGGTTAAACTCTGTGAGTTGAAGGCACACATCACAAACTAGTTTCTACGGATGACTCTGTGTACTTTTAATATGAAGATATTTCCATGTCTAAGATTGGCGTCAAATCGCTTGAAATCTCCACTTGCAAATTTCACAAAAAGAGTGTTTCAAAACTGCTCTGAATAAAGGAAGGTTCCACTCTGTGAGTTGAATACACACAACACAAAGGATTTACTGAGAATTCTTCTGTCTAGCAGTAAATGAGAAATCCCGCTTCCAACGAAGGCCTCAAAGGGGTCTAACTAATCACTTGCAGACTTTACAGACAGAGTCTTTCCAAACTGCTCTATGAAGAGAAAGGTGAAACTCTGTGAACTGAACGCACAGATGACAAAGCAGTTTCTGAGAATGATTCTGTGTAGTTTTTACACGAAGATATTTCCATTTCAAAGATTAGCCTCAAATCGCTTGAAATCTCCACTTGCAAACTCCACAGAAAGAATTTTTCAAAACTGCTCTGTCTAAAGGAAGGTTCAACTCTGTGACTTGAATACACACAACACAAACAAGTGACTGAGAATTCTTCTGTCTAGCATTATATGAAGAAATCCCGTTTCCAACGAAGGCCTCAATGAAGTCCAAAAAAGCACTTGCAGGCTTTACAAACAGAGTGTTTCCAAACTGCTCTATGAAAAGAAAGGTTAAACTCTGTGAGTTGAACGCACACATCACAAAGTAGTTGTTGAGAATGATTCTGTGTAGTTTTTATACGAAGATATTTCCTTTTCTGCCATAGGCCTAGAAGCGCTTGAAATCTGCACTTGCAAATTCCAAAAACAGAGTGTTTCAAGTCTGCTCTCTCTAAAGGAAGGTTCAAATCTGTGTGTTGAATACAAACAACACAAAGAAGTTACTGAGAATTCTTCTGTCTAGCATTATATGAGGAAATCCCGTTTCCAACGAAGGGCTCAAAGAGGGCCAAATATCCACCTGCAGACTTACAAAGAGTGTATTTCCAAACTGCTCGATTAAAGAAAGGTTAAACTCTGTGAGTTGAACACACACATCACAAAGAGTTTTCTGAGAATGATTTTGTGTACTTTTAATACAAAGATATATCCTTTTCTATCACTGTCTTCGAAGCGTTTGAAATCTACACTAGCAAATTCCACAAAAAGAGTGTTTCACCTCTGCTCCCTCTAAAGAAAGGTTCAACTCTATGAGTTGAATACACACAACACAAAGAAGTTACTGAGAATTCTTCTGTCTAGCGTTATATGAAGAAATCCCGTTTCCAACGAAGGCCTCAAAGAGGTCCAAATATCCACTTGCAGACTTTACAAATAGAGTGTTTCCCAACTGCTCTATGAAAAGAAAGGTTAAACTCTGTGAGTTGAAGGCACACATCACAAACTAGTTTCTACGAATGACTCTGTGTACTTTTAATATGAAGATATTTCCATGTCTAAGATTGGCGTCAAATCGCTTGAAATCTCCACTTGCAAATTCCACAAAAAGAGTGTTTCAAAACTGCTCTGAATAAAGGAAGGTTCCACTCTGTGAGTTGAATACACACAACACAAAGGATTTACTGAGAATTCTTCTGTCTAGCAGTAAATGAGAAATCCCGCTTCCAACGAAGGCCTCAAAGGGGTCTAACTAATCACTTGCAGACTTTACAGACAGAGTCTTTCCAAACTGCTCTATGAAGAGAAAGGTGAAACTCTGTGAACTGAACGCACAGATGACAAAGCAGTTTCTGAGAATGATTCTGTGTAGTTTTTACACGAAGATATTTCCATTTCAAAGATTAGCCTCAAATCGCTTGAAATCTCCACTTGCAAACTCCACAGAAAGAATTTTTCAAAACTGCTCTGTCTAAAGGAAGGTTCAACTCTGTGACTTGAATACACACAACACAAACAAGTGACTGAGAATTCTTCTGTCTAGCATTATATGAAGAAATCCCGTTTCCAACGAAGGCCTGAATGAAGTCCAAAAAAGCACTTGCAGGCTTTACAAACAGAGTGTTTCCAAACTGCTCTATGAAAAGAAAGGTTAAACTCTGTGAGTTGAACGCACACATCACAAAGTAGTTGTTGAGAATGATTCTGTGTAGTTTTTATACGAAGATATTTCCTTTTCTGCCATAGGCCTAGAATCGCTTGAAATCTGCACTTGCAAATTCCAAAAACAGAGTGTTTCAACTCTGCTCTCTCTAAAGAAAGGTTCAACTCTGTGAGTTGAATACACACAACACAAAGAAGTTACTGAGAATTCTTCTGTCTAGCGTTGTATGAAGAAATCCCGTTTCCAACGAAGGCCTCAAAGAGGTCCAAATATCCACTTGCAGACTTTACAAATAGAGTGTTTCCCAACTGCTCTATGAAAAGAAAGGTTAAACTCTGTGAGTTGAAGGCACACATCACAAACTAGTTTCTACGGATGACTCTGTGTACTTTTAATATGAAGATATTTCCATGTCTAAGATTGGCGTCAAATCGCTTGAAATCTCCACTTGCAAATTCCACAAAAAGAGTGTTTCAAAACTGCTCTGAATAAAGGAAGGTTCCACTCTGTGAGTTGAATACACACAACACAAAGGATTTACTGAGAATTCTTCTGTCTAGCAGTAAATGAGAAATCCCGCTTCCAACGAAGGCCTCAAAGGGGTCTAACTAATCACTTGCAGACTTTACAGACAGAGTCTTTCCAAACTGCTCTATGAAGAGAAAGGTGAAACTCTGTGAACTGAACGCACAGATGACAAAGCAGTTTCTGAGAATGATTCTGTGTAGTTTTTACACGAAGATATTTCCATTTCAAAGATTAGCCTCAAATCGCTTGAAATCTCCACTTGCAAACTCCACAGAAAGAATTTTTCAAAACTGCTCTGTCTAAAGGAAGGTTCAACTCTGTGACTTGAATACACACAACACAAAGAAGTGACTGAGAATTCTTCTGTCTAGCATTATATGAAGAAATCCCGTTTCCAACGAAGGCCTCAATGAAGTCCAAAAAAGCACTTGCAGGCTTTACAAACAGAGTGTTTCCAAACTGCTCTATGAAAAGAAAGGTTAAACTCTGTGAGTTGAACGCACACATCACAAAGTAGTTGTTGAGAATGATTCTGTGTAGTTTTTATACGAAGATATTTCCTTTTCTGCCATAGGCCTAGAATCGCTTGAAATCTGCACTTGCAAATTCCAAAAACAGAGTGTTTCAACTCTGCTCTCTCTAAAGAAAGGTTCAACTCTGTGAGTTGAATACACACAACACAAAGAAGTTACTGAGAATTCTTCTGTCTAGCGTTGTATGAAGAAATCCCGTTTCCAACGAAGGCCTCAATGAAGTCCAAAAAAGCACTTGCAGGCTTTACAAACAGAGTGTTTCCAAACTGCTCTATGAAAAGAAAGGTTAAACTTTGTGAGTTGAACGCACACATCACAAAGTAGTTGTTGAGAATGATTCTGTGTACTTTTAATATGAAGATATTTCCATGTCTAAGATTGGCGTCAAATCGCTTGAAATCTCCACTTGCAAATTCCACAAAAAGTGTTTTTCAAAACTGCTCTGAATAAAGGAAGGTTCCACTCTGTGAGTTGAATACACACAACACAAAGGATTTTCTGAGAATTCTTCTGTCTAGCAGTAAATGAGAAATCCCGCTTCCAACGAAGGCCTCAAAGGGGTCTAACTAATCACTTGCAGACTTTACAGACAGAGTCTTTCCAAACTGCTCTATGAAGAGAAAGGTGAAACTCTGTGAACTGAACGCACAGATGACAAAGCAGTTTCTGAGAATGATTCTGTGTAGTTTTTACACGAAGATATTTCCATTTCAAAGATTAGGCTCAAATCGCTTGAAATCTCCACTTGCAAACTCCACAGAAAGAATTTTTCAAAACTGCTCTGTCTAAAGGAAGGTTCAACTCTGTGACTTGAATACACACAACACAAAGAAGTGACTGAGAATTCTTCTGTCTAGCATTATATGAAGAAATCCCGTTTCCAACGAAGGCCTCAATGAAGTCCAAAAAAGCACTTGCAGGCTTTACAAACAGAGTGTTTCCAAACTGCTCTATGAAAAGAAAGGTTAAACTCTGTGAGTTGAACGCACACATCACAAAGTAGTTGTTGAGAATGATTCTGTGTAGTTTTTATACGAAGATATTTCCTTTTCTGCCATAGGCCTAGAAGCGCTTGAAATCTGCACTTGCAAATTCCAAAAACAGAGTGTTTCAAATCTGCTCTCTCTAAAGGAAGGTTCAAATCTGTGAGTTGAATACAAACAACACAAAGAAGTTACTGAGAATTCTTCTGTCTAGCATTATATGAGGAAATCCCGTTTCCAACGAAGGGCTCAAAGAGGGCCAATTATCCACCTGCAGACTTACAAAGAGTGTATTTCCAAACTGCTCGATTAAAGAAAGGTTAAACTCTGTGAGTTGAACACACACATCACAAAGAGTTTTCTGAGAATGATTCTGTGTAGTTTTTATACGAAGATATTTCCTTTTCTGCCATAGGCCTAGAAGCGCTTGTAATCTGCACTTGCAAATTCCGAAAACAGAGTGTTTCAAATCTGCTCTCTCTAAACGAAGGTTCAAATCTGTGAGTTGAATACAAACAACACAAAGAAGTTACTGAGAATTCTTCTGTCTAGCATTATAAGAGGAAATCCCGTTTCCAACGAAGGGCTCATAGAGGGACAATTATCCAGCTGCAGACTTACAAAGAGTGTATTTCCAAACTGCTCGATTAAAGAAAGGTTAAACTCTGTGAGTTGAACACACACATCACAAAGTGTTTTCTGAGAATGATTTTGTCTAGTTTTAATACGAAGATATATCCTTTTCTATCACTGTCTTCGAAGCGTTTGAAATCTGCACTAGCAAATTCCACAGAAAGAGTGTTTCAACTCTGCTCTCTCTCAAGAAAGGTTCAACTCTGTGAGTTGAATACACACAACACAAAGAAGTTACTGAGAATTCTTCTGTCTAGCGTTATATGAAGAAATCCCGTTTCCAACGAAGGCCTCAAAGAGGTCCAAATATCCACTTGCAGACTTTACAGATAGAGTGTTTCCAAACTGCTCTATGAAAAGAAAGGTTAAACTCCGTGAGTTGAAGGCACACATCACAAACTAGTTTCTGCGAATGACTCTGTGTACTTTTAATACGAAGATGTTTCCATGTCTAAGATTGGC
Source organism: Homo sapiens (assembly GCF_000001405.40). Lineage (NCBI taxonomy): Eukaryota > Metazoa > Chordata > Mammalia > Primates > Hominidae > Homo > Homo sapiens. Next base: position 40,079,215 of record NC_000010.11, on the reverse strand, counting down.
GTGAATTCGCTTGAAATCTCCACTTGCAAATTCCACAAAAAGAGTGTTTCAAAACTGCTCTGAATACAGGAAGGTTCCACTCTGTGAGTTGAATACACACAACACAAAGGATTTACTGAGAATTCTTCTGTCTAGCAGTAAATGAGAAATCCCGCTTTCAACGAAGGCCTCAAAGGGGTCTAACTAATCACTTGCAGACTTTACAGACAGAGTCTTTCCAAACTGCTGTATGAAAAGAAAGGTGAAACTCTGTGAACTGAACGCACAGATGACAAAGCAGTTTCTGAGAATGATTCTGTGTAGTTTTTACACGAAGATATTTCCATTTCAAAGATTAGCCTCAAATCGCTTGAAATCTCCACTTGCAAACTCCACAGAAAGAATTTTTCAAAACTGCTCTGTCTAAAGGAAGGTTCAACTCTGTGACTTGAATACACACAACACAAACAAGTGACTGAGAATTCTTCTGTCTAGCATTATATGAAGAAATCCCGTTTCCAACGAAGGCCTCAATGAAGTCCAAAAAAGCACTTGCAGGCTTTACAAACAGAGTGTTTCCAAACTGCTCTATGAAAAGAAAGGTTAAACTCTGTGAGTTGAACGCACACATCACAAAGTAGTTGTTGAGAATGATTCTGTGTAGTTTTTATACGAAGATATTTCCTTTTCTGCCATAGGCCTAGAAGCGCTTGAAATCTGCACTTGCAAATTCCAAAAACAGAGTGTTTCAAATCTGCTCTCTCTAAAGGAAGGTTCAAATCTGTGTGTTGAATACAAACAACACAAAGAAGTTACTGAGAATTCTTCTGTCTAGCATTATATGAGGAAATCCCGTTTCCAACGAAGGGCTCAAAGAGGGCCAAATATCCACCTGCAGACTTACAAAGAGTGTATTTCCAAACTGCTCGATTAAAGAAAGGTTAAACTCTGTGAGTTGAACACACACATCACAAAGAGTTTTCTGAGAATGATTTTGTCTACTTTTAATACGAAGATATATCCTTTTCTATCACTGTCTTCGAAGCGTTTGAAATCTACACTAGCAAATTCCACAAAAAGAGTGTTTCACCTCTGCTCCCTCTAAAGAAAGGTTCAACTCTGTGAGTTGAATACACACATCACAAATAAACTTCTGAGAATGCTTCTGTCTAGCGTTGTATGAAGAAATCCCGTTTCCAACGAAGGCCTCAAAGAGGTCCAAATATCCACTTGCAGACTTTACAAATAGAGTGTTTCCAAACTGCTCTATGAAAAGAAAGGTTAAACTCTGTGAGTTGAAGGCACACATCACAAACTAGTTTCTACGAATGACTCTGTGTACTTTTAATATGAAGATATTTCCATGTCTAAGATTGGCGTCAAATCGCTTGAAATCTCCACTTGCAAATTCCACAAAAAGTGTTTCTCAAAACTGCTCTGAATAAAGGAAGGTTCCACTCTGTGAGTTGAATACACACAACACAAAGGATTTACTGAGAATTCTTCTGTCTAGCAGTAAATGAGAAATCCCGCTTCCAACGAAGGCCTCAAAGGGGTCTAACTAATCACTTGCAGACTTTACAGACAGAGTCTTTCCAAACTGCTCTATGAAGAGAAAGGTGAAACTCTGTGAACTGAACGCACAGATGACAAAGCAGTTTCTGAGAATGATTCTGTGTAGTTTTTACACGAAGATATTTCCATTTCAAAGATTAGCCTCAAATCGCTTGAAATCTCCACTTGCAAACTCCACAGAAAGAATTTTTCAAAACTGCTCTGTCTAAAGGAAGGTTCAACTCCTGTGACTTGAATACACACAACACAAAGAAGTGACTGAGAATTCTTCTGTCTAGCATTACATGAAGAAATCCCGTTTCCAACGAAGGCCTCAATGAAGTCCAAAAAAGCACTTGCAGGCTTTACAAACAGAGTGTTTCCAAACTGCTCTATGAAAAGAAAGGTTAAACTCTGTGAGTTGAACGCACACATCACAAAGTAGTTGTTGAGAATGATTCTGTGTAGTTTTTATACGAAGATATTTCCTTTTCTGCCATAGGCCTAGAATCGCTTGAAATCTGCAGTTGCAAATTCCAAAAACAGAGTGTTTCAACTCTGCTCTCTCTAAAGAAAGGTTCAACTCTGTGAGTTGAATACACACAACACAAAGAAGTTACTGAGAATTCTTCTGTCTAGCGTTGTATGAAGAAATCCCGTTTCCAACGAAGGCCTCAAAGAGGTCCAAATATCCACTTGCAGACTTTACAAATAGAGTGTTTCCAAACTGCTCTATGAAAAGAAAGGTTAAACTCTGTGAGTTGAAGGCACACATCACAAACTAGTTTCTACGAATGACTCTGTGTACTTTTAATATGAAGATATTTCCATGTCTAAGATTGGCGTCAAATCGCTTGAAATCTCCACTTGCAAATTCCACGAAAAGTGTTTTTCAAAACTGCTCTGAATAAAGGAAGGTTCCACTCTGTGAGTTGAATACACACAACACAAAGGATTTACTGAGAATTCTTCTGTCTAGCAGTAAATGAGAAATCCCGCTTCCAACGAAGGCCTCAAAGGGGTCTAACTAATCACTTGCAGACTTTACAGACAGAGTCTTTCCAAACTGCTCTATGAAGAGAAAGGTGAAACTCTGTGAACTGAACGCACAGATGACAAAGCAGTTTCTGAGAATGATTCTGTGTAGTTTTTACACGAAGATATTTCCATTTCAAAGATTAGCCTCAAATCGCTTGAAATCTCCACTTGCAAACTCCACAGAAAGAATTTTTCAAAACTGCTCTGTCTAAAGGAAGGTTCAACTCTGTGACTTGAATACACACAACACAAAGAAGTGACTGAGAATTCTTCTGTCTAGCATTATATGAAGAAATCCCGTTTCCAACGAAGGCCTCAAAGAAGTCCAAAGAAGCACCTGCAGACTTTACAAACAGAGTGTTTCCAAACTGCTCTATGAAAAGAAAGGTTAAACTCTGTGAGTTGAACGCACACATCACAAAGTAGTTGTTGAGAATGATTCTGTGTAGTTTTTATACGAAGATATTTCCTTTTCTGCCATAGGCCTAGAAGCGCTTGCAATCTGCACTTGCAAATTCCAAAAACAGAGTGTTTCAAATCTGCTCTCTCCAAAGGAAGGTTCAAATCTGTGAGTTGAATACAAACAACACAAAGAAGTTACTGAGAATTCTTCTGTCTAGCATTATAAGAGGAAATCCCGTTTCCAACGAAGGGCTCATAGAGGGACAATTATCCAGCTGCAGACTTACAAAGAGTGTATTTCCAAACTGCTCGATTAAAGAAAGGTTAAACTCTGTGAGTTGAACACACACATCACAAAGTGTTTTCTGAGAATGATTTTGTCTAGTTTTAATACGAAGATATATCCTTTTCTATCACTGTCTTCGAAGCGTTTGAAATCTGCACTAGCAAATTCCACAAACAGAGTGTTTCAACTCTGCTCTCTCTCAAGAAAGGTTCAACTCTGTGAGTGGAATACACACAACACAAAGAAGTTACTGAGAATTCTTCTGTCTAGCGTTATATGAAGAAATCCCGTTTCCAACGAAGGCCTCAAAGAGGTCCAAATATCCACTTGCAGACTTTACAAATAGAGTGTTTCCAAACTGCTCTATGAAAAGAAAGGTTAAACTCTGTGAGTTGAAGGCACACATCACAAACTAGTTTCTGCGAATGACTCTGTGTACTTTTAATACGAAGATGTTTCCATGTCTAAGATTGGCGTGAATTCGCTTGAAATCTCCACTTGCAAATTCCACAAAAAGAGTGTTTCAAAACTGCTCTGAATAAAGGAAGGTTCCACTCTGTGAGTTGAATACACACAACACAAAGGATTTACTGAGAATTCTTCTGTCTAGCAGTAAATGAAAAAATCCCGCTTCCAACGAAGTCCTCAAAGGGGTCCAAGTAATCACTTGCAGACTTTACAGACAGAGTCTTTCCAAACTGCTCTATGAAAACAAAGGTGGAACTCTGTGAGCTGAACGCACACATAACAAAGCAGTTTCTGACAATGATTCTGTGTAGTTTTTACACGAAGATATTTCCATTTCAAAGATTAGCCTCAAATCGCTTGAAATCTCCACTTGCAAATTCCACAGAAAGAGTTTTTCAAAACTGCTCTGTGTAAAGGAAGGTTCAACTCTGTGACTTGAATATACACAACACAAAGAAGTGACTGAGAATTCTTCTGTCTAGCATTATATGAAGAAATCCCGTTTCCAACGAAGGCCTCAAAGAAGTCCAAATAAGCACCTGCAGACTTTACAAACAGAGTGTTTCCAAACTGCTCTATGAAAAGAAAGGTTAAACTCTGTGAGTTGAACGCACACATCACAAAGTAGTTGTTGAGAATGATTCTGTGTAGTTTTTATACGAAGATATTTCCTTTTCTGCCATAGGCCTAGAAGCGCTTGAAATCTGCACTTGCAAATTCCAAAAACAGAGTGTTTCAAAACTGCTCTCTCTAAAGGAAGGTTCAAATCTGTGAGTTGAATACAAACAACACAAAGAAGTTACTGAGAATTCTTCTGTCTAGCGTTATATGAAGATATCCCGTTTCCAACGAAGGCCTCAAAGAGGTCCAAATATCCACATGCAGACTTTAGAAATAGAGTGTTTCCAAACTGCTCTATGAAAAGAAAGGTTAAACTCCGTGAGTTGAAGGCACACATCACAAACTAGTTTCTGCGAATGACTCTGTGTACTTTTAATACGAAGGTGTTTCCATGTCTAAGATGGGCGTGAATTCGCTTGAAATCTCCACTTGCAAATTCCACAAAAAGAGTGTTTCAAAACTGCTCTGAATAAAGGAAAGTTCCACTCTGTGAGTTGAATACACACAACACAAAGGATTTACTGAGAATTCTTCTGTCTAGCAGTAAATGAAAAAATCCCGCTTCCAACGAAGTCCTCAAAGGGGTCCAAGTAATCACTTGCAGACTTTACAGACAGAGTCTTTCCAAACTGCTCTATGAAAAGAAAGGTGGAACTCTGTGAGCTGAACGCACACATAACAAAGCAGTTTCTGACAATGATTCTGTGTAGTTTTTACACGAAGATATTTCCATTTCAAAGATTAGCCTCAAATCGCTTGAAATCTCCACTTGCAAATTCCACAGAAAGAGTTTTTCAAAACTGCTCTGTGTAAAGGAAGGTTCAACTCTGTGACTTGAATACACACAACACAAAGAAGTGACTGAGAATTCTTCTGTCTAGCATTATATGAAGAAATCCCGTTTCCAACGAAGGCCTCAAAGAAGTCCAAATAAGCACCTGCAGACTTTACAAACAGAGTGTTTCCAAACTGCTCTATGAAAAGAAAGGTTAAACTCTGTGAGTTGAACGCACACATCACAAAGTAGTTGTTGAGAATGATTCTGTGTAGTTTTTATACGAAGATATTTCCTTTTCTGCCATAGGCCTAGAATCGCTTGAAATCTGCACTTGCAAATTCCAAAAACAGAGTGTTTCAACTCTGCTCTCTCTAAAGAAAGGTTCAACTCTGTGAGTTGAATACACACAACACAAAGAAGTGACTGAGAATTCTTCTGTCTAGCGTTGTATGAAGAAATCCCGTTTCCAACGAAGGCCTCAATGAAGTCCAAAAAAGCACTTGCAGGCTTTGCAAACAGAGTGTTTCCAAACTGCTCTATGAAAAGAAAGGTTAAACTCTGTGAGTTGAACGCACACATCACAAAGTAGTTGTTGAGAATGATTCTGTGTAGTTTTTTACGAAGATATTTCCTTTTCTGCCATAGGCCTAGAAGCGCTTGAAATCTGCACTTGCAAATTCCAAAAACAGAGTGTTTCAAATCTGCTCTCTCTAAAGGAAGGTTCAAATCTGTGTGTTGAATACAAACAACACAGAGAAGTTACTGAGAATTCTTCTGTCTAGCATTATAAGAGGAAATCCCGTTTCCAAAGAAGGGCTCAAAGAGGGCCAAATATCCACCTGCAGACTTACAAAGAGTGTATTTCCAAACTGCTCGATTAAAGAAAGGTTAAACTCTGTGAGTTGAACACACACATCACAAAGAGTTTTCTGACAATGATTTTGTCTACTTTTAATACGAAGATATATCCTTTTCTATCACTGTCTTCGAAGCGTTTGAAATCTACACTAGCAAATTCCACAAAAAGAGTGTTTCACCTCTGCTCCCTCTAAAGAAAGGTTCAACTCTGTGAGTTGAATACACTCAACACAAAGAAGTTACTGAGAATTCTTCTGTCTAGCGTTATATGAAGAAATCCCGTTTCCAACGAAGGCCTCAAAGAGGTCCAAATATCCACTTGCAGACTTTACAAATAGAGTGTTTCCCAACTGCTCTATGAAAAGAAAGGTTAAACTCTGTGAGTTGAAGGCACACATCACAAACTAGTTTCTACGAATGACTCTGTGTACTTTTAATATGAAGATATTTCCATGTCTAAGATTGGCGTCAAATCGCTTGAAATCTCCACTTGCAAATTCCACAAAAAGAGTGTTTCAAAACTGCTCTGAATAAAGGAAGGTTCCACTCTGTGAGTTGAATACACACAACACAAAGGATTTACTGAGAATTCTTCTGTCTAGCAGTAAATGGGAAATCCCGCTTCCAACGAAGGCCTCAAAGGGGTCTAACTAATCACTTGCAGACTTTACAGACAGAATCTTTCCAAACTGCTCTATGAAGAGAAAGGTGAAACTCTGTGAACTGAACGCACAGATGACAAAGCAGTTTCTGAGAATGATTCTGTGTAGTTTTTACACGAAGATATTTCCATTTCAAAGATTAGCCTCAAATCGCTTGAAATCTCCACTTGCAAATTCCACAGTAAGAATTTTTCAAAACTGCTCTGTCTAAAGGAAGGTTCAACTCTGTGACTTGAATACACACAACACAAAGAAGTGACTGAGAATTCTTCTGTCCAGCATTATATGAAGAAATCCCGTTTCCAACGAAGGCCTCAATGAAGTCCAAAAAAGCACTTGCAGGCTTTACAAACAGAGTGTTTCCAAACTGCTCTATGAAAACAAAGTTTAAACTCTGTGAGTTGAACGCACACATCACAAAGTAGTTGTTGAGAATGATTCTGTGTAGTTTTTATACGAAGATATTTCCTTTTCTGCCATAGGCCTAGAAGCGCTTGAAATCTGCACTTGCAAATTCCAAAAACAGAGTGTTTCAAATCTGCTCTCTCTAAAGGAAGGTTCAAATCTGTGAGTTGAATACAAACAACACAAAGAAGTTACTGAGAATTCTTCTGTCTAGCATTATATGAGGAAATCCCGTTTCCAATGAAGGGCTCAAAGAGGGCCAATTATCCACCTGCAGACTTACAAAGAGTGTATTTCCAAACTGCTCGATTAAAGAAAGGTTAAACTGTGTGAGTTGAACACACACATCACAAAGTGTTTTCTGAGAATGATTTTGTCTAGTTTTAATACGAAGATATATCCTTTTCTATCACTGTCTTCGAAGCGTTTGAAATCTGCACTAGCAAATTCCACAAAAAGAGTGTTTCAACTCTGCTCTCTCTAAAGAAAGGTTCAACTCTGTGAGTTGAATACACACAACACAAAGAAGTTACTGAGAATTCTTCTGTCTAGCGTTATATGAAGAAATCCCTTTTCCAACGAAGGCCTCAAAGAGTTCCAAATATCCACTTGCAGACTTTACAAATAGAATGTTTCCGAACTGCTCTATGAAAAGAAAGGTTAAACTCTGTGAGTTGAAGGCACACAACACAAACTAGTTTCTACGAATGATTCTGTGTACTTTTAATACGAAGATGTTTCCATGTCTAAGATTGGCGTGAATTCGCTTGAAATCTCCACTTGCAAATTCCACAAAAAGAGTGTTTCAAAACTGCTCTGAATAAAGGAAGGTTCCACTCTTGTGAGTTGAATACACACAACACAAAGGATTTACTGAGAATTCTTCTGTCTAGCAGTAAATGAGAAATCCCGCTTCCAACGAAGTCCTCAAAGGGGACTAACTAATCACTTGCAGACTTTACAGACAGAGTCTTTCCAAACTGCTCTATGAAGAGAAAGGTGAAACTCTGTGAACTGAACGCACAGATAACAAAGCAGTTTCTGAGAATGATTCTGTGTAGTTTTTACACGAAGATATTTCCATTTCAAAGATTAGCCTCAAATCGCTTGAAATCTCCACTTGCAAACTCCACAGAAAGAATTTTTCAAAACTGCTCTGTCTAAAGGAAGGTTCAACTCTGTGACTTGAATACACACAACACAAAGAAGTGACTGAGAATTCTTCTGTCTAGCATTATATGAAGAAATCCCGTTTCCAACGAAGGCCTCAATGAAGTCCAAAAAAGCACTTGCAGGCTTTACAAACAGAGTGTTTCCAAACTGCTCTATGAAAAGAAAGGTTAAACTCTGTGAGTTGAACGCACACATCACAAAGTAGTTGTTGAGAATGATTCTGTGTAGTTTTTATACGAAGATATTTCCTTTTCTGCCATAGGCCTAGAAGCGCTTGAAATCTGCACTTGCAAATTCCAAAAACAGAGTGTTTCAAATCTGCTCTCTCTAAAGGAAGGTTCAAATCTGTGTGTTGAATACAAACAACACAAAGAAGTTACTGAGAATTCTTCTGTCTAGCATTATATGAGGAAATCCCGTTTCCAACGAAGGGCTCAAAGAGGGCCAAATATCCACCTGCAGACTTACAAAGAGTGTATTTCCAAACTGCTCGATTAAAGAAAGGTTAAACTCTGTGAGTTGAACACACACATCACAAAGAGTTTTCTGAGAATGATTTTGTCTACTTTTAATACGAAGATATATCCTTTTCTATCACTGTCTTCGAAGCGTTTGAAATCTACACTAGCAAATTCCACAAAAAGAGTGTTTCACCTCTGCTCCCTCTAAAGAAAGGTTCAACTCTGTGAGTTGAATACACACAACACAAAGAAGTTACTGAGAATTCTTCTGTCTAGCGTTATATGAAGAAATCCCGTTTCCAACGAAGGCCTCAAAGAGGTCCAAATATCCACTTGCAGACTTTACAAATAGAGTGTTTCCCAACTGCTCTATGAAAAGAAAGGTTAAACTCTGTGAGTTGAAGGCACACATCACAAACTAGTTTCTACGAATGACTCTGTGTACTTTTAATATGAAGATATTTCCATGTCTAAGATTGGCGTCAAATCGCTTGAAATCTCCACTTGCAAATTCCACAAAAAGAGTGTTTCAAAACTGCTCTGAATAAAGGAAGGTTCCACTCTGTGAGTTGAATACACACAACACAAAGGATTTACTGAGAATTCTTCTGTCTAGCAGTAAATGAGAAATCCCGCTTCCAACGAAGGCCTCAAAGGGGTCTAACTAATCACTTGCAGACTTTACAGACAAAGTCTTTCCAAACTGCTCTATGAAGAGAAAGGTGAAACTCTGTGAACTGAACGCACAGATGACAAAGCAGTTTCTGAGAATGATTCTGTGTAGTTTTTACACGAAGATATTTCCATTTCAAAGATTAGCCTCAAATCGCTTGAAATCTCCACTTGCAAATTACACAGAAAGAATTTTTCAAAACTGCTCTGTCTAAAGGAAGGTTCAACTCTGTGACTTGAATACACACAACACAAAGAAGTGACTGAGAATTCTTCTGTCTAGCATTATATGAAGAAATCCCGTTTCCAACGAAGGCCTCAATGAAGTCCAAAAAGGCACTTGCAGGCTTTACAAACAGAGTGTTTCCAAACTGCTCTATGAAAAGAAAGGTTAAACTCTGTGAGTTGAACGCACACATCACAAAGTAGTTGTTGAGAATGATTCTGTGTAGTTTTTATACGAAGATATTTCCTTTTCTGCCATAGGCCTAGAGTCGCTTGAAATCTGCAGTTGCAAATTCCAAAAACAGAGTGTTTCAACTCTGCTCTCTCTAAAGAAAGGTTCAACTCTGTGAGTTGAATACACACAACACAAAGAAGTTACTGAGAATTCTTCTGTCTAGCGTTGTATGAAGAAATCCCGTTTCCAACGAAGGCCTCAAAGAGGTCCAAATATCCACTTGCAGACTTTACAAATAGAGTGTTTCCAAACTGCTCTATGAAAAGAAAGGTTAAACTCTGTGAGTTGAAGGCACACATCACAAACTAGTTTCTACGAATGACTCTGTGTACTTTTAATATGAAGATATTTCCATGTCTAAGATTGGCGTCAAATCGCTTGAAATCTCCACTTGCAAATTCCACAAAAAGAGTGTTTCAAAACTGCTCTGAATAAAGGAAGGTTCCACTCTGTGAGTTGAATACACACAACACAAAGGATTTACTGAGAATTCTTCTGTCTAGCAGTAAATGAGAAATCCCACTTCCAACGAAGGCCTCAAAGGGGTCTAACTAATCACTTGCAGACTTTACAGACAGAGTCTTTCCAAACTGCTCTATGAAGAGAAAGGTGAAACTCTGTGAAATGAACGCACAGATGACAAAGCAGTTTCTGAGAATGATTCTGTGTAGTTTTTACACGAAGATATTTCCATTTCAAAGATTAGCCTCAAATCGCTTGAAATCTCCACTTGCAAACTCCACAGAAAGAATTTTTCAAAACTGCTCTGTCTAAAGGAAGGTTCAACTCTGTGACTTGAATACACACAACACAAAGAAGTGACTGAGAATTCTTCTGTCTAGCATTATATGAAGAAATCCCGTTTCCAACGAAGGCCTCAATGAAGTCCAAAAAAGCAATTACAGGCTTTACAAACAGAGTGTTTCCAAACTGCTCTATGAAAAGAAAGGTTAAACTTTGTGAGTTGAACGCACACATCACAAAGTAGTTGTTGAGAATGATTCTGTGTAGTTTTTATACGAAGATATTTCCTTTTCTGCCATAGGCCTAGAAGCGCTTGAAATCTGCACTTGCAAATTCCAAAAACAGAGTGTTTCAAATCTGCTCTCTCTAAAGGAAGGTTCAAATCTGTGAGTTGAATACAAACAACACAAAGAAGTTACTGAGAATTCTTCTGTCTAGCATTATATGAGGAAATCCCGTTTCCAATGAAGGGCTCAAAGAGGGCCAATTATCCACCTGCAGACTTACAAAGAGTGTATTTCCAAACTGCTCGATTAAAGAAAGGTTAAACTGTGTGAGTTGAACACACACATCACAAAGTGTTTTCTGAGAATGATTTTGTCTAGTTTTAATACGAAGATATATCCTTTTCTATCACTGTCTTCGAAGCGTTTGAAATCTGCACTAGCAAATTCCACAAAAAGAGTGTTTTAACTCTGCTCTCTCTAAAGAAAGGTTCAACTCTGTGAGTTGAATACACACAACACAAAGAAGTTACTGAGAATTCTTCTGTCTAGCGTTATATGAAGAAATCCCTTTTCCAACGAAGGCCTCAAAGAGTTCCAAATATCCACTTGCAGACTTTACAAATAGAATGTTTCCGAACTGCTCTATGAAAAGAAAGGTTAAACTTCTGTGAGTTGAAGGCACACAACACAAACTAGTTTCTACGAATGATTCTGTGTACTTTTAATATGAAGATATTTCCATGTCTAAGATTGGCGTCAAATCGCTTGAAATCTCCACTTGCAAATTCCACAAAAAGAGTGTTTCAAAACTGCTCTGAATAAAGGAAGTTTCCACTCTGTGAGTTGAATAAACACAACACAAAGGATTTACTGAGAATTCTTCTGTCTAGCATTATATGAAGAAATCCCGTTTCCAACGAAGGCCTCAATGAAGTCCAAAAAAGCACTTGCAGGCTTTACAAACAGAGTGTTTCCAAACTTCTCTATGAAAAGAAAGGTTAAACTTTGTGAGTTGAACGCACACATCACAAAGTAGTTGTTGAGAATGATTCTGTGTAGTTTTTATACGAAGATATTTCCTTTTCTGCCATAGGCCTAGAATCGCTTGAAATCTGCACTTGCAAATTCCAAAAACAGAGTGTTTCAACTCTGCTCTCTCTAAAGAAAGGTTCAACTCTGTGAGTTGAATACACACAACACAAAGAAGTTACTGAGAATTCTTCTGTCTAGCGTTGTATGTAGAAATCCCGTTTCCAACGGAGGCCTCAAAGAGGTCCAAATATCCACTTGCAGAATTTACAAACAGAGTGTTTCCAAACTGCTCTATGAAAAGAAAGGTTAAACTCTGTGAGTTGAAGGCACACATCACAAACTAGTTTCTACGAATGACTCTGTGTACTTTTAATATGAAGATATTTCCATGTCTAAGATTGGCGTCAAATCACTTGAAATCTCCACTTGCAAATTCCACAAAAAGTGTTTTTCAAAACTGCTCTGAATAAAGGAAGGTTCCACTCTGTGAGTTGAATACACACAACACAAAGGATTTACTGAGAATTCTTCTGTCTAGCAGTAAATGAGAAATCCCGCTTCCAACGAAGGCCTCAAAGGGGTCTAACTAATCACTTGCAGACTTTACAGACAGAGTCTTTCCAAACTGCTCTATGAAGAGAAAGGTGAAACTCTGTGAACTGAACGCACAGATAACAAAGCAGTTTCTGAGAATGATTCTGTGTAGTTTTTCCACGAAGATATTTCCATTTCAAAGATTAGCCTCAAATCGCTTAAAATCTCCAATTGCAAATTCCACAGAAAGAATTTTTCAAAACTGCTCTGTCTAAAGGAAGGTTCACCTCTGTGACTTGAATACACAAAACACAAAGAACTGACTGAGAATTCTTCTGTCTAGCATTATATGAAGAAATCCCGTTTCCAACGAAGGCCTCAATGAAGTCCAAAAAAGCACTTGCAGGCTTTACAAACAGAGTGTTTCCAAACTGCTCTAAGAAAAGAAAGGTTAAACTCTGTGAGTTGAACGCACACATCACAAAGTAGTTGTTGAGAATGATTCTGTGTAGTTTTTATATGAAGATATTTCCTTTTCTGCCATAGGCCTAGAAGCGCTTGAAATCTGCACTTGCAAATTCCAAAAACAGAGTGTTTCAAATCTGCTCTCTCTAAAGGAAGGTTCAAATCTGTGAGTTGAATACAAACAACACAAAGAAGTTACTGAGAATTCTTCTGTCTAGCATTATATGAGGAAATCCCGTTTCCAACGAAGGGCTCAAAGAGGGCCAATTATCCACCTGCAGACTTACAAAGAGTGTATTTCCAAACTGCTCGATTAAAGAAAGGTTAAACTCTGTGAGTTGAACACACACATCACAAAGTGTTTTCTGAGAATGATTTTGTCTAGTTTTAATACGAAGATATATCCTTTTCTATCACTGTCTTCGAAGCGTTTGAAATCTGCACTAGCAAATTCCACAAGAAGAGTGTTTCAACTCTGCTCTCTCTAAAGAAAGGTTCAACTCGGTGAGTTGAATACACACAACACAAAGAAGTTACTGAGAATTCTTCTGTCTAGCGTTATATGAAGAAATCCCGTTTCCAACGAAGGCCTCAAAGAGGTCCAAATATCCACTTGCAGACTTTACAAATAGAGTGTTTCCCAACTGCTCTATGAAAAGAAAGGTTAAACTCTGTGAGTTGAAGGCACACATCACAAACTAGTTTCTACGAATGACTCTGTGTACTTTTAATATGAAGATATTTCCATGTCTAAGATTGGCGTCAAATCGCTTGAAATCTCCACTTGCAAATTCCACAAAAAGAGTGTTTCAAAACTGCTCTGAATAAAGGAAGGTTCCACTCTGTGAGTTGAATACACACAACACAAAGGATTTACTGAGAATTCTTCTGTCTAGCAGTAAATGAAAAAATCCCGCTTCCAACGAAGTCCTCAAAGGGGTCCAAGTAATCACTTGCAGACTTTACAGACAGAGTCTTTCCAAACTGCTCTATGAAAACAAAGGTGGAACTACTGTGAGCTGAACGCACACATAACAAAGCAGTTTCTGAGAATGATTCTGTGTAGTTTTTACACGAAGATATTTCCATTTCAAAGATTAGCCTCAAATCGCTTGAAATCTCCACTTGCAAATTACACAGAAAGAATTTTTCAAAACTGCTCTGTCTAAAGGAAGGTTCAACTCTGTGACTTGAATACACACAACACAAAGAAGTTACTGGAGAATTCTTCTGTCTAGCATTATATGAAGAAATCCCGTTTCCAACGAAGGCCTCAAAGAAGTCCAAATAAGCACCTGCAGACTTTACAAACAGAGTGTTTCCAAACTGCTCTATGAAAAGAAAGGTTAAACTCTGTGAGTTGAACGCACACATCACAAAGTAGTTGTTGAGAATGATTCTGTGTAGTTTTTATACGAAGATATTTCTTTTTCTGCCATAGGCCTAGAAGCGCTTGTAATCTGCACTTGCAAATTCCAAAAACAGAGTGTTTCAAATCTGCTCTCTCTAAAGGAAGGTTCAAATCTGTGAGTTGAATACAAACAACACAAAGAAGTTACTGAGAATTCTTCTGTCTAGCATTATATGAGGAAATCCCGTTTCCAATGAAGGGCTCATAGAGGGACAATTATCCAGCTGCAGACTTACAAAGAGTGTATTTCCAAACTGCTCGATTAAAGAAAGGTTAAACTCTGTGAGTTGAACACACACATCACAAAGTGTTTTCTGAGAATGATTTTGTCTAGTTTTAATACGAAGATATATCCTTTTCTATCACTGTCTTCGAAGCGTTTGAAATCTGCACTAGCAAATTCCACAAACAGAGTGTTTCAACTCTGCTCTCTCTCAAGAAAGGTTCAACTCTGTGAGTGGAATACACACAACACAAAGAAGTTACTGAGAATTCTTCTGTCTAGCGTTATATGAAGAAATCCCGTTTCCAACGAAGGCCTCAAAGAGGTCCAAATATCCACTTGCAGACTTTACAAATAGAGTGTTTCCAAACTGCTCTATGAAAAGAAAGGTTAAACTCCGTGAGTTGAAGGCACACATCACAAACTAGTTTCTGCGAATGACTCTGTGTACTTTTAATACGAAGATGTTTCCATGTCTAAGATTGGCGTGAATTCGCTTGAAATCTCCACTTGCAAATTCCACAAAAAGAGTGTTTCAAAACTGCTCTGAATAAAGGAAGGTTCCACTCTGTGAGTTGAATACACACAACACAAAGGATTTACTGAGAATTCTTCTGTCTAGCAGTAAATGAAAAAATCCCGCTTCCAACGAAGTCCTCAAAGGGGTCCAAGTAATCACTTGCAGACTTTACAGACAGAGTCTTTCCAAACTGCTCTATGAAAAGAAAGGTGGAACTCTGTGAGCTGAACGCACACATAACAAAGCAGTTTCTGAGAATGATTCTGTGTAGTTTTTACACGAAGATATTTCCATTTCAAAGATTAGCCTCAAATCGCTTGAAATCTCCACTTGCAAATTCCACAGAAAGAGTTTTTCAAAACTGCTCTGTGTAAAGGAAGGTTCAACTCTGTGACTTGAATACACACAACACAAAGAAGTGACTGAGAATTCTTCTGTCTAGCATTATATGAAGAAATCCCGTTTCCAACGAAGGCCTCAAAGAAGTCCAAATAAGCACCTGCAGACTTTACAAACAGAGTGTTTCCAAACTGCTCTATGAAAAGAAAGGTTAAACTCTGTGAGTTGAACGCACACATCACAAAGTAGTTGTTGAGAATGATTCTGTGTAGTTTTTATACGAAGATATTTCCTTTTCTGCCATAGGCCTAGAAGCGCTTGCAATCTGCACTTACAATTTCCAAAAGCAGAGTGTTTCAAATCTGCTCTCTCTAAAGGAAAGTTCAAATCTGTGAGTTGAATACAAACAACACAAAGAAGTTACTGAGAATACTTCTGTCTAGCATTATATGAGGAAATCCCGTTTCCAACGAAGGGCTCATAGAGGGACAATTATCCACCTGCAGACTTACAAAGAGTGTATTTCCAAACTGCTCGATTACAGAAAGGTTAAACTCTGTGAGTTGAACACACACATCACAAAGTGTTTTCTGAGAATGATTTTGTCTAGTTTTAATACGAAGATATATCCTTTTCTATCACTGTCTTCGAAGAGTTTGAAATCTGCACTAGCAAATTCCACAGAAAGAGTGTTTCAACTCTGCTCTCTCTCAACAAAGGTTCAACTCTGTGAGTGGAATACACACAACACAAAGAAGTTACAGAGAATTCTTCTGTCTAGCGTTATATGAAGAAATCCCGTTTCCAACGAAGGCCTCAAAGAGGTCCAAATATCCACTTGCAGACTTTACAAATAGAGTGTTTCCAAACTGCTCTATGAAAAGAAAGCTTAAACTCTGTGAGTTGAAGGCACACATCACAAACTAGTTTCTGCGAATGACTCTGTGTACTTTTAATACGAAGATGTTTCCATGTCTAAGATTGGCGTGAATTCGCTTGAAATCTCCACTTGCAAATTCCACAAAAAGAGTGTTTCAAAACTGCTCTGAATAAAGGAAGGTTCCACTCTGCGAGTTGAATACACACAACACAAAGGATTTACTGAGAATTCTTCTGTCTAGCAGTAAATGAAAAAATCCCGCTTCCAACGAAGTCCTCAAAGGTGTCCAAGTAATCACTTGCAGACTTTACAGACAGAGTCTTTCCAAACTGCTCTACGAAAAGAAAGGTGGAACGCTGTGAGCTGAACGCACACATAACAAAGCAGTTTCTGAGAATGATTCTGTGTAGTTTTTACACGAAGATATTTCCATTTCAAAGATTAGCCTCAAATCGCTTGAAATCTCCACTTGCAAATTCCACAGAAAGAGTTTTTCAAAACTGCTCTGTGTAAAGGAAGGTTCAACTCTGTGACTTGAATACACACAACACAAAGAAGTGACTGAGAATTCTTCTGTCTAGGATTATATGAAGAAATCCCGTTTCCAACGAAGGCCTCAAAGAAGTCCAAATAAGCACCTGCAGACTTTACAAACAGAGTGTTTCCAAACTGCTCTATGAAAAGAAAGGTTAAACTCTGTGAGTTGAACGCACACATCACAAAGTAGTTGTTGAGAATGATTCTGTGTAGTTTTTATACGAAGATATTTCCTTTTCTGCCATAGGCCTAGAAGCGCTTGCAATCTGCACTTGCAAATTCCAAAAACAGAGTGTTTCAAATCTGCTCTCTCCAAAGGAAGGTTCAAATCTGTGAGTTGAATACAAACAACACAAAGAAGTTACTGAGAATTCTTCTGTCTAGCATTATATGAGGAAATCCCGTTTCCAACGAAGGGCTCATAGAGGGACAATTATCCACCTGCAGAATTACAAAGAGTGCATTTCCAAACTGCTCGATTAAAGAAAGGTTAAACTCTGTGAGTTGAACACACACATCACAAAGTGTTTTCTGAGAATGATTTTGTCTAGTTTTAATACGAAGATATATCCTTTTCTATCACTGTCTTCGAAGCGTTTGAAATCTGCACTAGCAAATTCCACAGAAAGAGTGTTTCAACTCTGCTCTCTCTCAAGAAAGGTTCAACTCTGTGAGTGGAATACACACAACACAAAGAAGTTACAGAGAATTCTTCTGTCTAGCGTTATATGAAGAAATCCCGTTTCCAACGAAGGCCTCAAAGAGGTCCAAATATCCACTTGCAGACTTTACAAAGAGAGTGTTTCCAAACTGCTCTATGAAAAGAAAGGTTAAACTCCGTGAGTTGAAGGCACTCATCACAAACTAGTTTCTGCGAATGACTCTGTGTACTTTTATACGAAGATGTTTCCATGTCTAAGATTGGCGTGAATTCGCTTGAAATCTCCACTTGCAAATTCCACAAAAAGAGTGTTTCAAAACTGCTCTGAATAAAGGAAGGTTCCACTCTGTGAGTTGAATACACACAACACAAAGGATTTACTGAGAATTCTTCTGTCTAGCAGTAAATGAAAAAATCCCGCTTCCAACGAAGTCCTCAAAGGGGTCCAAGTAATCACTTGCAGACTTTACAGACAGAGTCTTTCCAAACTGCTCTATGAAAAGAAAGGTGGAACTCTGTGAGCTGAACGCACACATAACAAAGCAGTTTCTGACAATGATTCTGTGTAGTTTTTACACGAAGATATTTCCATTTCAAAGATTAGCCTCAAATCGCTTGAAATCTCCACTTGCAAATTCCACAGAAAGAGTTTTTCAAAACTGCTCTGTGTAAAGGAAGGTTCAACTCTGTGACTTGAATACACACAACACAAAGAAGTGACTGAGAATTCTTCTGTCTAGCATTATATGAAGAAATCCCGTTTCCAACGAAGGCCTCAAAGAAGTCCAAATAAGCACCTGCAGACTTTACAAACAGAGTGTTTCCAAACTGCTCTATGAAAAGAAAGGTTAAACTCTGTGAGTTGAACGCACACATCACAAAGTAGTTGTTGAGAATGATTCTGTGTAGTTTTTATACGAAGATATTTCCTTTTCTGCCATAGGCCTAGAAGCGCTTGAAATCTGCACTTGCAAATTCCAAAAACAGAGTGTTTCAAATCTGCTCTCTCTAAAGGAAGGTTCAAATCTGTGAGTTGAATACAAACAACACAAAGAAGTTACTGAGAATTCTTCTGTCTAGCATTATAAGAGGAAATCCCGTTTCCAACGAAGGGCTCATAGAGGGACAATTATCCAGCTGCAGACTTACAAAGAGTGTATTTCCAAACTGCTCGATTAAAGAAAGGTTAAACTCTGTGAGTTGAACACACACATCACAAAGTGTTTTCTGAGAATGATTTTGTCTAGTTTTAATACGAAGATATATCCTTTTCTATCACTGTCTTCGAAGCGTTTGAAATCTGCACTAGCAAATTCCACAGAAAGAGTGTTTCAACTCTGCTCTCTCTCAAGAAAGGTTCAACTCTGTGAGTTGAATACACACAACACAAAGAAGTTACTGAGAATTCTTCTGTCTAGCGTTATATGAAGAAATCCCGTTTCCAACGAAGGCCTCAAAGAGGTCCAAATATCCACTTGCAGACTTTACAAATAGAGTGTTTCCAAACTGCTCTATGAAAAGAAAGGTTAAACTCCGTGAGTTGAAGGCACACATCACAAGCTAGTTTCTGCGAATGACTCTGTGTACTTTTAATACGAAGTTGTTTCCATGTCTAAGATTGGCGTGAATTCGCTTGAAATCTCCACTTGCAAGTTCCACAAAAAGAGTGTTTCAAAACTGCTCTGAATAAAGGAAGGTTCCACTCTGTGAGTTGAATACACACAACACAAAGGATTTACTGAGAATTCTTCTGTCTAGCAGTAAATGAAAAAATCCCGCTTCCAACGAAGTCCTCAAAGGGGTCCAAGTAATCACTTGCAGACTTTACAGACAGAGTCTTTCCAAACTGCTCTATGAAAAGAAAGGTGGAACTCTGTGAGCTGAACGCACACATAACAAAGCAGTTTCTGAGAATGATTCTGTGTAGTTTTTACACGAAGCTATTTCCATTTCAAAGATTAGCCTCAAATCGCTTGAAATCTCCACTTGCAAATTCCACAGAAAGAGTTTTTCAAAACTGCTCTGTGTAAAGGAAGGTTCAACTCTGTGACTTGAATACACACAACACAAAGAAGTGACTGAGAATTCTTCTGTCTAGCGTTATATGAAGAAATCCCGTTTCCAACGAAGGCCTCAAAGAGGTCCAAATATCCACTTGCAGACTTTACAAATAGAGTGTTTCCAAACTGCTCTATGAAAAGAAAGGTTAAACTCCGTGAGTTGAAGGCACACATCACAAACTAGTTTCTGCGAATGACTCTGTGTACTTTTAATACGAAGATGTTTCCATGTCTAAGATTGGCGTGAATTCGCTTGAAATCTCCACTTGCAAATTCCACAAAAAGAGTGTTTCAAAACTGCTCTGAATAAAGGAAGGTTCCACTCTGTGAGTTGAATACACACAACACAAAGGATTTACTGAGAATTCTTCTGTCTAGCAGTAAATGAAAAAATCCCGCTTCCAACGAAGTCCTCAAAGGGGTCCAAGTAATCACTTGCAGACTTTACAGACAGAGTCTTTCCAAACTGCTCTATGAAAAGAAAGGTGGAACTCTGTGAGCTGAACGCACACATAAGAAAGCAGTTTCTGAGAATGATTCTGTGTAGTTTTTACACGAAGCTATTTCCATTTCAAAGATTAGCCTCAAATCGCTTGAAATCTCCACTTGCAAATTCCACAGAAAGAGTTTTTCAAAACTGCTCTGTGTAAAGGAAGGTTCAACTCTGTGACTTGAATACACACAACACAAAGAAGTTACTGAGAATTCTTCTGTCTAGCGTTATATGAAGAAATCCCGTTTCCAACGAAGGCCTCAAAGAGGTCCAAATATCCACTTGCAGACTTTACAAATAGAGTGTTTCCAAACTGCTCTATGAAAAGAAAGGTTAAACTCCGTGAGTTGAAGGCACACATCACAAACTAGTTTCTGCAAATGACTCTGTGTACTTTTAATACGAAGATGTTTCCATGTCTAAGATTGGCGTGAATTCGCTTGAAATCTCCACTTGCAAATTCCACAAAAAGAGTGTTTCAAAAGTGCTCTGAACAAAGGAAGGTTCCACTCTGTGAGTTGAATACACACAACACAAAGGATTTACTGAGAATTCTTCTGTCTAGCAGTAAATGAAAAAATCCCGCTTCCAACGAAGTCCTCAAAGGGGTCCAAGTAATCACTTGCAGACTTTACAGACAGAGTCTTTCCAAACTGCTCTATGAAAAGAAAGGTGGAACTCTGTGAGCTGAACGCACACATAACAAAGCAGTTTCTGAGAATGATTCTGTGTAGTTTTTACACGAAGCTATTTCCATTTCAAAGATTAGCCTCAAATCGCTTGAAATCTCCACTTGCAAATTCCACAGAAAGAGTTTTTCAAAACTGCTCTGTGTAAAGGAAAGTTCAACTCTGTGACTTGAATACACACAACACAAAGAAGTGACTGAGAATTCTTCTGTCTAGCATTACATGAATAAATCCCGTTTCCAACGAAGGCCTCAAAGAAGTCCAAATAAGCACCTGCAGACTTTACAAACAGAGTGTTTCCAAACTGCTCTATGAAAAGAAAGGTTAAACTCTGTGAGTTGAACGCACACATCACAAAGTAGTTGTCGAGAATGATTCTGTGTAGTTTTTATACGAAGATATTTCCTTTTCTGCCATAGGCCTAGAAGCGCTTGTAATCTGCACTTGCAAATTCCAAAAACAGAGTGTTTCAAATCTGCTCTCTCTAAAGGAAGGTTCAAATCTGTGAGTTGAATACAAACAACACAAAGAAGTTACTGAGAATTCTTCTGTCTAGCATTATAAGAGGAAATCCCGTTTCCAACGAAGGGCTCATAGAGGGACAATTATCCAGCTGCAGACT
The DNA here is from genome assembly GCF_000001405.40 of Homo sapiens. NCBI lineage: Eukaryota > Metazoa > Chordata > Mammalia > Primates > Hominidae > Homo > Homo sapiens. The sequence continues at coordinate 40,057,961 of NC_000010.11, read as the reverse complement.
TACAAAGAGTGCATTTCCAAACTGCTCGATTAAAGAAAGGTTAAACTCTGTGAGTTGAACACACACATCACAAAGTGTTTTCTGAGAATGATTTTGTCTAGTTTTAATACGAAGATATATCCTTTTCTATCACTGTCTTCGAAGCGTTTGAAATCTGCACTAGCAAATTCCACAGAAAGAGTGTTTCAACTCTGCTCTCTCTCAAGAAAGGTTCAACTCTGTGAGTGGAATACACACAACACAAAGAAGTTACTGAGAATTCTTCTGTCTAGCGTTATATGAAGAAATCCCGTTTCCAACGAAGGCCTCAAAGAGGTCCAAATATCCACTTGCAGACTTTACAAATAGAGTGTTTCCAAACTGCTCTATGAAAAGAAAGGTTAAACTCCGTGAGTTGAAGGCACACATCACAAACTAGTTTCTGCGAATGACTCTGTGTACTTTTAATACGAAGATGTTTCCACGTCTAAGATTGGCGTGAATTCGCTTGAAATCTCCACTTGCAATTTCCACAAAAAGAGTGTTTCAAAACTGCTCTGAATAAAGGAAGGTTCCACTCTGTGAGTTGAATACACACAACACAAAGGATTTACTGAGAATTCTTCTGTCTAGCAGTAAATGAAAAAATCCCGCTTCCAACGAAGTCCTCAAAGGGGTCCAAGTAATCACTTGCAGACTTTACAGACAGAGTCTTTCCAAACTGCTCTATGAAAAGAAAGGTGGAACTCTGTGAGCTGAACGCACACATAACAAAGCAGTTTCTGACAATGATTCTGTGTAGTTTTTACACGAAGCTATTTCCATTTCAAAGATTAGCCTCAAATCGCTTGAAATCTCCACTTGCAAATTCCACAGAAAGAGTTTTTCAAAACTGCTCTGTGTAAAGGAAGGTTCAACTCTGTGACTTGAATACACACAACACAAAGAAGTGACTGAGAATTCTTCTGTCTAGCATTATATGAAGAAATCCCGTTTCCAACGAAGGCCTCAAAGAAGTCCAAATAAGCACCTGCAGACTTTACAAACAGAGTGTTTCCAAACTGCTCTATGAAAAGAAAGGTTAAACTCTGTGAGTTGAACGCACACATCACAAAGTAGTTGTTGAGAATGATTCTGTGTAGTTTTTATACGAAGATATTTCCTTTTCTGCCATAGGCCTAGAAGCGCTTGTAATCTGCACTTGCAAATTCCGAAAACAGAGTGTTTCAAATCTGCTCTCTCTAAAGGAAGGTTCAAATCTGTGAGTTGAATACAAACAACACAAAGAAGTTACTGAGAATTCTTCTGTCTAGCATTATAAGAGGAAATCCCGTTTCCAACGAAGGGCTCATAGAGGGACAATTATCCAGCTGCAGACTTACAAAGAGTGTATTTCGAAACTGCTCGATTAAAGAAAGGTTAACCTCTGTGAGTTGAACACACACATCACAAAGTGTTTTCTGAGAATGATTTTGTCTAGTTTTAATACGAAGATATATCCTTTTCTATCACTGTCTTCGAAGCGTTTGAAATCTGCACTAGCAAATTCCACAGAAAGAGTGTTTCAACTCTGCTCTCTCTCAAGAAAGGTTCAACTCTGTGAGTTGAATACACACAACACAAAGAAGTTACTGAGAATTCTTCTGTCTAGCGTTATATGAAGAAATCCCGTTTCCAACGAAGGCCTCAAAGAGGTCCAAATATCCACTTGCAGACTTTACAAATAGAGTGTTTCCAAACTGCTCTATGAAAAGAAAGGTTAAACTCCGTGAGTTGAAGGCACACATTACAAGCTAGTTTCTGCGAATGACTCTGTGTACTTTTAATACGAAGTTGTTTCCATGTCTAAGATTGGCGTGAATTCGCTTGAAATCTCCACTTGCAAATTCCACAAAAAGAGTGCTTCAAAACTGCTCTGAATAAAGGAAGGTTCCACTCTGTGAGTTGAATACACACAACACAAAGGATTTACTGAGAATTCTTCTGTCTAGCAGTAAATGAAAAAATACCGCTTCCAACGAAGTCCTCAAAGGGGTCCAAGTAATCACTTGCAGACTTTACAGACAGAGTCTTTCCAAACTGCTCTATGAAAAGAAAGGTGGAACTCTGTGAGCTGAACGCACACATAACAAAGAAGTTTCTGAGAATGATTCTGTGTAGTTTTTACACGAAGCTATTTCCATTTCAAAGATTAGCCTCAAATCGCTTGAAATCTCCACTTGCAAATTCCACAGAAAGAGTTTTTCAAAACTGCTCTGTGTAAAGGAAGGTTCAACTCTGTGACTTGAATACACACAACACAAAGAAGTGACTGAGAATTCTTCTGTCTAGCATTACATGAAGAAATCCCGTTTCCAACGAAGGCCTCAAAGAAGTCCAAATAAGCACCTGCAGACTTTACAAACAGAGTGTTTCCAAACTGCTCTATGAAAAGAAAGGTTAAACTCTGTGAGTTGAACGCACACATCACAAAGTAGTTGTTGAGAATGATTCTGTGTAGTTTTTATACGAAGATATTTCCTTTTCTGCCATAGGCCTAGAAGCGCTTGTAATCTGCACTTGCAAATTCCAAAAACAGAGTGTTTCAAATCTGCTCTCTCTAAAGGAAGGTTCAAATCTGTGAGTTGAATACAAACAACACAAAGAAGTTACTGAGAATTCTTCTGTCTAGCATTATAAGAGGAAATCCTGTTTCCAACGAAGGGCTCATAGAGGGACAATTATCCAGCTGCAGACTTACAAAGAGTGTATTTCCAAACTGCTCGATTAAAGAAAGGTTAAACTCTGTGAGTTGAACACACACATCACAAAGTGTTTTCTGAGAATGATTTTGTCTAGTTTTAATACGAAGATATATCCTTTTCTATCACTGTCTTCGAAGCGTTTGAAATCTGCACTAGCAAATTCCACAAACAGAGTGTTTCAACTCTGCTCTCTCTCAAGAAAGGTTCAACTCTGTGAGTTGAATACACACAACACAAAGAAGTTACTGAGAATTCTTCTGTCTAGCGTTATATGAAGAAATCCCGTTTCCAACGAAGGCCTCAAAGAGGTCCAAATATCCACTTGCAGACTTTACAAATAGAGTGTTTCCAAACTGCTCTATGAAAAGAAAGGTTAAACTCCGTGAGTTGAAGGCACACATCACAAACTAGTTTCTGCGAATGACTCTGTGTACTTTTAATACGAAGATGTTTCCATGTGTAAGATTGGCGTGAATTCGCTTGAAATCTCCACTTGCAAATTCCACAAAAAGAGTGTTTCAAAACTGCTCTGAATAAAGGAAGGTTCCACTCTGTGAGTTGAATACACACAACACAAAGGATTTACTGAGAATTCTTCTGTCTAGCAGTAAATGAAAAAATCCCGCTTCCAACGAAGTCCTCAAAGGGGTCCAAGTAATCACTTGCAGACTTTACAGACAGAGTCTTTCCAAACTGCTCTATGAATAGAAAGGTGAAACTCTCTGAGCTGAACGCACACATAACAAAGCAGTTTCTGAGAATGATTCTGTGTAGTTTTTACACGAAGATATTTCCATTTCAAAGATTAGCCTCAAATCGCTTGAAATCTCCACTTGCAAATTCCACAGAAAGAGTTTTTCAAAACTGCTCTGTGTAAAGGAAGGTTCAACTCTGTGACTTGAATACACACAACACAAAGAAGTGACTGAGAATTCTTCTGTTTAGCATTATATGAAGAAATCCCGTTTCCAACGAAGGCCTCAAAGAAGTCCAAATAAGCACCTGCAGACTTTACAAACAGAGTGTTTCCAAACTGCTCTATGAAAAGAAAGGTTAAACTCTGTGAGTTGAACGCACACATCACAAAGTAGTTGTTGAGAATGATTCTGTGTAGTTTTTATACGAAGATATTTCCTTTTCTGCCATAGGCCTAGAAGCGCTTGTAATCTGCACTTGCAAATTCCAAAAACAGAGTGTTTCAAATCTGCTCTCTCTAAAGGAAGGTTCAAATCTGTGAGTTGAATACAAACAACACAAAGAAGTTACTGAGAATTCTTCTGTCTAGCATTATAAGAGGAAATCCCGTTTCCAACGAAGGGCTCATAGAGGGACAATTATCCAGCTGCAGACTTACAAAGAGTGTATTTCCAAACTGCTCGATTAAAGAAAGGTTAAACTCTGTGAGTTGAACACACACATCACAAAGTGTTTTCTGAGAATGATTTTGTCTAGTTTTAATACGAAAGATATATCCTTTTCTATCACTGTCTTCGAAGCGTTTGAAATCTGCACTAGCAAATTCCACAAACAGAGTGTTTCAACTCTGCTCTCTCTCAAGAAAGGTTCAACTCTGTGAGTTGAATACACACAACACAAAGAAGTTACTGAGAATTCTTCTGTCTAGCGTTATATGAAGAAATCCCGTTTCCAACGAAGGCCTCAAAGAGGTCCAAATATCCACTTGCAGACTTTACAAATAGAGTGTTTCCAAACTGCTCTATGAAAAGAAAGGTTAAACTCCGTGAGTTGAAGGCACACATCACAAACTAGTTTCTGCGAATGACTCTGTGTACTTTTAATACGAAGATGTTTCCATGTCTAAGATTGGCGTGAATTCGCTTGAAATCTCCACTTGCAAATTCCACAAAAAGAGTGTTTCAAAAGTGCTCTGAATAAAGGAAGGTTCCACTCTGTGAGTTGAATACACACAACACAAAGGATTTACTGAGAATTCTTCTGTCTAGCAGTAAATGAAAAAATCCCGCTTCCAACGAAGTCCTCAAAGGGGTCCAAGTAATCACTTGCAGACTTTACAGACAGAGTCTTTCCAAACTGCTCTATGAAAAGAAAGGTGGAACTCTGTGAGCTGAACGCACACATAACAAAGCAGTTTCTGAGAATGATTCTGTGTAGTTTTTACACGAAGCTATTTCCATTTCAAAGATTAGCCTCAAATCGCTTGAAATCTCCACTTGCAAATTCCACAGAAAGAGTTTTTCAAAACTGCTCTGTGTAAAGGAAGGTTCAACTCTGTGACTTGAATACACACAACACAAAGAAGTGACTGAGAATTCTTCTGTCTAGCATTACATGAAGAAATCCCGTTTCCAACGAAGGCCTCAAAGAAGTCCAAATAAGCACCTGCAGACTTTACAAACAGAGTGTTTCCAAACTGCTCTATGAAAAGAAAGGTTAACTCTGTGAGTTGAACGCACACATCACAAAGTAGTTGTTGAGAATGATTCTGTGTAGTTTTTATACGAAGATATTTCCTTTTCTGCCATAGGCCTAGAAGCGCTTGTAATCTGCACTTGCAAATTCCAAAAACAGAGTGTTTCAAATCTGCTCTCTCTAAAGGAAGGTTCAAATCTGTGAGTTGAATACAAACAACACAAAGAAGTTACTGAGAATTCTTCTGTCTAGCATTATAAGAGGAAATCCTGTTTCCAACGAAGGGCTCATAGAGGGACAATTATCCAGCTGCAGACTTACAAAGAGTGTATTTCCAAACTGCTCGATTAAAGAAAGGTTAAACTCTGTGAGTTGAACACACACATCACAAAGTGTTTTCTGAGAATGATTTTGTCTAGTTTTAATACGAAGATATATCCTTTTCTATCACTGTCTTCGAAGCGTTTGAAATCTGCACTAGCAAATTCCACAGAAAGAGTGTTTCAACTCTGCTCTCTCTCAAGAAAGGTTCAACTCTGTGAGTGGAATACACACAACACAAAGAAGTTACAGAGAATTCTTCTGTCTAGCGTTATATGAAGAAATCCCGTTTCCAACGAAGGCCTCAAAGAGGTCCAAATATCCACTTGCAGACTTTACAAATAGAGTGTTTCCAAACTGCTCTATGAAAAGAAAGCTTAAACTCTGTGAGTTGAAGGCACACATCACAAACTAGTTTCTGCGAATGACTCTGTGTACTTTTAATACGAAGATGTTTCCATGTCTAAGATTGGCGTGAATTCGCTTGAAATCTCCACTTGCAAATTCCACAAAAAGAGTGTTTCAAAACTGCTCTGAATAAAGGAAGGTTCCACTCTGTGAGTTGAATACACACAACACGAAGGATTTACTGAGAATTCTTCTGTCTAGCAGTAAATGAAAAAATCCCGCTTCCAACGAAGTCCTCAAAGGGGTCCAAGTAATCACTTGCAGACTTTACAGACAGAGTCTTTCCAAACTGCTCTATGAAAAGAAAGGTGGAACTCTGTGAGCTGAACGCACACATAACAAAGCAGTTTCTGAGAATGATTCTGTGTAGTTTTTACACGAAGATATTTCCATTTCAAAGATTAGCCTCAAATCGCTTGAAATCTCCACTTGCAAATTCCACAGAAAGAGTTTTTCAAAACTGCTCTGTGTAAAGGAAGGTTCAACTCTGTGACTTGAATACACACAACACAAAGAAGTGACTGAGAATTCTTCTGTCTAGCATTATATGAAGAAATCCCGTTTCCAACGAAGGCCTCAAAGAAGTCCAAATAAGCACCTGCAGACTTTACAAACAGAGTGTTTCCAAACTGCTCTATGAAAAGAAACGTTAAACTCTCTGAGCTGAACGCACACATCACAAAGTAGTTGTTGAGAATGATTCTGTGTAGTTTTTATACGAAGATATTTCCTTTTCTGCCATAGGCCTAGAAGCGCTTGCAATCTGCACTTGCAAATTCCAAAAACAGAGTGTTTCAAATCTGCTCTCTCCAAAGGAAGGTTCAAATCGGTGAGTTGAATACAAACAACACAAAGAAGTTACTGAGAATTCTTCTGTCTAGCATTATATGAGGAAATCCCGTTTCCAACGAAGGGCTCATAGAGGGACAATTATCCAGCTGCAGACTTACAAAGAGTGTATTTCCAAACTGCTCGATTAAAGAAAGGTTAAACTCTGTGAGTTGAACACACACATCACAAAGTGTTTTCTGAGAATGATTTTGTCTAGTTTTAATACGAAGATATATCCTTTTCTATCACTGTCTTCGAAGCGTTTGAAATCTGCACTAGCAAATTCCACAAACAGAGTGTTTCAACTCTGCTCTCTCTCAAGAAAGGTTCAACTCTGTGAGTGGAATACACACAACACAAAGAAGTTACTGAGAATTCTTCTGTCTAGCGTTATATGAAGAAATCCCGTTTCCAACGAAGGCCTCAAAGAGGTCCAAATATCCACTTGCAGACTTTACAAATAGAGTGTTTCCAAACTGCTCTATGAAAAGAAAGGTTAAACTCTGTGAGTTGAAGGCACACATCACAAACTAGTTTCTGCGAATGACTCTGTGTACTTTTAATACGAAGATGTTTCCATGTCTAAGATGGGCGTGAATTCGCTTGAAATCTCCACTTGCAAATTCCACAAAAAGAGTGTTTCAAAACTGCTCTGAATAAAGGAAGGTTCCACTCTGTGAGTTGAATACACACAACACAAAGGATTTACTGAGAATTCTTCTGTCTAGCAGTAAATGAAAAAATCCCGCTTCCAACGAAGTCCTCAAAGGGGTCCAAGTAATCACTTGCAGACTTTACAGACAGAGTCTTTCCAAACTGCTCTATGAAAAGAAAGGTGGAACTCTGTGAGCTGAACGCACACATAACAAAGCAGTTTCTGACAATGATTCTGTGTAGTTTTTACACGAAGATATTTCCATTTCAAAGATTAGCCTCAAATCGCTTGAAATCTCCACTTGCAAATTCCACAGAAAGAGTTTTTCAAAACTGCTCTGTGTAAAGGAAGGTTCAACTCTGTGACTTGAATACACACAACACAAAGAAGTGACTGAGAATTCTTCTGTCTAGCATTATATGAAGAAATCCCGTTTCCAACGAAGGCCTCAAAGAAGTCCAAATAAGCACCTGCAGACTTTACAAACAGAGTGTTTCCAAACTGCTCTATGAAAAGAAAGGTTAAACTCTGTGAGTTGAACGCACACATCACAAAGTAGTTGTTGAGAATGATTCTGTGTAGTTTTTATACGAAGATATTTCCTTTTCTGCCATAGGCCTAGAAGGGCTTGTAATCTGCACTTGCAAATTCCAAAAACAGAGTGTTTCAAATCTGCTCTCTCTAAAGGAAGGTTCAAATCTGTGAGTTGAATACAAACAACACAAAGAAGTTACTGAGAATTCTTCTGTCTAGCATTATAAGAGGAAATCCCGTTTCCAACGAAGGGCTCATAGAGGGACAATTATCCAGCTGCAGACTTACAAAGAGTGTATTTCCAAACTGCTCGATTAAAGAAAGGTTAAACTCTGTGAGTTGAACACACACATCACAAAGTGTTTTCTGAGAATGATTTTGTCTAGTTTTAATACGAAGATATATCCTTTTCTATCACTGTCTTCGAAGCGTTTGAAATCTGCACTAGCAAATTCCACAAACAGTGTGTTTCCACTCTGCTCTCTCTCAAGAAAGGTTCAACTCTGTGAGTGGAATACACACAACACAAAGAAGTTACTGAGAATTCTTCTGTCTAGCGTTATATGAAGAAATCCCGTTTCCAACGAAGGCCTCAAAGAGGTCCAAATATCCACTTGCAGACTTTACAAATAGAGTGTTTCCAAACTGCTCTATGAAAAGAAAGGTTAAACTCCGTGAGTTGAAGGCACACATCACAAACTAGTTTCTGCGAATGACTCTGTGTACTTTTAATACGAAGATGTTTCCATGTCTAAGATTGGCGTGAATTCGCTTGAAATCTCCACTTGCAAATTCCACAAAAAGAGTGTTTCAAAACTGCTCTGAATAAAGGAAGGTTCCACTCTGTGAGTTGAATACACACAACACAAAGGATTTACTGAGAATTCTTCTGTCTAGCAGTAAATGAAAAAATCCCGCTTCCAACGAAGTCCTCAAAGGGGTCCAAGTAATCACTTGCAGACTTTACAGACAGAGTCTTTCCAAACTGCTCTATGAAAAGAAAGGTGGAACTCTGTGAGCTGAACGCACACATAACAAAGCAGTTTCTGACAATGATTCTGTGTAGTTTTTACACGAAGCTATTTCCATTTCAAAGATTAGCCTCAAATCACTTGAAATCTCCACTTGCAAATTCCACAGAAAGAGTTTTTCAAAACTGCTCTGTGTAAAGGAAGGTTCAACTCTGTGACTTGAATACACACAACACAAAGAAGTGACTGAGAATTCTTCTGTCTAGCATTATATGAAGAAATCCCGTTTCCAACGAAGGCCTCAAAGAAGTCCAAATAAGCACCTGCAGACTTTACAAACAGAGTGTTTCCAAACTGCTCTATGAAAAGAAAGGTTAAACTCTGTGAGTTGAACGCACACATCACAAAGTAGTTGTTGAGAATGATTCTGTGTAGTTTTTATACGAAGATATTTCCTTTTCTGCCATAGGCCTAGAAGCGCTTGTAATCTGCACTTGCAAATTCCAAAAACAGAGTGTTTCAAATCTGCTCTCTCTAAAGGAAGGTTCAAATCTGTGAGTTGAATACAAACAACACAAAGAAGTTACTGAGAATTCTTCTGTCTAGCATTATAAGAGGAAATCCCGTTTCCAACGAAGGGCTCCTAGAGGGACAATTATCCAGCTGCAGACTTACAAAGAGTGTATTTCCAAACTGCTCGATTAAAGAAAGGTTAAACTCTGTGAGTTGAACACACACATCACAAAGTGTTTTCTGAGAATGATTTTGTCTAGTTTTAATACGAAGATATATCCTTTTCTATCACTGTCTTCGAAGCGTTTGAAATCTGCACTAGCAAATTCCACAGAAAGAGTGTTTCAACTCTGCTCTCTCTCAAGAAAGGTTCAACTCTGTGAGTGGAATACACACAACACAAAGAAGTTACTGAGAATTCTTCTGTCTAGCGTTATATGAAGAAATCCCGTTTCCAACGAAGGCCTCAAAGAGGTCCAAATATCCACTTGCAGACTTTACAAAGAGAGTGTTTCCAAACTGCTCTATGAAAAGAAAGGTTAAACTCCGTGAGTTGAAGGCACACATCACAAACTAGTTTCTGCGAATGACTCTGTGTACTTTTAATATGAAGATATTTCCATGTCTAAGATTGGCGTCAAATCGCTTGAAATCTCCACTTGCAAATTCCACAAAAACAGTGTTTCAAAACTGCTCTGAATAAAGGAAGGTTCCACTCTGTGAGTTGAATACACACAACACAAAGGATTTACTGAGAATTCTTCTGTCTAGCAGTAAATGAGAAATCCCGCTTCCAACGAAGGCCTCAAAGGGGTCTAACTAATCACTTGCAGACTTTACAGACAGAGTCTTTCCAAACTGCTCTATGAAGAGAAAGGTGAAACTCTGTGAACTGAACGCACAGATGACAAAGCAGTTTCTGAGAATGATTCTGTGTAGTTTTTACACGAAGATATTTCCATTTCAAAGATTAGCCTCAAATCGCTTGAAATCTCCACTTGCAAATTCCACAGAAAGAATTTTTCAAAACTGCTCTGTCTAAAGGAAGGTTCAACTCTGTGACTTGAATACACACAACACAAAGAAGTGACTGAGAATTCTTCTGTCTAGCGTTATATGAAGAAATCCCGTTTCCAACGAAGGCCTCAATGAAGTCCAAAAATGCACTTGCAGGCTTTACAAACAGAGTGTTTCCAAACTGCTCTATGAAAAGAAAGGTTAAACTCTGTGAGTTGAACGCACACATCACAAAGTAGTTGTTGAGAATGATTCTGTGTAGTTTTTATACGAAGATATTTCCTTTTCTGCCTTAGGCCTAGAAGCGCTTGAAATCTGCACTTGCAAATTCCAAAAACAGAGTGTTTCAACTATGCTCTCTCTAAAGAAAGGTTCAACTCTGTGAGTTGAATACACACAACACAAAGAAGTTACTGAGAATTCTTCTGACTAGCGTTGTATGAAGAAATCGCGTTTCCAACGAAGGCCTCAATGAAGTCCAAAAAAGCACTTGCAGGCTTTACAAACAGAGTGTTTCCAAACTGCTCTATGAAAAGAAAGGTTAAACTCTGTGAGTTGAACACACACATCACAAAGAGTTTTCTGAGAATGATTTTGTCTACTTTTAATACGAAGATATATCCTTTTCTATCACTGTCTTCGAAGCGTTTGAAATCTGCACTAGCAAATTCCACAAAAAGAGTGTTTCACCTCTGCTCCCTCTAAAGAAAGGTTCAACTCTGTGAGTTGAATACACACAACACAAAGAAGTTACTGAGAATTCTTCTGTCTAGCGTTATATGAAGAAATCCCGTTTCCAACGAAGGCCTCAAAGAGGTCCAAATATCCACTTGCAGACTTTACAAATACAGTGTTTCCCAACTGCTCTATGAAAAGAAAGGTTAAACTCTGTGAGTTGAAGGCACACATCACAAACTAGTTTCTACGAATGACGCTGTGTACTTTTAATATGAAGATATTTCCATGTCTAAGATTGGCGTCAAATCGCTTGAAATCTCCACTTGCAAATTCCACAAAAAGAGTCTTTCAAAACTGCTCTGAATAAAGGAAGGTTCCACTCTGTGAGTTGAATACACACAACACCAAGGATTTACTGAGAATTCTTCTGTCTAGCAGTAAATGAAAAAATCCCGCTTCCAACGAAGTCCTCAAAGTGGTCCAAGTAATCACTTGCAGACTTCACAGACAGAGTCTTTCCAAACTGCCCTATGAAAAGAAAGGTGGAACTGTGTGAGCTGAACGCACACATAACAAAGCAGTTTCTGAGAATGATTCTGTGTAGTTTTTACACGAAGATATTTCCATTTCAAAGATTAGCCTCAAATCGCTTGAAATCTCCACTTGCAAATTCCACAGAAAGAGTTTTTCAAAACTTCTCTGTGTAAAGGAAGGTTCAACTCTGTGACTTGAATACACACAACACAAAGACGTGACTGAGAATTCTTCTGTCTAGCATTATATGAAGAAATCCCGTTTCCAACGAAGGCCTCAAAGAAGTCCAAATAAGCACCTGCAGACTTTACAAACAGAGTGTTTCCAAACTGCTCTATGAAAAGAAAGGTTGAACTCTGTGAGTTGAACGCACACATCACAAAGTAGTTGTTGAGAATGATTCTGTGTAGTTTTTATACGAAGATATTTCCTTTTCTGCCATAGGCCTAGAAGCGCTTGCAATCTGCACTTGCAAATTCCAAAAACAGAGTGTTTCAAATCTGCTCTCTCTAAAGGAAGGTTGAAATCTGTGAGTTGAATACAAACAATACAAGGAACTTACTGAGAATTCTTCTGTCTAGCATTATATGAGGAAATCCCGTTTCCAACGAAGGGCTCATAGAGGGAAAATTATCCAGCTGCAGACTTACAAAGAGTGTATTTCCAAACTGCTCGATTAAAGAAAGGTTAAACTCTGTGAGTTGAACACACACATCACAAAGTGTTTTCTGAGAATGATTTTGTCTAGTTTTAATACGAAGATATATCCTTTTCTATCACTGTCTTCGAAGCGTTTGAAATCTGCACTAGCAAATTCCAGAAACAGAGTGTTTCAACTCTGCTCTCTCTCAAGAAAGGTTCAACTCTGTGAGTGGAATACACACAACACAAAGAAGTTACTGAGAATTCTTCTGTCTAGCGTTATATGAAGAAATCCCGTTTCCAACGAAGGCCTCAAAGAGGTCCAAATATCCACTTGCAGACTTTACAAATAGAGTGTTTCCAAACTGCTCTATGAAAAGAAAGCTTAAACTCTGTGAGTTGAAGGCACACATCACAAACTAGTTTCTGCGAATGACTCTGTGTACTTTTAATACGAAGATGTTTCCATGTCTAAGATTGGCGTGAATTCGCTTGAAATCTCCACTTGCAAATTCCACAAAAAGAGTGTTTCAAAACTGCTCTGAATAAAGGAAGGTTCCACTCTGTGAGTTGAATACACACAACACAAAGGATTTACTGAGAATTCTTCTGTCTGGCAGTAAATGAAAAAATCCCACTTCCAACGAAGTCCTCAAAGGGGTCCAAGTAATCACTTGCAGACTTTACAGACAGAGTCTTTCCAAACTGCTCTATGAAAAGAAAGGTGGAACTCTGTGAGCTGAACGCACACATAACAAAGCAGTTTCTGAGAATGATTCTGTGTAGTTTTTACACGAAGCTATTTCCATTTCAAAGATTAGCCTCAAATCGCTTGAAATCTCCACTTGCAAATTCCACAGAAAGAGTTTTTCAAAACTGCTCTGTGTAAAGGAAGGTTCAACTCTGTGACTTGAATACACACAACACAAAGAAGTGACTGAGAATTCTTCTGTCTAGCATTATATGAAGAAATCCCGTTTCCAACGAAGGCCTCAAAGAAGTCCAAATAAGCACCTGCAGACTTTACAAACAGAGTGTTTCCAAACTGCTCTATGAAAAGAAAGGTTAAACTCTGTGAGTTGAACGCACACATCACAAAGTAGTTGTTGAGAATGATTCTGTGTAGTTTTTATACGAAGATATTTCCTTTTCTGCCATAGGCCTAGAAGCGCTTGTAATCTGCACTTGCAAATTCCAAAAACAGAGTGTTTCAAATCTGCTCTCTCTAAAGGAAGGTTCAAATCTGTGAGTTGAATACAAACAACACAAAGAAGTTACTGAGAATTCTTCTGTCTAGCATTATAAGAGGAAATCACGTTTCCAACGAAGGGCTCATAGAGGGACAATTATCCAGCTGCAGACTTACAAAGAGTGTATTTCCAAACTGCTCGATTAAAGAAAGGTTAAACTCTGTGAGTTGAACGCACACATCACAAAGTGTTTTCTGAGAATGATTCTGTGTAGTTTTTATACGAAGATATTCCCTTTTCTGCCATACGCCTAGAAGAGCTTGAAACCTGCACTTGCAAATTCCAAAAAAAGAGTGTTTGCAATCTGCCCTCTCTAAAGGAAGGTTCAAATCTGTGCTTTGAATACAAACAACACAAAGAAGTTACTGAGAATTCTTCTGTCTAGCACTATATGAGGAAATCCCGTTTCCAACGAAGGGCTCAAAGAGGGCCAATTATCCACCTGCAGACTTACAAAGAGTGTATTTCCAAACTGCTCAATTAAAGAAAGGTTAAACTCTATGAGTTGAACACACACATCACAAAGTGTTTTCTGAGAATGATTCTGTGTACTTTTAATACGAAGATGTTTCCATGTCTAAGATTGGCGTGAATTCGCTTGAAATCTCCACTTGCAAATTCCACAAAAAGAGTGTTTCAAAACTGCTCTGAATAAAGGAAGGTTCCACTCTGTGAGTTGAATACACACAACACAAAGGATTTACTGAGAATTCTTCTGTCTAGCAGTAAATGAAAAAATCCCGCTTCCAACGAAGTCCTCAAAGGGGTCCAAGTAATCACTTGCAGACTTTACAGACAGAGTCTTTCCAAACTGCTCTATGAAAAGAAAGGTGGAACTCTGTGAGCTGAACGCACACATAACAAAGCAGTTTCTGAGAATGATTCTGTGTAGTTTTTACACGAAGCTATTTCCATTTCAAAGATTAGCCTCAAATCGCTTGAAATCTCCACTTGCAAATTCCACAGAAAGAGTTTTTCAAAACTGTTCTGTGTAAAGGAAGGTTCAACTCTGTGACTTGAATACACACAACACAAAGAAGTGACTGAGAATTCTTCTGTCTAGCATTACATGAAGAAATCCCGTTTCCAACGAAGGCCTCAAAGAAGTCCAAATAAGCACCTGCAGACTTTACAAACAGAGTGTTTCCAAACTGCTCTATGAAAAGAAAGGTTAAACTCTGTGAGTTGAACGCACACATCACAAAGTAGTTGTTGAGAATGATTCTGTGTAGTTTTTATACGAAGATATTTCCTTTTCTGCCATAGGCCTAGAAGCGCTTGTAATCTGCACTTGCAAATTCCAAAAACAGAGTGTTACAAATCTGCTCTCTCTAAAGGAAGGTTCAATCTGTGAGTTGAATACAAACAACACAAAGAAGTTACTGAGAATTCTTCTGTCTAGCATTATAAGAGGAAATCCCGTTTCCAACGAAGGGCTCATAGATGGACAATTATCCAGCCGCAGACTTACAAAGAGTGTATTTCCAAACTGCTCGATTAAAGAAAGGTTAAACTCTGTGAGTTGAACACACACATCACAAAGTGTTTTCTGAGAATGATTTTGTCTAGTTTTAATACGAAGATATACCCTTTTCTATCACTGTCTTCGAAGCGTTTGAAATCTGCACTAGCAAATTCCACAGAAAGAGTGTTTCAACTCTGCTCTCTCTCAAGAAAGGTTCAACTCTGTGAGTTGAATACACACAACACAAAGAAGTTACTGAGAATTCTTCTGTCTAGCGTTATATGAAGAAATCCCGTTTCCAACGAAGGCCTCAAAGAGGTCCAAATATCCACTTGCAGACTTTACAAATAGAGTGTTTCCAAACTGCTCTATGAAAAGAAAGGTTAAACTCCGTGAGTTGAAGGCACACATCACAAACTAGTTTCTGCGAATGACTCTGTGTACTTTTAATACGAAGATGTTTCCATGTCTAAGATTGGCGTGAATTCGCTTGAAATCTCCACTTGCAAATTCCACAAAAAGAGTGTTTCAAAACTGCTCTGAATAAAGGAAGGTTCCACTCTGTGAGTTGAATACACACAACACAAAGGATTTACTGAGAATTCTTCTGTCTAGCAGTAAATGAAAAAATCCCGCTTCCAACGAAGTCCTCAAAGGGGTCCAAGTAATCACTTGCAGACTTTACAGACAGAGTCTTTCCAAACTGCTCTATGAAAAGAAAGGTGGAACTCTGTGAGCTGAACGCACACATAACAAAGCAGTTTCTGAGAATGATTCTGTGTAGTTTTTACACGAAGATATTTCCATTTCAAAGATTAGCCTCAAATCGCTTGAAATCTCCACTTGCAAATTCCACAGAAAGAGTTTTTCAAAACTGCTCTGTGTAAAGGAAGGTTCAACTCTGTGACTTGAATACACACAACACAAAGAAGTGACTGAGAATTCTTCTGTCTAGCATTATATGAAGAAATCCCGTTTCCAACGAAGGCCTCAAAGAAGTCCAAATAAGCACCTGCAGACTTTACAAACAGAGTGTTTCCAAACTGCTCTATGAAAAGAAAGGTTAAACTCTGTGAGTTGAACGCACACATCACAAACTAGTTGTTGAGAATGATTCTGTGTAGTTTTTATACAAAGATATTTCCTTTTCTGCCATAGGCCTAGAAGCGCTTGCAATCTGCACTTGCAAATTCCAAAAACAGAGTGTTTCAAATCTGCTCTCTCCAAAGGAAGGTTCAAATCTGTGAGTTGAATGAAAACAACACAAAGAAGTTACTGAGAATTCTTCTGTCTAGCATTATAAGAGGAAATCCCGTTTCCAACGAAGGGCTCATAGAGGGACAATTATCCAGCTGCAGACTTACAAAGAGTGTATTTCCAAACTGCTCGATTAAAGAAAGGTTAAACTCTGTGAGTTGAACACACACATCACAAAGTGTTTTCTGAGAATGATTTTGTCTAGTTTTAATACGAAGATATATCCTTTTCTATCACTGTCTTCGAAGCGTTTGAAATCTGCACTAGCAAATTCCACAAACAGAGTGTTTCAACTCTGCTCTCTCTCAAGAAAGGTTCAACTCTGTGAGTGGAATACACACAACACAAACAAGTTACTGAGAATTCTTCTGTCTAGCGTTATATGAAGAAATCCCGTTTCCAACGAAGGCCTCAAAGAGGTCCAAATATCCACTTGCAGACTTTACAAATAGAGTGTTTCCAAACTGCTCTATGAAAAGAAAGGTTAAACTCTGTGAGTTGAAGGCACACATCACAAACTAGTTTCTGCGAATGACTCTGTGTACTTTTAATACGAAGATGTTTCCATGTCTAAGATTGGCCTGAATTCGCTTGAAATCTCCACTTCCTAATTCCACAAAAAGAGTGTTTCAAAACTGCTCTGAATAAAGGAAGGTTCCACTCTGTGAGTTGAATACACACAACACAAAGGATTTACTGAGAATTCTTCTGTCTAGCAGTAAATGAAAAAATCCCGCTTCCAACGAAGTCCTCAAAGGGGTCCAAGTAATCACTTGCAGACTTTACAGACAGAGTCTTTCCAAACTGCTCTATGAAAAGAAAGGTGGAACTCTGTGAGCTGAACGCACACATAACAAAGCAGTTTCTGACAATGATTCTGTGTAGTTTTTACACGAAGATATTTCCATTTCAAAGATTAGCCTCAAATCGCTTGAAATCTCCACTTGCAAATTCCACAGAAAGAGTTTTTCAAAACTGCTCTGTGTAAAGGAAGGTTCAACTCTGTGACTTGAATACACACAACACAAAGAAGTGACTGAGAATTCTTCTGTCTAGCATTATATGAAGAAATCCCGTTTCCAACGAAGGCCTCAAAGAAGTCCAAATAAGCACCTGCAGACTTTACAAACAGAGTGTTTCCAAACTGCTCTATGAAAAGAAAGGTTAAACTCTGTGAGCTGAACGCACACATCACAAAGTAGTTGTTGAGAATGATTCTGTGTAGTTTTTATACGAAGATATTTCCTTTTCTGCCATAGGCCTAGAAGCGCTTGCAATCTGCACTTGCAAATTCCAAAAACAGAGTGTTTCAAATCTGCTCTCTCCAAAGGAAGGTTCAAATCTGTGAGTGGAATACAAACAACACAAAGAAGTTACTGAGAATTCTTCTGTCTAGCATTATATGAGGAAATCCCGTTTGCAACGAAGGGCTCATAGAGGGATAATTATCCAGCTGCAGACTTACAAAGAGTGTATTTCCAAACTGCTCGATTAAAGAAAGGTTAAACTCTGTGAGTTGAACACACACATCACAAAGTGTTTTCTGAGAATGATTTTGTCTAGTTTTAATACGAAGATATATCCTTTTCTATCACTGTCTTCGAAGCGTTTGAAATCTGCACTGGCAAATTCCACAAACAGAGTGTTTCAACTCTGCTCTCTCTCAAGAAAGGTTCAACTCTGTGAGTGGAATACACACAACACAAAGAAGTTACTGAGAATTCTTCTGTCTAGCGTTATATGAAGAAATCCCGTTTCCAACGAAGGCCTCAAAGAGGTCCAAATATCCACTTGCAGACTTTACAAATAGAGTGTTTCCAAACTGCTCTATGAAAAGAAAGTTTAAACTCTGTGAGTTGAAGGCACACATCACAAACTAGTTTCTGCGAATGACTCTGTGTACTTTTAATACGAAGATGTTTCCATGTCTAAGATTGGCGTGAATTCGCTTGAAATCTCCACTTGCAAATTCCACAAAAAGAGTGTTTCAAAAGTGCTCTGAATAAAGGAAGGTTCCACTCTGTGAGTTGAATACACACAACACAAAGGATTTACTGAGAATTCTTCTGTCTAGCAGTAAATGAAAAAATCCCGCTTCCAACGAAGTCCTCAAAGGGGTCCAAGTAATCACTTGCAGACTTTACAGACAGAGTCTTTCCAAACTGCTCTATGAAAAGAAAGGTGGAACTCTGTGAGCTGAACGCACACATAACAAAGCAGTTTCTGAGAATGATTCTGTGTAGTTTTTACACGAAGCTATTTCCATTCCAAAGATTAGCCTCAAATCGCTTGAAATCTCCACTTGCAAATTCCACAGAAAGAGTTTTTCAAAACTGCTCTGTGTAAAGGAAGGTTCAACTCTGTGACTTGAATACACACAACACAAAGAAGTGACTGAGAATTCTTCTGTCTAGCATTATATGAAGAAATCCCGTTTCCAACGAAGGCCTCAATGAAGTCCAAAAAAGCAATTGCAGGCTTTACAAACAGAGTGTTTCCAAACTGCGCTATGAAAAGAAAGGTTAAACTTTGTGAGTTGAACGCACACATCACAAAGTAGTTGTTGAGAATGATTTCTGTGTAGTTTTTATACGAAGATATTTCCTTTTCTGCCATAGGCCTAGAAGCGCTTGCAATCTGCACTTGCAAATTCCAAAAACAGAGTCTTTCAAATCTGCTCTCTCTAAAGGAAGGTTCAAATCTGTGAGTTGAATACAAACAACACAAAGAAGTTACTGAGAATTCTTCTGTCTAGCATTATAAGAGGAAATCCCGTTTCCAACGAAGGGCTCATAGAGGGACAATTATCCAGCTGCAGACTTACAAAGAGTGTATTTCCAAACTGCTCGATTAAAGAAAGGTTAAACTCTGTGAGTTGAACACACACATCACAAAGTGTTTTCTGAGAATGATTTTGTCTAGTTTTAATACGAAGATATATCCTTTTCTATCACTGTCTTCGAAGCGTTTGAAATCTGCACTAGCAAATTCCACAAACAGAGTGTTTCAACTCTGCTCTCTCTCAAGAAAGGTTCAACTCTGTGAGTTGAATACACACAACACAAAGAAGTTACTGAGAATTCTTCTGTCTAGCGTTATATGAAGAAATCCCGTTTCCAACGAAGGCCTCAAAGAGGTCCAAATATCCACTTGCAGACTTTACAAATAGAGTGTTTCCAAACTGCTCTATGAAAAGAAAGGTTAAACTCCGTGAGTTGAAGGCACACATCACAAACTAGTTTCTGCGAATGACTCTGTGTACTTTTAATACGAAGATGTTTCCATGTCTAAGATTGGCGTGAATTCGCTTGAAATCTCCACTTGCAAATTCCACAAAAAGAGTGTTTCAAAACTGCTCTGAATAAAGGAAGGTTCCACTCTGTGAGTTGAATACACACAACACAAAGGATTTACTGAGAATTCTTCTGTCTAGCAGTAAATGAAAAAATCCCGCTTCCAATGAAGTCCTCAAAGGGGTCCAAGTAATCACTTGCAGACATTACAGACAGAGTCTTTCCAAACTGCTCTATGAAAAGAAAGGTGGAACTCTGTGAGCTGAACGCACACATAACAAAGCAGTTTCTGACAATGATTCTGTGTAGTTTTTACACGAAGATATTTCCATTTCAAAGATTAGCCTCAAATCGCTTGAAATCTCCACTTGCAAATTCCACAGAAAGAGTTTTTCAAAACTGCTCTGTGTAAAGGAAGGTTCAACTCTGTGACTTGAATACACACAACACAAAGAAGTGACTGAGAATTCTTCTGTCTAGCATTATATGAAGAAATCCCGTTTCCAACGAAGGCCTCAAAGAAGTCCAAATAAGCACCTGCAGACTTTACAAACAGAGTGTTTCCAAACTGCTCTATGAAAAGAAAGGTTAAACTCTGTGAGTTGAACGCACACATCACAAAGTAGTTGTTGAGAATGATTCTGTGTAGTTTTTATACGAAGATATTTCCTTTTCTGCCATAGGCCTAGAAGCGCTTGCAATCTGCACTTGCAAATTGCAAAAACAGAGTGTTTCAAATCTGCTCTCTCCAAAGGAAGGTTCAAATCTGTGAGTGGAATACAAACAACACAAAGAAGTTACTGAGAATTCTTCTGTCTAGCATTATATGAGGAAATCCCGTTTGCAACGAAGGGCTCATAGAGGGATAATTATCCAGCTGCAGACTTACAAAGAGTGTATTTCCAAACTGCTCGATTAAAGAAAGGTTAAACTCTGTGAGTTGAACACACACATCACAAAGTGTTTTCTGAGAATGATTTTGTCTAGTTTTAATACGAAGATATATCCTTTTCTATCATTGTCTTCGAAGCGTTTGAAATCTGCACTGGCAAATTCCACAAACAGAGTGTTTCAACTCTGCTCTCTCTCAAGAAAGGTTCAACTCTGTGAGTGGAATACACACAACACAAAGAAGTTACTGAGAATTCTTCTGTCTAGCGTTATATGAAGAAATCCCGTTTCCAACGAAGGCCTCAAAGAGGTCCAAATATCCACTTGCAGACTTTACAAATAGAGTGTTTCCAAACTGCTCTATGAAAAGAAAGGTTAAACTCTGTGAGTTGAAGGCACACATCACAAACTAGTTTCTGCGAATGACTCTGTGTACTTTTAATACGAAGATGTTTCCATGTCTAAGATTGGCGTGAATTCGCTTGAAATCTCCACTTGCAAATTCCACAAAAAGAGTGTTTCAAAACTGCTCTGAATAAAGGAAGGTTCCACTCTGTGAGTTGAATACACACAACACAAAGGATTTACTGAGAATTCTTCTGTCTGGCAGTAAATGAAAAAATCCCGCTTCCAACGAAGTCCTCAAAGGGGTCCAAGTAATCACTTGCAGACTTTACAGACAGAGTCTTTCCAAACTGCTCTATGAAAAGAAAGGTGGAACTCTGTGAGCTGAACGCACACATAACAAAGCAGTTTCTGAGAATGATTCTGTGTAGTTTTTACACGAAGATATTTCCATTTCAAAGATTAGCCTCAAATCGCTTGAAATCTCCACTTGCAAATTCCACAGAAAGAGTTTTTCAAAACTGCTCTGTGTAAAGGAAGGTTCAACTCTGTGACTTGAATAC
Source organism: Homo sapiens (assembly GCF_000001405.40). Lineage (NCBI taxonomy): Eukaryota > Metazoa > Chordata > Mammalia > Primates > Hominidae > Homo > Homo sapiens. Next base: position 40,036,679 of record NC_000010.11, on the reverse strand, counting down.
ACACAACACAAAGAAGTGACTGAGAATTCTTCTGTCTAGCATTATATGAAGAAATCCCGTTTCCAACGAAGGCCTCAAAGAAGTCCAAATAAGCACCTGCAGACTTTACAAACAGAGTGTTTCCAAACTGCTCTATGAAAAGAAAGGTTAAACTCTGTGAGCTGAACGCACACATCACAAAGTAGTTGTTGAGAATGATTCTGTGTAGTTTTTATACGAAGATATTTCCTTTTCTGCCATAGGCCTAGAAGCGCTTGCAATCTGCACTTGCAAATTCCAAAAACAGAGTGTTTCAAATCTGCTCTCTCCAAAGGAAGGTTCAAATCTGTGAGTTGAATACAAACAACACAAAGAAGTTACTGAGAGTTCTTCTGTCTAGCATTATATGAGGAAATCCCGTTTCCAACGAAGGGCTCATAGAGGGACAATTATCCAGCTGCAGACTTACAAAGAGTGTATTTCCAAACTGCTCGATTAAAGAAAGGTTAAACTCTGTGAGTTGAACACACACATCACAAAGTGTTTTCTGAGAATGATTCTGTGTAGTTTTTATACGAAGATATTCCCTTTTCTGCCATAGGCCTAGAAGCGCTTGAAATCTGCACTTGCAAATTCCAAGAACAGAGTGTTTCAAATCTGCTCTCTCTAAAGGAAGGTTCAAATCTGTGAGTTGAATACAAACAACACAAAGAAGTTACTGAGAATTCTTCTGTCTAGCGTTATATGAAGAAATCCCGTTTCCAACGAAGGCCTCAAAGAGGTCCAAATATCCACTTGCAGACTTTACAAATAGAGTGTTTCCAAACTGCTCTATGAAAAGAAAGGTTAAACTCTGTGAGTTGAAGGCACACATCACAAACGAGTTTCTGCGAATGACTCTGTGTACTTTTAATACGAAGATGTTTCCATGTCTAAGATTGGCGTGAATTCGCTTGAAATCTCCACTTGCAAATTCCACAAAAAGAGTGTTTCAAAACTGCTCTGAATAAAGGAAGGTTCCACTCTGTGAGTTGAATACACACAACACAAAGGATTTACTGAGAATTCTTCTGTCTGGCAATAAATGAAAAAATCCCGCTTCCAACGAAGTCCTCAAAGGGGTCCAAGTAATCACTTGCAGACTTTACAGACAGAGTCTTTCCAAACTGCTCTATGAAAAGAAAGGTGGAACTCTGTGAGCTGAACGCACACATAACAAAGCAGTTTCTGAGAATGATTCTGTGTAGTTTTTACACGAAGCTATTTCCATTTCAAAGATTAGCCTCAAATCGCTTGAAATCTCCACTTGCAAATTCCACAGAAAGAGTTTTTCAAAACTGCTCTGTGTAAAGGAAGGTTCAACTCTGTGACTTGAATACACACAACACAAAGAAGTGACTGAGAATTCTTCTGTCTAGCATTATATGAAGAAATCCCGTTTCCAACGAAGGCCTCAAAGAAGTCCAAATAAGCACCTGCAGACTTTACAAACAGAGTGTTTCCAAACTGCTCTATGAAAAAAAAGGTTAAACTCTGTGAGCTGAACGCACACATCACAAAGTAGTTGTTGAGAATGATTCTGTGTAGTTTTTATACGAAGATATTTCCTTTTCTGCCATAGGCCTAGAAGCGCTTGCAATCTGCACTTGCAAATTCCAAAAACAGAGTGTTTCAAATCTGCTCTCTCCAAAGGAAGGTTCAAATCTGTGAGTTGAATACAAACAACACAAAGAAGTTACTGAGAATTCTTCTGTCTAGCATTATATGAGGAAATCCCGTTTCCAACGAAGGGCTCATAGAGGGACAATTATCCAGCTGCAGACTTACAAAGAGTGTATTTCCAAACTGCTCGATTAAAGAAAGGTTAAACTCTGTGAGTTGAACACACACATCACAAAGTGTTTTCTGAGAATGATTTTGTCTAGTTTTAATACGAAGATATATCCTTTTCTATCACTGTCTTCGAAGCGTTTGAAATCTGCACTAGCAAATTCCACAAACAGAGTGTTTCAACTCTGCTCTCTCTGAAGAATGGTTCAACTCTGTGAGTGGAATACACACAACACAAAGAAGTTACAGAGAATTCTTCTGTCTAGCGTTATATGAAGAAATCCCGTTTCCAACGAAGGCCTCAAAGAGGTCCAAATATCCACTTGCAGACTTTACAAATAGAGTGTTTCCAAACTGCTCTATGAAAAGAAAGGTTAAACTCCGTGAGTTGAAGGCACACATCACAAACTAGTTTCTGCGAATGACTCTGTGTACTTTTAATACGAAGATGTTTCCATGTCTAAGATTGGCGTGAATTCGCTTGAAATCTCCACTTGCAAATTCCACAAAAAGAGTGTTTCAAAAGTGCTCTGAATAAAGGAAGGTTCCACTCTGTGAGTTGAATACACACAACACAAAGGATTTACTGAGAATTCTTCTGTCTAGCAGTAAATGAAAAAATCCCGCTTCCAACGAAGTCCTCAAAGGGGTCCAAGTAATCACTTGCAGACTTTACAGACAGAGTCTTTCCAAACTGCTCTATGAAAAGAAAGGTGGAACTCTGTGAGCTGAACGCACACATAACAAAGCAGTTTCTGAGAATGATTCTGTGTAGTTTTTACACGAAGCTATTTCCATTTCAAAGATTAGCCTCAAATCGCTTGAAATCTCCACTTGCAAATTCCACAGAAAGAGTTTTTCAAAACTGCTCTGTGTAAAGGAAAGTTCAACTCTGTGACTTGAATACACACAACACAAAGAAGTGACTGAGAATTCTTCTGTCTAGCATTACATGAATAAATCCCGTTTCCAACGAAGGCCTCAAAGAAGTCCAAATAAGCACCTGCAGACTTTACAAACAGAGTGTTTCCAAACTGCTCTATGAAAAGAAAGGTTAAACTCTGTGAGTTGAACGCACACATCACAAAGTAGTTGTCGAGAATGATTCTGTGTAGTTTTTATACGAAGATATTTCCTTTTCTGCTATAGGCCTAGAAGCGCTTGTAATCTGCACTTGCAAATTCCAAAAACAGAGTGTTTCAAATCTGCTCTCTCTAAAGGAAGGTTCAAATCTGTGAGTTGAATACAAACAACACAAAGAAGTTACTGAGAATTCTTCTGTCTAGCATTATAAGAGGAAATCCCGTTTCCAACGAAGGGCTCATAGAGGGACAATTATCCAGCTGCAGACTTACAAAGAGTGTATTTCCAAACTGCTCGATTAAAGAAAGGTTAAACTCTGTGAGTTGAACACACACATCACAAAGTGTTTTCTGAGAATGATTTTGTCTAGTTTTAATACGAAGATATATCCTTTTCTATCACTGTCTTCGAAGCGTTTGAAATCTGCACTAGCAAATTCCACAAACAGAGTGTTTCAACTCTGCTCTCTCTCAAGAAAGGTTCAACTCTGTGAGTTGAATACACACAACACAAAGAAGTTACTGAGAATTCTTCTGTCTAGCGTTATATGAAGAAATCCCGTTTCCAACGAAGGCCTCAAAGAGGTCCAAATATCCACTTGCAGACTTTACAAATAGAGTGTTTCCAAACTGCTCTATGAAAAGAAAGGTTAAACTCCGTGAGTTGAAGGCACACATCACAAACTAGTTTCTGCGAATGACTCTGTGTACTTTTAATACGAAGATGTTTCCATGTCTAAGATTGGCGTGAATTCGCTTGAAATCTCCACTTGCAAATTCCACAAAAAGAGTGTTTCAAAAGTGCTCTGAATAAAGGAAGGTTCCACTCTGTGAGTTGAATACACACAACACAAAGGATTTACTGAGAATTCTTCTGTCTAGCAGTAAATGAAAAAATCCCGCTTCCAACGAAGTCCTCAAAGGGGTCCAAGTAATCACTTGCAGACTTTACAGACAGAGTCTTTCCAAACTGCTCTATGAAAAGAAAGGTGGAACTCTGTGAGCTGAACGCACACATAACAAAGCAGTTTCTGAGAATGATTCTGTGTAGTTTTTACACGAAGATATTTCCATTTCAAAGATTAGCCTCAAATCGCTTGAAATCTCCACTTGCAAATTCCACAGAAAGAGTTTTTCAAAACTGCTCTGTGTAAAGGAAGGTTCAACTCTGTGACTTGAATACACACAACACAAGGAAGTGACTGAGAATTCTTCTGTCTAGCATTATATGAAGAAATCCCGTTTCCAACGAAGGCCTCAAAGAAGTCCAAATAAGCACCTGCAGACTTTACAAACAGAGTGTTTCCAAACTGCTCTATGAAAAGAAAGGTTAAACTCTGTGAGTTGAACGCACACATCACAAAGTAGTTGTCGAGAATGATTCTGTGTAGTTTTTATACGAAGATATTTCCTTTTCTGCCATAGGCCTAGAAGCGCTTGTAATCTGCACTTGCAAATTCCAAAAACAGAGTGTTTCAAATCTGCTCTCTCTAAAGGAAGGTTCAAATCTGTGAGTTGAATACAAACAACACAAAGAAGTTACTGAGAATTCTTCTGTCTAGCATTATAAGAGGAAATCCCGTTTCCAACGAAGGGCTCCTAGAGGGACAATTTTCCAGCTGCAGACTTACAAAGAGTGTATTTCCAAACTGCTCGATTAAAGAAAGGTTAAACTCTGTGAGTTGAACACACACATCACAAAGTGTTTTCTGAGAATGATTTTGTCTAGTTTTAATACGAAGATATATCCTTTTCTATCACTGTCTTCGAAGCGTTTGAAATCTGCACTAGCAAATTCCACAGAAAGAGTGTTTCAACTCTGCTCTCTCTCAAGAAAGGTTCAACTCTGTGAGTGGAATACACACAACACAAAGAAGTTACTGAGAATTCTTCTGTCTAGCGTTATATGAAGAAATCCCGTTTCCAACGAAGGCCTCAAAGAGGTCCAAATATCCACTTGCAGACTTTACAAATAGAGTGTTTCCAAACTGCTCTATGAAAAGAAAGTTTAAACTCTGTGAGTTGAAGGCACACATCACAAACTAGTTTCTGCGAATGACTCTGTGTACTTTTAATACGAAGATGTTTCCATGTCTAAGATTGGCGTGAATTCGCTTGAAATCTCCACTTGCAAATTCCACAAAAAGAGTGTTTCAAAAGTGCTCTGAATAAAGGAAGGTTCCACTCTGTGAGTTGAATACACACAACACAAAGGATTTACTGAGAATTCTTCTGTCTAGCAGTAAATGAAAAAATCCCGCTTCCAACGAAGTCCTCAAAGGGGTCCAAGTAATCACTTGCAGACTTTACAGACAGAGTCTTTCCAAACTGCTCTATGAAAAGAAAGGTGGAACTCTGTGAGCTGAACGCACACATAACAAAGCAGTTTCTGAGAATGATTCTGTGTAGTTTATACACGAAGATATTTCCATTTCAAAGATTAGCCTCAAATCGCTTGAAATCTCCACTTGCAAATTCCACAGAAAGAGTTTTTCAAAACTGCTCTGTGTAAAGGAAGGTTCAACTCTGTGACTTGAATACACACAACACAAAGAAGTGACTGAGAATTCTTCTGTCTAGCATTATATGAAGAAATCCCGTTTCCAACGAAGGCCTCAAAGAAGTCCAAATAAGCACCTGCAGACTTTACAAACAGAGTGTTTCCAAACTGCTCTATGAAAAGAAAGGTTAAACTCTGTGAGTTGAACGCACACATCACAAAGTAGTTGTTGAGAATGATTCTGTGTAGTTTTTATACGAAGATATTTCCTTTTCTGCCATAGGCCTAGAAGCGCTTGCAATCTGCACTTGCAAATTCCAAAAACAGAGTGTTTCAAATCTGCTCTCTCCAAAGGAAGGTTCAAATCTGTGAGTTGAATACAAACAACACAAAGAAGTTACTGAGAATTCTTCTGTCTAGCATTATAAGAGGAAATCCCGTTTCCAACGAAGGGCTCCTAGAGGGACAATTATCCAGCTGCAGACTTACAAAGAGTGTATTTCCAAACTGCTCGATTAAAGAAAGGTTAAACTCTGTGAGTTGAACACACACATCACAAAGTGTTTTCTGAGAATGATTCTGTGTAGTTTTTATACGAAGATATTTCCTTTTCTGCCATAGGCCTAGAAGCGCTTAAAATCTGCACTTGCAAATTCCAAAAACAGAGTGTTTCAAATCTGCTCTCTCTAAAGAAATGTTCAACTCTGTGAGTTGAATACACACAACACAAAGAAGTAACTGAGAATTCTTCTGTCTAGCGTTATATGAAGAAATCCCGTTTCCAACGAAGGCCTCAAAGAGGTCCAAATATCCACTTGCAGACTTTACAAATAGAGTGTTTCCAAACTGCTCTATGAAAAGAAAGGTTAAACTCCGTGAGTTGAAGGCACACATCACAAACTAGTTTCTGCGAATGACTCTGTGTACTTTTAATACGAAGATGTTTCCATGTCTAAGATTGGCGTGAATTCGCTTGAAATCTCCACTTGCAAATTCCACCAAAAGAGTGTTTCAAAACTGCTCTGAATAAAGGAAGGTTCCACTCTGTGAGTTGAATACACACAACACAAAGGATTTACTGAGAATTCTTCTGTCTAGCAGTAAATGAAAAAATCCCGCTTCCAACGAAGTCCTCAAAGGGGTCCAAGTAATCACTTGCAGACTTTACAGACGGAGTCTTTCCAAACTGCTCTATGAAAAGAAAGGTGGAACTCTGTGAGCTGAACGCACACATAACAAAGCAGTTTCTGAGAATGATTCTGTGTAGTTTTTGCACGAAGCTATTTCCATTTCAAAGATTAGCCTCAAATCGCTTGAAATCTCCACTTGCAAATTCCACAGAAAGAGTTTCTCAAAACTGCTCTGTGTAAAGGAAGGTTCAACTCTGTGACTTGAATACACACAACACAAAGAAGTGACTGAGAATTACTCTGTCTAGCATTATATGAAGAAATCCCGTTTCCAACGAAGGCCTCAAAGAAGTCCAAATAAGCAACTGCAGACTTTACAAACAGGGTGTTTCCAAACTGCTCTATGAAAAGAAAGGTTAAACTCTGTGAGTTGAACGCACACATCACAAAGTAGTTGTTGAGAATGATTCTGTGTAGTTTTTATACGAAGATATTTCCTTTTCTGCCATAGGCCTAGAAGCGCTTGAAATCTGCACTTGCAAATTCCAAAAACAGAGTGTTTCAAATCTGCTCTCTCTAAAGGAAGGTTCAAATCTGTGAGTTGAATACAAACAACACAAAGAAGTTACTGAGAATTCTTCTGTCTAGCATTATAAGAGGAAATCCTGTTTCCAACGAAGGGCTCATAGAGGGACAATTATCCAGCTGCAGACTTACAAAGAGTGTATTTCCAAACTGCTCGATTAAAGAAAGGTTAAACTCTGTGAGTTGAACACACACATCACAAAGTGTTTTCTGAGAATGATTTTGTCTAGTTTTAATACGAAGATATATCCTTTTCTATCACTGTCTTCGAAGCGTTTGAAATCTGCACTAGCAAACTCCACAGAAAGAGTGTTTCAACTCTGCTCTCTCTCAAGAAAGGTTCAACTCTGTGAGTGGAATACACACAACACAAAGAAGTTACTGAGAATTCTTCTGTCTAGCGTTATATGAAGAAATCCCGTTTCCAACGAAGGCCTCAAAGAGGTCCAAATATCCACTTGCAGACTTTACAAATAGAGTGTTTCCAAACTGCTCTATGAAAAGAAAGGTTAAACTCCGTGAGTTGAAGGCACACATCACAAACTAGTTTCTGCGAATGACTCTGTGTACTTTTAATACGAAGATGTTTCCATGTCTAAGATTGGCGTGAATTCGCTTGAAATCTCCACTTGCAAATTCCACAAAAAGTGTGTTTCAAAAGTGCTCTGAATAAAGGAAGGTTCCACTCTGTGAGTTGAATACACACAACACAAAGGATTTACTGAGAATTCTTCTGTCTAGCAGTAAATGAAAAAATCCCGCTTCCAACGAAGTCCTCAAAGGTGTCCAAGTAATCACTTGCAGACTTTACAGACAGAGTCTTTCCAAACTGCTCTATGAAAAGAAAGGTGGAACTCTGTGAGCTGAACGCACACATAACAAAGCAGTTTCTGAGAATGATTCTGTGTAGTTTTTACACGAAGATATTTCCATTTCAAAGATTAGCCTCAAATCGCTTGAAATCTCCACTTGCAAATTCCACAGAAAGAGTTTTTCAAAACTGCTCTGTGTAAAGGAAGGTTCAACTCTGTGACTTGAATACACACAACACAAAGAAGTGACTGAGAATTCTTCTGTCTAGCATTACATGAAGAAATCCCGTTTCCAACGAAGGCCTCAAAGAAGTCCAAATAAGCACCTGCAGACTTTACAAACAGAGTGTTTCCAAACTGCTCTATGAAAAGAAAGGTTAAACTCTGTGAGTTGAACGCACACATCACAAAGTAGTTGTTGAGAATGATTCTGTGTAGTTTTTATACGAAGATATTTCCTTTTCTGCCATAGGCCTAGAAGCGCTTGTAATCTGCACTTGCAAATTCCAAAAACAGAGTGTTTCAAATCTGCTCTCTCTAAAGGAAGGTTCAAATCTGTGAGTTGAATACAAACAACACAAAGAAGTTACTGAGAATTCTTCTGTCTAGCATTATAAGAGGAAATCCTGTTTCCAACGAAGGGCTCATAGAGGGACAATTATCCAGCTGCAGACTTACAAAGAGTGTATTTCCAAACTGCTCGATTAAAGAAAGGTTAAACTCTGTGAGTTGAACACACACATCACAAAGTGTTTTCTGAGAATGATTTTGTCTAGTTTCAATACGAAGATATATCCTTTTCTATCACTGTCTTCGAAGCGTTTGAAATCTGCACTAGCAAATTCCACAGAAAGAGTGTTTCAACTCTGCTCTCTCTCAAGAAAGGTTCAACTCTGTGAGTTGAATACACACAACACAAAGAAGTTACTGAGAATTCTTCTGTCTAGCGTTATATGAAGAAATCCCGTTTCCAACGAAGGCCTCAAAGAGGTCCAAATATCCACTTGCAGACTTTACAGATAGAGTGTTTCCAAACTGCTCTATGAAAAGAAAGGTTAAACTCCGTGAGTTGAAGGCACACATCACAAACTAGTTTCTGCGAATGACTCTGTGTACTTTTAATACGAAGATGTTTCCATGTCTAAGATTGGCGTGAATTCGCTTGAAATCTCCACCTGCAAATTCCACAAAAAGAATGTTTCAAAACAGCTCTGAATAGAGGAAGGTTCCACTCTGTGAGTTGAATACACACAACACAAAGGATTTACTGAGAATTCTTCTGTCTAGCAGTAAATGAAAAAATCCCGCTTCCAACGAAGTCCTCAAAGGGGTCCAAGTAATCACTTGCAGACTTTACAGACAGAGTCTTTCCAAACTGCTCTATGAAAAGAAAGGTGGAACTCTGTGAGCTGAACGCACACATAACAAAGCAGTTTCTGAGAATGATTCTGTGTGGTTTTTACACGAAGCTATTTCCATTTCAAAGATTAGCCTCAAATCGCTTGAAATCTCCACTTGCAAATTCCACAGAAAGAGTTTTTCAAAACTGCTCTGTGTAAAGGAAGGTTCAACTCTGTGACTTGAATACACACAACACAAAGAAGTGACTGAGAATTCTTCTGTCTAGCATTACATGAAGAAATCCCGTTTCCAACGAAGGCCTCAAAGAAGTCCAAATAAGCACCTGCAGACTTTACAAACAGAGTGTTTCCAAACTGCTCTATGAAAAGAAAGGTTAAACTCTGTGAGTTGAACGCACACATCACAAAGTAGTTGTTGAGAATGATTCTGTGTAGTTTTTATACGAAGATATTTCCTTTTCTGCCATAGGCCTAGAATCGCTTGTAATCTGCACTTGCAAATTCCAAAAACAGAGTGTTTCAAATCTGCTCTCTCTAAAGGAAGGTTCAAATCTGTGAGTTGAATACAAACAACACAAAGAAGTTACTGTGAATTCTTCTGTCTAGCATTATAAGAGGAAATCCCGTTTCCAACGAAGGGCTCATAGAGGGACAATTATCCAGCTGCAGACTTACAAAGAGTGTATTTCCAAACTGCTCGATTAAAGAAAGGTTAAACTCTGTGAGTTGAACACACACATCACAAAGTGTTTTCTGAGAATGATTTTGTCTAGTTTTAATACGAAGATATATCCTTTTCTATCACTGTCTTCGAAGCGTTTGAAATCTGCACTAGCAAATTCCACAAACGGAGTGTTTCAACTCTGCTCTCTCTCAAGAAAGGTTCAACTCTGTGAGTGGAATACACACAACACAAAGAAGTTACTGAGAATTCTTCTGTCTAGCGTTATATGAAGAAATCCCGTTTCCAACGAAGGCCTCAAAGAGGTCCAAATATCCACTTGCAGACTTTACAAATAGAGTGTTTCCAAACTGCTCTATGAAAAGAAAGGTTAAACTCTGTGAGTTGAAGGCACACATCACAAACTAGTTTCTGCAAATGACTCTGTGTACTTTTAATACGAAGATGTTTCCATGTCTAAGTATTGGCGTGAATTCGCTTGAAATCTCCACTTGCAAATTCCACAAAAAGAGTGTTTCAAAACTGCTCTGAATAAAGGAAGGTTCCACTCTGTGAGTTGAGTACACACAACACAAAGGATTTACTGAGAATTCTTCTGTCTGGCAGTAAATGAAAAAATCCCGCTTCCAACGAAGTCCTCAAAGGGGTCCAAGTAATCACTTGCAGACTTTACAGACAGAGTCTTTCCAAACTGCTCTATGAAAAGAAAGGTGGAACTCTGTGAGCTGAACGCACACATAACAAAGCAGTTTCTGAGAATGATTCTGTGTAGTTTTTACACGAAGATATTTCCATTTCAAAGATTAGCCTCAAATCGCTTGAAATCTCCACTTGCAAATTCCACAGAAAGAGTTTTTCAAAACTGCTCTGTGTAAAGGAAGGTTCAACTCTGTGACTTGAATACACACAACACAAAGAAGTGACTGAGAATTCTTCTGTCTAGCATTATATGAAGAAATCCCGTTTCCAACGAAGGCCTCAAAGAAGTCCAAATAAGCACCTGCAGACTTTACAAACAGAGTGTTTCCAAACTGCTCTATGAAAAGAAAGGTTAAACTCTGTGAGCTGAACGCACACATCCCAAAGTAGTTGTTGAGAATGATTCTGTGTAGTTTTTATACGAAGATATTTCCTTTTCTGCCATAGGCCTAGAAGCGCTTGTAATCTGCACTTGCAAATTCCAAAAACAGAGTGTTTCAAATCTGCTCTCTCTAAAGATAAGGTTCAAATCTGTGAGTTGAATACAAACAACACAAAGAAGTTACTGAGAATTCTTCTGTCTAGCATTATATGAGGAAATCCCGTTTCCAACGAAGGGCTCATAGAGGGACAATTATCCAGCTGCAGACTTACAAAGAGTGTATTTCCAAACTGCTCGATTAAAGAAAGGTTAAACTCTGTGAGTTGAACACACACATCACAAAGTGTTTTCTGAGAATGATTCTGTGTAGTTTTTATACGAAGATATTTCTTTTCTGCCATAGGGCTAGAATCGCTTGAAATCTGCACTTGCAAATTCCAAAAACAGAGTGTTTCAACTCTGTTCTCTCTAAAGTAAGGTTCAACTCTGTGAGTTGAATACACACAACACAAAGAAGTTACTGAGAATTCTTCTGTCTAGCGTTGTATGAAGAAATCCCGTTTCCAACGAAGGCCTCAAAGAGGTCCAAATATCCACTTGCAGACTTTACAAATAGAGTGTTTCCAAACTGCTCTATGAAAAGAAAGGTTAAACTCTGTGAATTGAAGGCACACATCACAAACTAGTTTCTACGAATGACTCTGTGTACTTTTAATATGAAGATATTTCCATGTCTAAGATTGGCGTCAAATCGCTTGAAATCTCCACTTGCAAATTCCACAAAAAGTGTTTTTCAAAACTGCTCTGAATAAAGGAAGGTTCCACTCTGTGAGTTGAATACACACAACACAAAGGATTTACTGAGAATTCTTCTGTCTAGCAGTAAATGAGAAATCCCGCTTCCAACGAAGGCCTCAAAGGGGTCTAACTAATCACTTGCAGACTTTACAGACAGAGTCTTTCCAAACTGCTCTATGAAGAGAAAGGTGAAACTCTGTGAACTGAACGCACAGATGACAAAGCAGTTTCTGAGAATGATTCTGTGTAGTTTTTACACGAAGATATTTCCATTTCAAAGATTAGCCTCAAATCGCTTGAAATCTCCACTTGCAAACTCCACAGAAAGAATTTTTCAAAACTGCTCTGTCTAAAGGAAGGTTCAACTCTGTGACTTGAATACACACAACACAAAGAAGTGACTGAGAATTCCTTCTGTCTAGCATTATATGAAGAAATCCCGTTTCCAACGAAGGCCTCAAAGAAGTCCAAATATGCACTTGCAGACTTTACAACCAGAGTGTTTCCAAACTGCTCTATGAAAAGAAAGGTTAAATCCTGTGAGTTGAACGCACACATCACAAAGTAGTTTCTGAGAATGATTCTGTGTAGTTTTTATACGAAGATATTTCCTTTTCTGCCATAGGCCTAGAAGCGCTTGTAATCTGCACTTGCAAATTCCAAAAACAGAGTGTTTCAAATCTGCTCTCTCTAAAGGAAGGTTCAAATCTGTGAGTTGAATACAAACAACACAAAGAAGTTATGAGAATTCTCTGTCTAGCGTTATATGAAGAAATCCCGTTTCCAACGAAGGCCTCAAAGAGGTCCAAATATCCACTTGCAGACTTTACAAATAGAGTGTTTCCAAACTGCTCTATGAAAAGAAAGGTTAAACTCCGTGAGTTGAAGGCACACATCACAAACTAGTTTCTGCGAATGACTCTGTGTACTTTTAATACGAAGATGTTTCCATGTCTAAGATTGGCGTGAATTCGCTTGAAATCTCCACTTGCAAATTCCACAAAAAGAGTGTTTCAAAAGTGCTCTGAATAAAGGAAGGTTCCACTCTGTGAGTTGAATACACACAACACAAAGGATTTACTGAGAATTCTTCTGTCTAGCAGTAAATGAAAAAATCCCGCTTCCAACGAAGTCCTCAAAGGGGTCCAAGTAATCATTTGCAGACTTTACAGACGGAGTCCTTCCAAACTGCTCTATGAAAAGAAAGGTGGAACTCTGTGAGCTGAACGCACACATAACAAAGCAGTTTCTGAGAATGATTCTGTGTAGTTTTTGCACGAAGCTATTTCCATTTCAAAGGATTAGCCTCAAATCGCTTGAAATCTCCACTTGCAAATTCCACAGAAAGAGTTTCTCAAAACTGCTCTGTGTAAAGGAAGGTTCAACTCTGTGACTTGAATACACACAACACAAAGAAGTGACTGAGAATTCTTCTGTCTAGCATTATATGAAGAAATCCCGTTTCCAACGAAGGCCTCAAAGAAGTCCAAATAAGCACCTGCAGACTTTACAAACAGAGTGTTTCCAAACTGCTCTATGAAAAGAAAGGTTAAACTCTGTGAGTTGAACGCACACATCACAAAGTAGTTGTTGAGAATGATTCTGTGTAGTTTTTATACGAAGATATTTCCTTTTCTGCCATAGGCCTAGAAGCGCTTGTAATCTGCACTTGCAAATTCCAAAAACAGAGTGTTTCAAATCTGCTCTCTCTAAAGGAAGGTTCAAATCTGTGAGTTGAATACAAACAACACAAAGAAGTTACTGAGAATTCTTCTGTCTAGCATTATAAGAGGAAATCCCGTTTCCAAAGAAGGGCTCATAGAGGGACAATTATCCAGCTGCAGACTTACAAAGAGTGTATTTCCAAACTGCTCGATTAAAGAAAGGTTAAACTCTGTGAGTTGAACACACACATCACAAAGTGTTTTCTGAGAATGATTTTGTCTAGTTTTAATACGAAGATATATCCTTTTCTATCACTGTCTTCGAAGCGTTTGAAATCTGCACTAGCAAATTCCACAAACAGAGTGTTTCCACTCTGCTCTCTCTCAAGAAAGGTTCAACTCTGTGAGTGGAATACACACAACACAAAGAAGTTACTGAGAATTCTTCTGTCTAGCGTTATATGAAGAAATCCCATTTCCAACGAAGGCCTCAAAGAGGTCCAAATATCCACTTGCAGACTTTACAAATAGAGTGTTTCCAAACTGCTCTATGAAAAGAAAGGTTAAACTCCGTGAGTTGAAGGCACACATCACAAACTAGTTTCTGCGAATGACTCTGTGTACTTTTAATACGAAGATGTTTCCATGTCTAAGATTGGCGTGAATTCGCTTGAAATCTCCACTTGCAAATTCCACAAAAAGAGTGTTTCAAAACTGCTCTGAATAAAGGAAGGTTCCACTCTGTGAGTTGAATACACACAATACAAAGGATTTACTGAGAATTCTTCTGTCTAGCAGTAAATGAAAAAATCCCGCTTCCAACGAAGTCCTCAAAGGGGTCCAAGTAATCACTTGCAGACTTTACAGACAGAGTCTTTCCAAACTGCTCTATGAAAAGAAAGGTGGAACTCTGTGAGCTGAACGCACACATAACAAAGCAGTTTCTGAGAATGATTCTGTGTAGTTTTTACACGAAGCTATTTCCATTTCAAAGATTAGCCTCAAATCGCTTGAAATCTCCACTTGCAAATTCCACAGAAAGAGTTTTTCAAAACTGCTCTGTGTAAAGGAAGGTTCAACTCTGTGACTTGAATACACACAACACAAAGAAGTGACTGAGAATTCTTCTGTCTAGCATTACATGAAGAAATCCCGTTTCCAACGAAGGCCTCAAAGAAGTCCAAATAAGCACCTGCAGACTTTACAAACAGAGTGTTTCCAAACTGCTCTATGAAAAGAAAGGTTAAACTCTGTGAGTTGAACGCACACATCAAAAAGTAGTTGTTGAGAATGATTCTGTGTAGTTTTTATACGAAGATATTTCCTTTTCTGCCATAGGCCTAGAAGCGCTTGTAATCTGCACTTGCAAATTCCGAAAACAGAGTGTTTCAAATCTGCTCTCTCTAAAGGAAGGTTCAAATCTGTGAGTTGAATACAAACAACACAAAGAAGTTACTGAGAATTCTTCTGTCTAGCATTATAAGAGGAAATCCCGTTTCCAACGAAGGGCTCATAGAGGGACAATTATCCAGCTGCAGACTTACAAAGAGTGTATTTCCAAACTGCTCGATTAAAGAAAGGTTAAACTCTGTGAGTTGAACACACACATCACAAAGTGTTTTCTGAGAATGATTCTGTGTAGTTTTTATACGAAGATATTTCCTTTTCTGCCATAGGCCTAGAAGTGCTTGAAATCTGCACTTGCAAATTCCAAAAACAGAGTGTTTCAAATCTGCTCTCTCTAAAGGAAGGTTCAAATCTGTGTGTTGCATACAAACAACACAGAGAAGTTACTGAGAATTCTTCTGTCTAGCATTATAAGAGGAAATCCCGTTTCCAAAGAAGGGCTCAAAGAGGGCCAAATATCCACCTGCAGACTTACAAAGAGTGTATTTCCAAACTGCTCGATTAAAGAAAGGTTAAACTCTGTGAGTTGAACACACACATCACAAAGAGTTTTCTGAGAATGAATTTGTCTACTTTTAATACGAAGATATATCCTTTTCTATCACTGACTTCGAAGCGTTTGAAATCTACACTGGCAAATTCCACAAAAAGACTGTTTCACCTCTGCTCCCTCTAAAGAAAGGTTCAACTCTGTGAGTTGAATACACACAACACAAAGAAGTTACTGAGAATTCTTCTGTCTAGCGTTATATGAAGAAAACCCTTTTCCAACGAAGGCCTTAAAGAGGTCCAAATATCCACTTGCAGACTTTACAAATAGAGTGTTTCCGAACTGCTCTATGAAAAGAAAGGTTAAACTCTGTGAGTTGAAGGCACACATCACAAACTAGTTTCTACGAATGATTCTGTGTACTTTTAATATGAAGATATTTCCATGTCTAAGATTGGCGTCAAATCGCTTGAAATCTCCACTTGCAAATTCCACAAAAAGAGTGTTTCAAAACTGCTCTGAATAAAGGAAGGTTCCACTCTGTGAGTTGAATACACACAACACAAAGGATTTACTGAGAATTCTTCTGTCTAGCAGTAAATGAGAAATCCCGCTTCCAACGAAGGCCTCAAAGGGGTCTAACTAATCACTTGCAGACTTTACAGACAGAGTCTTTCCAAACTGCTCTATGAAGAGAAAGGTGAAACTCTGTGAACTGAACGCACAGATGACAAAGCAGTTTCTGAGAATGATTCTGTGTAGTTTTTACACGAAGATATTTCCATTTCAAAGATTAGCCTCAAATCGCTTGAAATCTCCACTTGCAAACTCCACAGAAAGAATTTTTCAAAACTGCTCTGTCTAAAGGAAGGTTCAACTCTGTGACTTGAATACACACAACACAAAGAAGTGACTGAGAATTCTTCTGTCTAGCATTATATGAAGAAATCCCGTTTCCAACGAAGGCCTCAATGAAGTCCAAAAAAGCACTTGCAGGCTTTACAAACAGAGTGTTTCCAAACTGCTCTATGAAAAGAAAGGTTAAACTCTGTGAGTTGAACGCACACATCACAAAGTAGTTGTTGAGAATGATTCTGTGTAGTTTTTATACGAAGATAATTCCTTTTCTGCCATAGGCCTAGAATCGCTTGAAATCTGCAGTTGCAAATTCCAAAAACAGAGTGTTTCAACTCTGCTCTCTCTAAAGAAAGGTTCAACTCTGTGAGTTGAATACACACAACACAAAGAAGTTACTGAGAATTCTTCTGTCTAGCGTTGTATGAAGAAATCCCGTTTCCAACGAAGGCCTCAAAGAGGTCCAAATATCCACTTGCAGACTTTACAAATAGAGTGTTTCCAAACTGCTCTATGAAAAGAAAGGTTAAACTCTGTGAGTTGAAGGCACACATCACAAACTAGTTTCTACGAATGACTCTGTGTACTTTTAATATGAAGATATTTCCATGTCTAAGATTGGCGTCAAATCGCTTGAAATCTCCACTTGCAAATTCCACAAAAAGTGTTTTTCAAAACTTCTCTGAATAAAGGAAGGTTCCACTCTGTGAGTTGAATACACACAACACAAAGGATTTACTGAGAATTCTTCTGTCTAGCAGTAAATGAGAAATCCCGCTTCCAACGAAGGCCTCAAAGGGGTCTAACTAATCACTTGCAGACTTTACAGACAGAGTCTTTCCAAACTGCTCTATGAAGAGAAAGGTGAAACTCTGTGAACTGAACGCACAGATGACAAAGCAGTTTCTGAGAATGATTCTGTGTAGTTTTTATACCGAAGATATTTCCTTTTCTGCCATAGGCCTAGAAGCGCTTGCAATCTGCACTTGCAAATTCCAAAAACAGAGTCTTTCAAATCTGCTCTCTCTAAAGGAAGGTTCAAATCTGTGAGTTGAATACAAACAACACAAAGAAGTTACTGAGAATTCTTCTGTCTAGCATTATAAGAGGAAATCCAGTTTCCAACGAAGGGCTCATAGAGGGACAATTATCCAGCTGCAGACTTACAAAGAGTGTATTTCCAAACTGCTCGATTAAAGAAAGGTTAAACTCTGTGAGTTGAACACACACATCACAAAGTGTTTTCTGAGAATGATTTTGTCTAGTTTTAATACGAAGATATATCCTTTTCTATCACTGTCTTCGAAGCGTTTGAAATCTGCACTAGCAAATTCCACAAACAGAGTGTTTCAACTCTGCTCTCTCTCAAGAAAGGTTCAACTCTGTGAGTTGAATACACACAACACAAAGAAGTTACTGAGAATTCTTCTGTCTAGCGTTATATGAAGAAATCCCGTTTCCAACGAAGGCCTCAAAGAGGTCCAAATATCCACTTGCAGACTTTACAAATAGAGTGTTTCCAAACTGCTCTATGAAAAGAAAGGTTAAACTCCGTGAGTTGAAGGCACACATCACAAACTAGTTTCTGCGAATGACTCTGTGTACTTTTAATACGAAGATGTTTCCATGTCTAAGATTGGCGTGAATTCGCTTGAAATCTCCACTTGCAAATTCCACAAAAAGAGTGTTTCAAAACTGCTCTGAATAAAGGAAGGTTCCACTCTGTGAGTTGAATACACACAACACAAAGGATTTACTGAGAATTCTTCTGTCTAGCAGTAAATGAAAAAATCCCGCTTCCAACGAAGTCCTCAAAGGGGTCCAAGTAATCACTTGCAGACTTTACAGACAGAGTCTTTCCAAACTGCTCTATGAAAAGAAAGGTGGAACTCTGTGAGCTGAACGCACACATAACAAAGCAGTTTCTGAGAATGATTCTGTGTAGTTTTTACACGAAGCTATTTCCATTTCAAAGATTAGCCTCAAATCGCTTGAAATCTCCACTTGCAAATTCCACAGAAAGAGTTTTTCAAAACTGCTCTGTGTAAAGGAAGGTTCAACTCTGTGACTTGAATACACACAACACAAAGAAGTGACTGAGAATTCTTCTGTCTAGCATTATATGAAGAAATCCCGTATCCAACGAAGGCCTCAAAGAAGTCCAAATAAGCACCTGCAGACTTTACAAACAGAGTGTTTCCAAACTGCTCTATGAAAAGAAAGGTTAAACTCTGTGAGTTGAACGCACACATCACAAACTAGTTTCTGCGAATGACTTCTGTGTACTTTTAATACGAAGATGTTTCCATGTCTAAGATTGGCGTGAATTCGCTTGAAATCTCCACTTGCAAATTCCACAAAAAGAGTGTTTCAAAACTGCTCTGAATAAAGGAAGGTTCCACTCTGTGAGTTGAATACACACAACACAAAGGATTTACTGAGAATTCTTCTGTCTAGCAGTAAATGAAAAAATCCCGCTTCCAACGAAGTCCTCAAAGGGGTCCAAGTAATCACTTGCAGACTTTACAGACAGAGTCTTTCCAAACTGCTCTATGAAAAGAAAGGTGGAACTCTGTGAGCTGAACGCACACATAACAAAGCAGTTTCTGAGAATGATTCTGTGTAGTTTTTACACGAAGATATTTCCATTTCAAAGATTAGCCTCAAATCGCTTGACATCTCCACTTGCAAATTCCACAGAAAGAGTTTTTCAAAACTGCTCTGTGTAAAGGAAGGTTCAACTCTGTGACTTGAATACACACAACACAAAGAAGTGACTGAGAATTCTTGTGTCTAGCATTATATGAAGAAATCCCGTTTCCAACGAAGGCCTCAAAGAAGTCCAAATAAGCACCTGCAGACTTTACAAACAGAGTGTTTCCAAACTGCTCTATGAAAAGAAAGGTTAAACTCTGTGAGCTGAACGCACACATCACAAAGTAGTTTTTGAGAATGATTCTGTGTAGTTTTTATACGAAGATATTTCCTTTTCTGCCATAGGCCTAGAAGCGCTTGCAATCTGCACTTGCAAATTCCAAAAACAGAGTGTTTCAAATCTGCTCTCTCCAAAGGAAGGTTCAAATCTGTGAGTTGAATACAAACAACACAAAGAAGTTACTGAGAATTCTTCTGTCTAGCATTATATGAGGAAATCCCGTTTCCAACGAAGGGCTCATAGAGGGACAATTATCCAGCTGCAGACTTACAAAGAGTGTATTTCCAAACTGCTCGATTAAAGAAAGGTTAAACTCTGTGAGTTGAACACACACATCACAAAGTGTTTTCTGAGAATGATTTTGTCTAGTTTTAATACGAAGATATATCCTTTTCTATCACTGTCTTCGAAGCGTTTGAAATCTGCACTAGCAAATTCCACAAACAGAGTGTTTCAACTCTGCTCTCTCTCAAGAAAGGTTCAACTCTGTGAGTGGAATACACACAACACTAAGAAGTTACTGAGAATTCTTCTGTCTAGCGTTATATGAAGATATCCCGTTTCCAACGAAGGCCTCAAAGAGGTCCAAATATCCACTTGCAGACTTTACAAATAGAGTGTTTCCAAACTGCTCTATGAAAAGAAAGGTTAAACTCCGTGAGTTGAAGGCACACATCACAAACTAGTTTCTGCGAATGACTCTGTGTACTTTTAATACGAAGATGTTTCCATGTCTAAGATTGGCGTGAATTCGCTTGAAATCTCCACTTGCAAATTCCACAAAAAGAGTGTTTCAAAACTGCTCTGAATAAAGGAAGGTTCCACTCTGTGAGTTGAGTACACACAACACAAAGGATTTACTGAGAATTCTTCTGTCTGGCAGTAAATGAAAAAATCCCGCTTCCAACGAAGTCCTCAAAGGGGTCCAAGTAATCACTTGCAGACTTTACAGACAGAGTCTTTCCAAACTGCTCTATGAAAACAAAGGTGGAACTCTGTGAGCTGAACGCACACATAACAAAGCAGTTTCTGACAATGATTCTGTGTAGTTTTTACACGAAGATATTTCCATTTCAAAGATTAGCCTCAAATCGCTTGAAATCTCCACTTGCAAATTCCACAGAAAGAGTTTTTCAAAACTGCTCTGTGTAAAGGAAGGTTCAACTCTGTGACTTGAATACACACAACACAAAGAAGTGACTGAGAATTCTTCTGTCTAGCATTATATGAAGAAATCCCGTTTCCAACGAAGGCCTCAAAGAAGTCCAAATAAGCACCTGCAGACTTTACAAACAGAGTGTTTCCAAACTGCTCTATGAAAAGAAAGGTTAAACTCTGTGAGTTGAACGCACACATCACACAGTAGTTGTTGAGAATGATTCTGTGTAGTTTTTATACGAAGATATTTCCTTTTCTGCCATAGGCCTAGAAGCGCTTGTAATCTGCACTTGCAAATTCCAAAACCAGAGTGTTTCAAATCTGCTCTCTCTAAAGGAAGGTTCAAATCTGTGAGTTGAATACAAACAACACAAAGAAGTTACTGAGAATTCTTCTGTCTAGCATTATATGAGGAAATCCCGTTTCCAACGAAGGGCTCATAGAGGGACAATTATCCAGCTGCAGACTTACAAAGAGTGTATTTCCAAACTGCTCGATTAAAGAAAGGTTAAACTCTGTGAGTTGAACACACACATCACAAAGTGTTTTCTGAGAATGATTTTGTCTAGTTTTAATACGAAGATATATCCTTTTCTATCACTGTCTTCGAAGCGTTTGAAATCGGCACTAGCAAATTCCACAAACAGAGTGTTTCAACTCTGCTCTCTCTCAAGAAAGGTTCAACTCTGTGAGTGGAATACACACAACACAAAGAAGTTACTGAGAATTCTTCTGTCTAGCGTTATATGAAGAAATCCCGTTTCCAACGAAGGCCTCAAAGACGTCCAAATATCCACTTGCAGACTTTACAAATAGAGTGTTTCCAAACTGCTCTATGAAAAGAAAGGTTAAACTCCGTGAGTTGAAGGCACACATCACAAACTAGTTTCTGCGAATGACTCTGTGTACTTTTAATACGAAGATGTTTCCATGTCTAAGATTGGCGTGAATTCGCTTGAAATCTCCACTTGCAAATTCCACAAAAAGAGTGTTTCAAAACTGCTCTGAATAAAGGAAGGTTCCACTCTGTGAGTTGAATACACACAACACAAAGGATTTACTGAGAATTCTTCTGTCTAGCAGTAAATGAAAAAATCCCGCTTCCAACGAAGTCCTCAAAGGGGTCCAAGTAATCACTTGCAGACTTTACAGACAGAGTCTTTCCAAACTGCTCTATGAAAAGAAAGGTGGAACTCTGTGAGCTGAACGCACACATAACAAAGCAGTTTCTGACAATGATTCTGTGTAGTTTTTACACGAAGATATTTCCATTTCAAAGATTAGCCTCAAATCGCTTGAAATCTCCACTTGCAAATTCCACAGAAAGAGTTTTTCAAAACTGCTCTGTGTAAAGGAAGGTTCAACTCTGTGACTTGAATACACACAACACAAAGAAGTGACTGAGAATTCTTCTGTCTAGCATTATATGAAGAAATCCCGTTTCCAACGAAGGCCTCAAAGAAGTCCAAATAAGCACCTGCAGACTTTACAAACAGAGTGTTTCCAAACTGCTCTATGAAAAGAAAGGTTAAACTCTGTGAGTTGAACGCACACATCACAAAGTAGTTGTTGAGAATGATTCTGTGTAGTTTTTATACGAAGATATTTCCTTTTCTGCCATAGGCCTAGAAGCGCTTGTAATCTGCACTTGCAAATTCCAAAAACAGAGTGTTTCAAATCTGCTCTCTCTAAAGGAAGGTTCAAATCTGTGAGTTGAATACAAACAACACAAAGAAGTTACTGAGAATTCTTCTGTCTAGCATTATAAGAGGAAATCCCGTTTCCAACGAAGGGCTCATAGAGGGACAATTATCCAGCTGCAGACTTACAAAGAGTGTATTTCCAAACTGCTCGATTAAAGAAAGGTTAAACTCTGTGAGTTGAACACACACATCACAAAGTGTTTTCTGAGAATGATTTTGTCTAGTTTTAATACGAAGATATATCCTTTTCTATCACTGTCTTCGAAGCGTTTGAAATCTGCACTAGCAAATTCCACAAACAGAGTGTTTCAACTCTGCTCTCTCTCAAGAAAGGTTCAACTCTGTGAGTTGAATACACACAACACAAAGAAGTTACTGAGAATTCTTCTGTCTAGCGTTATATGAAGAAATCCCGTTTCCAACGAAGGCCTCAAAGAGGTCCAAATATCCACTTGCAGACTTTACAAATAGAGTGTTTCCAAACTGCTCTATGAAAAGAAAGGTTAAACTCCGTGAGTTGAAGGCACACATCACAAACTAGTTTCTGCGAATGACTCTGTGTACTTTTAATACGAAGATGTTTCCATGTCTAAGATTGGCGTGAATTCGCTTGAAATCTCCACTTGCAAATTCCACAAAAAGAGTGTTTCAAAAGTGCTCTGAATAAAGGAAGGTTCCACTCTGTGAGTTGAATACACACAACACAAAGGATTTACTGAGAATTCTTCTGTCTAGCAGTAAATGAGAAATCCCGCTTCCAACGAAGGCCTCAAAGGGGTCTAACTAATCACTTGCAGACTTTACAGACAGAGTCTTTCCAAACTGCTCTATGAAGAGAAAAGTGAAACTCTGTGAACTGAACGCACTCATAACAAAGCAGTTTCTGAGAATGATTCTGTGCAGTTTTTACACGAAGATATTTCCATTTCAAAGATTAGCCTCAAATCGCTTGAAATCTCCACTTGCAAATTCCACAAAAAGAGTGTTTCAAAACTGCTCTGAATAAAGGAAGGTTCAACTCTGTGAGTTGAATACACCCAACACAAAGGATTTAATGAGAATTCTTCTGTCTAGCAGTAAATGAAAAAATCCCGCTTCCAACGAAGTCCTCAAAGGGGTCCAAGTTATCACTTGCAGACTTCACAGACAGAGTCTTTCCAAACTGCCCTATGAAAAGAAAGGTGGAACTCTGCGAGCTGAACGCACACATAACAAAGCAGTTTCTGAGAATGATTCTGTGTAGTTTTCACACGAAGATATTTCCATTTCAAAGATTAGCCTGAAATCCCTTGAAATCTCCACTTGCAAATTCCACAGAAAGAGTTCTTCAAAACTGCTCTGTGTAAAGGAAGGTTCAACTGTGTGACTTGAATACACACAACACAAAGAAGTGACTGAGAATTCTTCTGTCTAGCATTATATGAAGAAATCCCGTTTCCAACGAAGGCCTCAAAGAAGTCCAAATAAGCACCTGCAGACTTTACAAACAGAGTGTTTCCAAACTGCTCTATGAAAAGAAAGGTTAAACTCTGTGAGTTGAACGCACACATCACAAAGTAGTTGTTGAGAATGATTCTGTGTAGTTTTTATACGAAGATATTTCCTTTTCTGCCATAGGCCTAGAAGCGCTTGCAATCTGCACTTGAAAATTCCAAAAACAGAGTGTTTCAAATCTGCTCTCTCCAAAGGAAGGTTCACATCTGTGAGTTGAATACAAACAACACAAAGAAGTTACTGAGAATTCTTCTGTCTAGCATTATAAGAGGAAATCCCGTTTCCAACGAAGGGCTCATAGAGGGACAATTATCCAGCTGCAGACTTACAAAGAGTGTATTTCCAAACTGCTCGATTAAAGAAAGGTTAAACTCTGTGAGTTGAACACACACATCACAAAGTGTTTTCTGAGAATGATTCTGTGTAGTTTTTATACGACGATATTCCCTTTTCTGCCATAGGCCTAGAAGCGCTTGAAATGTGCACTTGCAAATTCCAAAAAAAGAGTGTTTGAAATCTGCTCTCTCTAAAGGAAGGTTCAAATCTGTGAGTTGAATACAACCAACACAAAGAAATTACTGAGAATTCTTCTGTCTAGCGTTACATGAAGAAATCCCGTTTCCAAAGAAGGCCTCAAAGAGGTCCAAATATCCACTTGCAGACTTTACAAATAGAGTGTTTCCAAACTGCTCTATGAAAAGAAAGGTTAAACTCTGTGAGTTGAAGGCACACATCACAAAGTAGTTTCTGCGAATGACTCTGTGTACTTTTAATACGAAGATGTTTCCATGTCTAAGATTGGCGTGAATTCGCTTGAAATCTCCACTTGCAAATTCCACAAAAAGAGTGTTTCAAAACTGCTCTGAATAAAGGAAGGTTCCACTCTGTGAGTTGAATACACACAACACAAAGGATTTACTGAGAATTCTTCTGTCTAGCAGTAAATGAAAAAATCCCGCTTCCAACGAAGTCCTCAAAGGGGTCCAAGTAATCACTTGCAGACTTTACAGACAGAGTCTTTCCAAACTGCTCTATGAAAAGAAAGGTGGAACTCTGTGAGCTGAACGCACACATAACAAAGCAGTTTCTGACAATGATTCTGTGTAGTTTTTACACGAAGATATTTCCATTTCAAAGATTAGCCTCAAATCGCTTGAAATCTCCACTTGCAAATTCCACAGAAAGAGTTTTTCAAAACTGCTCTGTGTAAAGGAAGGTTCAACTCTGTGACTTGAATACACACAACACAAAGAAGTGACTGAGAATTCTTCTGTCTAGCATTATATGAAGAAATCCCGTTTCCAACGAAGGCCTCAAAGAAGTCCAAATAAGCACCTGCAGACTTTACAAACAGAGTGTTTCCAAACTGCTCTATGAAAAGAAAGGTTAAACTCTGTGAGTTGAACGCACACATCACAAAGTAGTTGTTGAGAATGATTCTGTGTAGTTTTTATACGAAGATATTTAATTTTCTGCCATAGGCCTAGAAGTGCTAGCAATCTGCACTTGCAAATTCCAAAAACAGAGTGTTTCAAATCTGCTCTCTCCAAAGGAAGGTTCAAATCTGTGAGTTGAATACAAACAACACAAAGAAGTTACTGAGAATTCTTCTGTCTAGCATTATAAGAGGAAATCCCGTTTCCAACGAAGGGCTCATAGAGGGACAATTATCCAGCTGCAGACTTACAAAGAGTGTATTTCCAAACTGCTCGATTAAAGAAAGGTTAAACTCTGTGAGTTGAACACACACATCACAAAGTGTTTTCTGAGAATGATTCTGTGTAGTTTTTATACGAAGATATTTCCTTTTCTGCCATAGGCCTAGAATCGCTTGAAATCTGCACTTGCAAATTCCAAAAACAGAGTGTTTCAACTCTGCTCTCTCTAAAGAAAGGTTCAACTCTGTGAGTTGAATACACACAACACAAAGAAGTTACTGAGAAATCTTCTGTCTAGCGTTGTATGAACAAATCCCGTTTCCAACGAAGGCCTCAATGAAGTCCAAAAAAGCACTTGCAGGCTTTACAAACAGAGTGTTTCCAAACTGCTCTATGAAAAGAAAGGTTAAACTCTGTGAGTTGAACGCACACATCACAAAGTAGTTGTTGAGAATGATTCTGTGTACTTTTAATACGAAGATGTTTCCATGTCTAAGATTGGCGTGAATTCGCTTGAAATCTCCACTTGCAAATTCCACAAAAAGAGTGTTTCAAAACTGCTCTGAATAAAGGAAGGTTCCACTCTGTGAGTTGAATACACACAACACAAAGGATTTACTGAGAATTCTTCTGTCTAGCAGTAAATGAAAAAATCCCGCTTCCAACGAAGTCCTCAAAGAGGTCCAAGTAATCACTTGCAGACTTTACAGACAGAGTCTTTCCAAACTGCTCTATGAAAAGAAAGGTGGAACTCTGTGAGCTGAACGCACACATAACAAAGCAGTTTCTGAGAATGATTCTGTGTAGTTTTTACACGAAGATATTTCCATTTCAAAGATTAGCCTCAAATCGCTTGAAATCTCCAGTTGCAAATTCCACAGAAAGAGTTTTTCAAAACTGCTCTGTGTAAAGGAAGGTTCAACTCTGTGACTTGAATACACACAACACAAAGAAGTGACTGAGAATTCTTCTGTCTAGCATTATATGAAGAAATCCCGTTTCCAACGAAGGCCTCAAAGAAATCCAAATAAGCACCTGCAGACTTTACAAACAGAGTGTTTCCAAACTGCTCTATGAAAAGAAAGGTTAAACTCTGTGAGTTGAACGCACACATCACAAAGTAGTTGTTGAGAATGATTCTGTGTAGTTTTTATACGAAGATATTTCCTTTTCTGCCATAGGCCTAGAAGCGCTTGCAATCTGCACTTGCAAATTCCAAAAACAGAGTGTTTCAAATCTGCTCTCTCCAAAGGAAGGTTCAAATCTGTGAGTTGAATACAAACAACACAAAGAAGTTACTGAGAATTCTTCTGTCTAGCATTATAAGAGGAAATCCCGTTTCCAACGAAGGGCTCATAGAGGGACAATTATCCAGCTGCAGACTTACAAAGAGTGTATTTCCAAACTGCTCGATTAAAGAAAGGTTAAACTCTGTGAGTTGAACACACACATCACAAAGTGTTTTCTGAGAATGATTTTGTCTAGTTTTAATACGAAGATATATCCTTTTCTATCACTGTCTTCGAAGCGTTTGAAATCTGCACTAGCAAATTCCACAAAAAGAGTGTCTCAACTCTGCTCTCTCTAAAGAAGGGTTCAACTCTGTGAGTTGAATACACACAACACAAAGAAGTTACTGAGAATTCTTCTGCCTAGCGTTATATGAAGAAATCCCGTTTCCAACGAAGGCCTCAAAGAGGTCCAAATATCCACTTGCAGACTTTACAAATAGAGTGTTTCCGAACTGCTCTATGAAAAGAAAGGTCAAACTCTGTGAGTTGAAGGCACACATCACAAACTAGTTTCTACGAATGACTCTGTGTACTTTTAATACGAAGATGTTTCCATGTCTAAGATTGGCATGAATTCGCTTGAAATCTCCACTTGCAAATTCCACAAAAAGAGTGTTTCAAAACTGCTCTGAATAAAGGAAGGTTGAATACACACAACACAAAGGATTTACTGAGAATTCTTCTGTCTAGCAGTAAATGAAAAAATCCCGCTTCCAACGAAGTCCTCAAAGGGGTCCAAGTAATCACTTGCAGACTTTACAGACAGAGTCTTTCCAAACTGCTCTATGAAAAGAAAGGTGGAACTCTGTGAGCTGAACGCACACATAACAAAGCAGTTTCTGAGAATGATTCTGTGTAGTTTTTACACGAAGATATTTCCATTTCAAAGATTAGCCTCAAATAGCTTGAAATCTCCACTTGCAAATTCCACAGAAAGAGTTTTTCAAAACTGCTCTGTGTAAAGGAAGGTTCAACTCTGTGACTTGAATACACACAACACAAAGAAGTGACTGAGAATTCTTCTGTCTAGCATTATACGAAGAAATCCCGTTTCCAACGAAGGCCTCAAAGAAGTCCAAATAAGCACCTGCAGACTTTACAAACAGAGTGTTTCCAAACTGCTCTATGAAAAGAAAGGTAAAACTCTGTGAGTTGAACGCACACATCACAAAGTAGTTGTTGAGAATGATTCTGTGTAGTTTTTATACGAAGATATTTCCTTTTCTGCCATAGGCCTAGAAGCGCTTGCAATCTGCACTTGCAAATTCCAAAAACAGAGTGTTTCAAATCTGCTCTCTCCAAAGGAAGGTTCAAATCTGTGAGTTGAATACAAACAACACAAAGAAGTTACTGAGAATTCTTCTGTCTAGCATTATAAGAGGAAATCCCGTTTCCAACGAAGGGCTCATAGAGGGACAATTATCCAGCTGCAGACTTACAAAGAGTGTATTTCCAAACTGCTCGATTAAAGAAAGGTTAAACTCTGTGAGTTGAACACACACATCACAAAGTGTTTTCTGAGAATGATTTTGTCTAGTTTTAATACGAAGATATATCCTTTTCTATCATTGTCTTCGAAGCGTTTGAAATCTGCACTAGCAAATTCCACAAAAAGAGTGTTTCAAATCTGCTCTCTCTAGAGAAAGGTTCAACTCTGTGAGTTGAATACACACAACACAAAGAAGTTACTGAGAATTCTTCTGTCTAGCGTTATACGAAGAAATCCCGTTTCCAAAGAAGGCGTCAAAGAGGTCCAAATATCCACTTGCAGACTTTACAAATAGAGTGTTTCCAAACTGCTCTATGAAAAGAAAGATTAAACTCTGTGAATTGAACTCACACATCACAAACTAGTTTCTGCGAATGACTCTGTGTACTTTTAATACGAAGATGTTTCCATGTCTAAGATTGGCGTGAATTCGCTTGAAATCTCCACTTGCAAATTCCACAAAAAGAGTGTTTCAAAACTGCTCTAAATAAAGGAAGGTTCCACTCTGTGAGTTGAATACACACAACACAAAGGATTTACTGAGAATTCTTCTGTCTAGCAGTAAATGAAAAAATCCCGCTTCCAACGAAGTCCTCAAAGGGGTCCAAGTAATCACTTGCAGACTTTACAGACAGAGTCTTTCCAAACTGCTCTATGAAAAGAAAGGTGGAACTCTGTGAGCTGAACGCACACATAACAAAGCAGTTTCTGAGAATGATTCTGTGTAGTTTTTACACGAAGATATTTCCATTTCAAAGATTAGCCTCAAATCGCTTGAAATCTCCACTTGCAAATTCCACAGAAAGAGTTTTTCAAAACTGCTCTGTGTAAAGGAAGGTTCAACTCTGTGACTTGAATACACACAACACAAAGAAGTGACTGAGAATTCTTCTGTCTAGCATTATACGAAGAAATCCCGTTTCCAACGAAGGCCTCAAAGAAGTCCAAATAAGCACCTGCAGACTTTACAAACAGAGTGTTTCCAAACTGCTCTATGAAAAGAAAGGTAAAACTCTGTGAGTTGAACGCACACATTCACAAAGTAGTTGTTGAGAATGATTCTGTGTAGTTTTTATACGAAGATATTTCCTTTTCTGCCATAGGCCTAGAAGCGCTTGCAATCTGCACTTGCAAATTCCAAAAACAGAGTGTTTCAAATCTGCTCTCTCCAAAGGAAGGTTCAAATCTGTGAGTTGAATACAAACAACACAAAGAAGTTACTGAGAATTCTTCTGTCTAGCATTATAAGAGGAAATCCCGTTTCCAACGAAGGGCTCATAGAGGGACAATTATCCAGCTGCAGACTTACAAAGAGTGTATTTCCAAACTGCTCGATTAAAGAAAGGTTAAACTCTGTGAGTTGAACACACACATCACAAAGTGTTTTCTGAGAATGATT
This sequence comes from Homo sapiens, assembly GCF_000001405.40. Classification (NCBI taxonomy): domain Eukaryota; kingdom Metazoa; phylum Chordata; class Mammalia; order Primates; family Hominidae; genus Homo; species Homo sapiens. The sequence continues at coordinate 40,007,295 of NC_000010.11, read as the reverse complement.
CTGTGCAGTTTTTATACGAAGATATTTCCTTTTCTGCCATAGGCCTAGAAGCACTTGAAATCTGTACTTGCAAATTCCAAAAACAGAGTGTTTCAAATCTGCTCTCTCTAAAGGAAGGTTCAAATCTGTGTGTTGAATACAAACAACACAAAGAAGTTACTGAGAATTCTTCTGTCTAGCGTTATATGAAGAAATCCCGTTTCCAACGAAGGCCTCAAAGAGGTCCAAATATCCACTTGCAGACTTTACAAATAGAGTGTTTCCAAACTGCTCTATGAAAAGAAAGGTTAAACTCTGTGAGTTGAAGGCACACATCACAAACTAGTTTCTGCGAATGACTCTGTGTACTTTTAATACGAAGATGTTTCCATGTCTAAGATTGGCCTGAATTCGCTTGAAATCTCCACTTCCTAATTCCACAAAAAGAGTGTTTCAAAACTGCTCTGAATAAAGGAAGGTTCCACTCTGTGAGTTGAATACACACAACACAAAGGATTTACTGAGAATTCTTCTGTCTAGCAGTAAATGAAAAAATCCCGCTTCCAACGAAGTCCTCAAAGGGGTCCAAGTAATCACTTGCAGACTTTACAGACAGAGTCTTTCCAAACTGCTCTATGAAAAGAAAGGTGGAACTCTGTGAGCTGAACGCACACATAACAAAGCAGTTTCTGACAATGATTCTGTGTAGATTTTACACGAAGATATTTCCATTTCAAAGATTAGCCTCAAATCGCTTGAAATCTCCACTTGCAAATTCCACAGGAAGAGTTTTTCAAAACTGCTCTGTGTAAAGGAAGGTTCAACTCTGTGACTTGAATACACACAACACAAAGAAGTGACTGAGAATTCTTCTGTCTAGCATTATATGAAGAAATCCCGTTTCCAACGAAGGCCTCAAAGAAGTCCAAATAAGCACCTGCAGACTTTACAAACAGAGTGTTTCCAAACTGCTCTATGAAAAGAAAGGTTAAACTCTGTGAGTTGAACGCACACATCACAAAGTAGTTGTTGAGAATGATTCTGTGTAGTTTTTATACGAAGATATTTCCTTTTCTGCCATAGGCCTAGAAGCGCTTGCAATCTGCACTTGCAAATTCCAAAAACAGAGTGTTTCAAATCTGCTCTCTCTAAAGGAAGGTTCAAATCTGTGAGTTCAATACAAACAACACAAAGAAGTTACTGAGAATTCTTCTGTCTAGCATTATATGAGGAAATCCCGTTTCCAACGAAGGGCTCATAGAGGGACAATTATCCACCTGCAGACTTACAAAGAGTGTATTTCCAAACTGCTCGATTAAAGAAAGGTTAAACTCTGTGAGTTGAACACACACATCACAAAGTGTTTTCTGAGAATGATTCTGTGTAGTTTTTATACGAAGATATTTCCTTTTCTGCCATAGGCCTAGAAGCGCTTGAAATCTGCACTTGCAAATTCCAAAAACAGAGTGTTTCAAATCTGCTCTCTCTAAAGGAAGGTTCAAATCTGTGTGGTGAATACAAACAACACAAAGAAGTTACTGAGAATTCTTCTGTCTAGCATTATATGAGGAAATCCCGTTTCCAACGAAGGGCTCAAAGAGGGCCAAATATCCACCTGCAGACTTACAAAGAGTGTATTTCCAAACTGCTCGATTAAAGAAAGGTTAAACTCTGTGAGTTGAACACACACATCACAAAGAGTTTTCTGAGAATGATTTTGTCTACTTTTAATACGAAGATATATCCTTTTCTATCACTGTCTTCGAAGCGTTTGAAATCTACACTAGCAAATTCCACAAAAAGAGTGTTTCACCTCTGCTCCCTCTAAAGAAAGGTTCAACTCTGTGAGTTGAATACACACAACACAAAGAAGTTACTGAGAATTCTTCTGTCTAGCGTTATATGAAGAAATCCCGTTTCCAACGAAGGCCTCAAAGAGGTCCAAATATCCACTTGCAGACTTTACAAATAGAGTGTTTCCCAACTGCTCTATGAAAAGAAAGGTTAAACTCTGTGAGTTGAAGGCACACATCACAAACTAGTTTCTACGAATGACTCTGTGTACTTTTAATATGAAGATATTTCCATGTCTAAGATTGGCGTCAAATCGCTTGAAATCTCCACTTGCAAATTCCACAAAAAGAGTGTTTCAAAACTGCTCTGAATAAAGGAAGGTTCCACTCTGTGAGTTGAATACACACAACACAAAGGATTTACTGAGAATTCTTCTGTCTAGCAGTAAATGAGAAATCCCGCTTCCAACGAAGGCCTCAAAGGGGTCTAACTAATCACTTGCAGACTTTACAGACAGAGTCTTTCCAAACTGCTCTATGAAGAGAAAGGTGAAACTCTGTGAACTGAACGCACAGATGACAAAGCAGTTTCTGAGAATGATTCTGTGTAGTTTTTACACGAAGATATTTCCATTTCAAAGATTAGCCTCAAATCGCTTGAAATCTCCACTTGCAAACTCCACAGAAAGAATTTTTCAAAACTGCTCTGTCTAAAGGAAGGTTCAACTCTGTGACTTGAATACACACAACACAAAGAAGTGACTGAGAATTCTTCTGTCTAGCATTACATGAAGAAATCCCGTTTCCAACGAAGGCCTCAATGAAGTCCAAAAAAGCACTTGCAGGCTTTACAAACAGAGTGTTTCCAAACTGCTCTATGAAAAGAAAGGTTAAACTCTGTGAGTTGAACGCACACATCACAAAGTAGTTGTTGAGAATGATTCTGTGTAGTTTTTATACGAAGATATTTCCTTTTCTGCCATAGGCCTGGAAGCGCTTGCAATCTGCACTTGCAAATTCCAAAAACAGAGTGTTTCAAATCTGCTCTCTCCAAAGGAAGGTTCAAATCTGTGAGTTGAATACAAACAACACAAAGAAGTTACTGAGAATTCTTCTGTCTAGCATTATAAGAGGAAATCCCGTTTCCAACGAAGGGCTCATAGAGGGACAATTATCCAGCTGCAGACTTACAAAGAGTGTATTTCCAAACTGCTCGATTAAAGAAAGGTTAAACTCTGTGAGTTGAACACACACATCACAAAGTGTTTTCTGAGAATGATTTTGTCTAGTTTTAATACGAAGATATATCCTTTTCTATCATTGTCTTCCAAGCGTTTGAAATCTGCACTAGCAAATTCCAGAAAAAGAGTGTTTCAAATCTGCTCTCTCTCAAGAAAGGTTCAACTCTGTGAGTGGAATACACACAACACAAAGAAGTTACTGAGAATTCTTCTGTCTAGCGTTATATGAAGAAATCCCGTTTCCAACGAAGGCCTCAAAGAGGTCCAAATATCCACTTGCAGACTTTACAAATAGAGTGTTTCCAAACTGCTCTATGAAAAGAAAGGTTAAACTCTGTGAGGTTGAAGGCACACATCACAAACTAGTTTCTGCGAATGACTCTGTGTACTTTTAATACGAAGATGTTTCCATGTCTAAGATTGTCGTGAATTCGCTTGAAATCTCCACTTGCAAATTCCACAAAAAGAGTGTTTCAAAACTGCTCTGAATAAAGGAAGGTTCCACTCTGTGAGTTGAATACACACAACACAAAGGATTTACTGAGAATTCTTCTGTCTAGCAGTAAATGAAAAAATCCCGCTTCCAACGAAGTCCTCAAAGGGGTCCAAGTAATCACTTGCAGACTTTACAGACAGAGTCTTTCCAAACTGCTCTATGAAAAGAAAGGTGGAACTCTGTGAGCTGAACGCACACATAACAAAGCAGTTTCTGAGAATGATTCTGTGTAGTTTTTACACGAAGATATTTCCATTTCAAAGATTAGCCTCAAATCGCTTGAAATCTCCACTTGCAAATTCCACAGAAAGAGTTTTTCAAAACTGCTCTGTGTAAAGGAAGGTTCAACTCTGTGACTTGAATACACACAACACAAAGAAGTGACTGAGAATTCTTCTGTCTAGCATTATATGAAGAAATCCCGTTTCCAACGAAGGCCTCAAAGAAGTCCAAATAAGCACCTGCAGACTTTACAAACAGAGTGTTTCCAAACTGCTCTATGAAAAGAAAGGTTAAACTCTGTGAGTTGAACGCACACATCACAAAGTAGTTGTTGAGAATGATTCTGTGTAGTTTTTATACGAAGATATTTCCTTTTCTGCCATAGGCCTAGAAGCGCTTGCAATCTGCACTTGCAAATTCCAAAAACAGAGTGTTTCAAATCTGCTCCCTCTAAAGGAAGTTTCAAATCTGTGAGTTGAATACAAACAACACAAAGAAGTTACTGAGAATACTTCTGTCTAGCATTATATGAGGAAATCCCGTTTCCAACGAAGGGCTCATAGAGGGACAATTATCCACCTGCAGACTTACAAAGAGTGCATTTCCAAACTGCTCGATTAAAGAAAGGTTAAACTCTGTGAGTTGAACACACACATCACAAAGTGTTTTCTGAGAATGATTTTGTCTAGTTTTAATACGAAGATATGTCCTTTTCTATCACTGTCTTCGAAGCGTTTGAAATCTGCACTAGCAAATTCCACAAAAAGAGTGTTTCAACTCTGCTCTCTCTGAAGAAAGGTTCAACTCTGTGAGTTGAATACACACAACACAAAGAAGTTACTGAGAATTCTTCTGTCTAGCGTTATATGAAGAAATCCCGTTTCTAACGAAGGCCTCAAAGAGGTCCAAATATCCACTTGCAGACTTTACAAATAGAGTGTTTCCGAACTGCTCTATGAAAAGAAAGGTTAAACTCTGTGAGTTGAAGGCACACATCACAAACCAGTTTCTACGAATGACTCTGTGTACTTTTAATATGAAGATATTTCCATGTCTAAGATTGGCGTCAAATCTCTTGAAATCTCCACTTGCAAATTCCACAAAAAGAGTGTTTCAAAACTGCTCTGAATAAAGGAAGGTTCCACTCTGTGAGTTGAATACACGCAACACAAAGGATTTACTGAGAATTCTTCTGTCTAGCAGTAAATGAGAAATCCCGCTTCCAACGAAGGCCTCAAAGGGGTCTAACTAATCACTTGCAGACTTTAACAGACAGAGTCTTTCCAAACTGCTCTATGAAGAGAAAGGTGAAACTCTGTGAACTGAACGCACAGATGACAAAGCAGTTTCTGAGAATGATTCTGTGTAGTTTTTACACGAAGATATTTCCATTTCAAAGATTAGCCTCAAATCGCTTGAAATCTCCACTTGCAAACTCCACAGAAAGAATTTTTCAAAACTGCTCTGTCTAAAGGAAGGTTCAACTCTGTGACTTGAATACACACAACACAAAGAAGTGACTGAGAATTCTTCTGTCTAGCATTATATGAAGAAATCCCGTTTCCAACGAAGGCCTCAATGAAGTCCAAAAAAGCACTTGCAGGCTTTACAAACAGAGTGTTTCCAAACTGCTCTATGAAAAGAAAGGTTAAACTCTGTGAGTTGAACGCACACATCACAAAGTAGTTGTTGAGAATGATTCTGTGTAGTTTTTATACGAAGATATTTCCTTTTCTGCCATAGGCCTAGAAGCGCTTGAAATCTGCAGTTGCAAATTCCAAAAACAGAGTGTTTCAACTCTGCTCTCTCTAAAGGAAGATTCAACTCTGTGAGTTGAATACACACAACACAAAGAAGTTACTGAGAATTCTTCTGTCTAGCATTATATGAGGAAATCCCGTTTCCAACGAAGGGCTCAAAGAGGGCCAAATATCCACCTGCAGACTTACAAAGAGTGTATTTCCAAACTGCTCGATTAAAGAAAGGTTAAAATCTGTGAGTTGAACACACACATCACAAAGAGTTTTCTGAGAATGATTTTGTCTACTTTTAATACGAAGATATATCCTTTTCTATCACTGTCTTCGAAGCGTTTGAAATCTACACTAGCAAATTCCACAAAAAGAGTGTTTCACCTCTGCTCCCTCTAAAGAAAGGTTCAACTCTGTGAGTTGAATACACACAACACAAAGAAGTTACTGAGAATTCTTCTGTCTAGCGTTATATGAAGAAATCCCGTTTCCAACGAAGGCCTCAAAGAGGTCCAAATATCCACTTGCAGACTTTACAAATAGAGTGTTTCCCAACTGCTCTATGAAAAGAAAGGTTAAACTCTGTGAGTTGAAGGCACACATCACAAACTAGTTTCTACGAATGACTCTGTGTACTTTTAATATGAAGATATTTCCATGTCTAAGATTGGCGTCAAATCGCTTGAAATCTCCACTTGCAAATTCCACAAAAACAGTGTTTCAAAACTGCTCTGAATAAAGGAAGGTTCCACTCTGTGAGTTGAATACACACAACACAAAGGATTTACTGAGAATTCTTCTGTCTAGCAGTAAATGAGAAATCCCGATTCCAACGAAGGCCTCAAAGGGGTCTAACTAGTCACTTGCAGACTTTACAGACAGAGTCTTTCCAAACTGCTCTATGAAGAGAAAGGTGAAACTCTGTGAACTGAACGCACAGATGACAAAGCAGTTTCTGAGAATGATTCTGTGTAGTTTTTACACGAAGATATTTCCATTTCAAAGATTAGCCTCAAATCGCTTGAAATCTCCACTTGCAAATTCCACAGAAAGAATTTTTCAAAACTGCTCTGTCTAAAGGAAGGTTCAACTCTGTGACTTGAATACACACAACACAAAGAAGTGACTGAGAATTCTTCTGTCTAGCATTATATGAAGAACTCCCGTTTCCAACGAAGGCCTCAAAGAAGTCCAAATAAGCACTTGCAGACTTTAAAAACAGAGTGTTTCCAAACTGCTCTATGAAAAGAAAGGTAAAACTCTGTGAGTTGAACGCGCACATCACAAAGTAGTTGTTGAGAATGATTCTGTGTAGTTTTTATACGAAGATATTTCCTTTTCTGCCATAGGCCTAGAAGCGCTTAAAATCTGCACTTGCAAATTCCAAAAACAGAGTGTTTCAAATCTGCTCTCTCTAAAGAAAGGTTCAACTCTGTGAGTTGAATACACACAACACAAAGAAGTAACTGAGAATTCTTCTGTCTAGCGTTGTATGAAGAAATCCCGTTTCCAACGAAGGCCTCAATGAAGTCCAAAAAAGCACTTGCAGGCTTTACAAACAGAGTGTTTCCAAACTGCTCTATGAAAAGAAAGGTTAAACTCTGTGAGTTGAACGCACACATCACAAAGTAGTTGTTGAGAATGATTCTGTGTAGTTTTTATACGAAGATATTTCCTTTTCTGCCATAGGCCTAGAATGGCTTGAAATCTGCACTTGCAAATTCCAAAAACAGAGTGTTTCAACTCTGCTCTCTCTAAAGAAAGGTTCAACACTGTGAGTTGAATACACACAACACAAAGAAGTTACTGAGAATTCTTCTGTCTAGCGTTGTATGAAGAAATCCCGTTTCCAACGAAGGCCTCAAAGAGGTCCAAATATCCACTTGCAGACTTTACAAACAGAGTGTTTCCAAACTGCTCTATGAAAAGAAAGGTTAAACTCTGTGAGTTGAAGGCACACATCACAAACTAGTTTTTACGAATGACTCTGTGTACTTTTAATATGAAGATATTTCCATGTCTAAGATTGGCGTCAAATCGCTTGAAATCTCCACTTGCAAATTCCACAAAAAGTGTTTTTCAAAACTGCTCTGAATAAAGGAAGGTTCCACTCTGTGAGTTGAATACACACAACACAAAGGATTTACTGAGAATTCTTCTGTCTAGCAGTAAATGAGAAATCCCGCTTCCAACGAAGGCCTCAAAGGGGTCTAACTAATCACTTGCAGACTTACAGACAGAGTCTTTCCAAACTGCTCTATGAAGAGAAAGGTGAAACTCTGTGAACTGAACGCACAGATAACAAAGCAGTTTCTGAGAATGATTCTGTGTAGTTTTTACACGAAGATATTTCCATTTCAAAGATTAGCCTCAAATCGCTTGAAATCTCCACTTGCAAATTCCACAGAAAGAATTTTTCAAAACTGCTCTGCTAAAAGAAGGTTCAACTCTGTGACTTGAATACACACAACACAAAGAACTGACTGAGAATTCTTCTGCTAGCATTATATGAAGAAATCCCGTTTCCAACGAAGGCCTCAATGAAGTCCAAAAAAGCACTTGCAGGCTTTACAAACAGAGTGTTTCCAAACTGCTCTAAGAAAAGAAAGGTTAAACTCTGTGAGTTGAAAGCACACATCACAAAGTAGTTGTTGATAATGATTCTGTGTAGTTTTTATACGAACATATTTCCTTTTCTGCCATAGGCCTAGAAGCGCTTGAAATCTGCACTTGCAAATTCCAAAAACAGAGTGTTTCAAATCTGCTCTCTCTAAAGGAAGGTTCAAATCTGTGAGTTGAATACAAACAACACAAAGAAGTTACTGAGAATTCTTCTGTCTAGCATTATATGAGGAAATCCCGTTTCCAATGAAGGGCTCAAAGAGGGCCAATTATCCACCTGCAGACTTACAAAGAGTGTATTTCCAAACTGCTCGATTAAAGAAAGGTTAAACTCTGTGAGTTGAACACACACATCACAAAGTGTTTTCTGAGAATGATTTTGTCTAGTTTTAATACGAAGATATATCCTTTGCTATCACTGTCTTCGAAGCGTTTGAAATCTGCACTAGCAAATTCCACAAAAAGAGTGTTTCAACTCTGCTCTCTCTAAAGAAAGGTTCAACTCTGTGAGTTGAATACACACAACACAAAGAAGTTACTGAGAATTCTTCTGTCTAGCGTTATATGAAGAAATCCCTTTTCCAACGAAGGCCTCAAAGAGGTCCAAATATCCACTTGCAGACTTTACAAATAGAATGTTTCCGAACTGCTCTATGAAAAGAAAGGTTAAACTCTGTGAGTTGAAGGCACACAACACAAACTTGTTTCTACGAATGATTCTGTGTACTTTTAATATGAAGATATTTCCATGTCTAAGATTGGCGTCAAATCGCTTGAAATCTCCACTTGCAAATTCCACAAAAAGAGTGTTTCAAAACTGCTCTGAATAAAGGAAGGTTCCACTCTGTGAGTTGAATACACACAACACAAAGGATTTACTGAGAATTCTTCTGTCTAGCATTATATGAAGAAATCCCGTTTCCAACGAAGGCCTCAATGAAGTCGAAAAAGGCACTGGCAGGCTTTACAAGCAGAGTGTTTCCAAACTGCTCTATGAAAAGAAAGGTTAAACTTTGTGAGTGGAGCGCACACATCACAAAGTAGTTGTTGAGAATGATTCTGTGTAGTTTTTATACGAAGATAATTCCTTTTCTGCCATAGGCCTAGAATCGCTTGAAATCTCCCCTTGCAAATTCCAAAAACAGAGTGTTTCAGCTCTGCTCTCTCTAAAGAAAGGTTCAACTCTGTGAGTTGAATACACACAACACAAAGAAGTTAGTGAGAATTCTTCTGTCTAGCGTTGTATGAAGAAATCCCGTTTCCAACGAAGGCCTCAATGAAGTCCAAAAAAGCACTTGCAGGCTTTACAAACAGAGTGTTTCCAAACTGCTCTATGAAAAGAAAGGTTAAACTCTGTGAGTTGAAGGCACACATCACAAACTAGTTTCTACGAATGACTCTGTGTACTTTTAATATGAAGATATTTCCATGTCTAAGATTGCCGTCAAATCGGTTGAAATCTCCATTTGCAAATTCCACAAAAAGTGTTTTTCAAAACTGCTCTGAATAAAGGAAGGTTCCACTCTGTGAGTTGAATACACACAACACAAAGGATTTACTGAGAATTCTTCTGTCTAGCAGTAAATGAGAAATCCCGCTTCCAACGAAGGCCTCAAAGGGGTCTAACTAATCACTTGCAGACTTTACAGACAGAGTCTTTCCAAACTGCTCTATGAAGAGAAAGGTGAAACTCTGTGAACTGAACGCACAGATGACAAAGCAGTTTCTGAGAATGATTCTGTGTAGTTTTTACACGAAGATATTTCCATTTCAAAGATTAGCCTCAAATCGCTTGAAATCTCCACTTGCAAACTCCACAGAAAGAATTTTTCAAAACTGCTCTGTCTAAAGGAAGGTTCAACTCTGTGACTTGAATACACACAACACAAAGAAGTGACTGAGAATTCTTCTGTCTAGCATTATATGAAGAAATCCCGTTTCCAACGAAGGCCTCAATGAAGTCCAAAAAAGCACTTGCAGGCTTTACAAACAGAGTGTTTCCAAACTGCTCTATGAAAAGAAAGGTTAAACTCTGTGAGTTGAACGCACACATCACAAAGTAGTTGTTGAGAATGATTTTTGTCTAGTTTTAATACGAAGATATATCCTTTTCTATCACTGTCTTCGAAGCGTTTGAAATCTGCACTAGCAAATTCCACACACAGAGTGTTTCAACTCTGATCTCTCTCAAGAAAGGTTCAACTCTGTGAGTTGAATACACACAACACAAAGAAGTTACTGAGAATTCTTCTGTCTAGCGTTATATGAAGAAATCCCGTTTCCAACGAAGGCCTCAAAGAGGTCCAAATATCCACTTGCAGACTTTACAAATAGAGTGTTTCCAAACTGCTCTATGAAAAGAAAGGTTAAACTCCGTGAGTTGAAGGCACACATCACAAACTAGTTTCTGCGAATGACTCTGTGTACTTTTAATACGAAGATGTTTCCATGTCTAAGATTGGCGTGAATTCGCTTGAAATCTCCACTTGCAAATTCCACAAAAAGAGTGTTTCAAAACTGCTCTGAATAAAGGAAGGTTCCACTCTGTGAGTTGAATACACACAACACAAAGGATTTACTGAGAATTCTTATGTCTAGCAGTAAATGAAAAAATCCCGCTTCCAACGAAGTCCTCAAAGGTGTCCAAGTAATCACTTGCAGACTTTACAGACAGAGTCTTTCCAAACTGCTCTATGAAAAGAAAGGTGGAACTCTGTGAGCTGAACGCACACATAACAAAGCAGTTTCTGAGAATGATTCTGTGTAGTTTTTACACGAAGCTATTTCCATTTCAAAGATTAGCCTCAAATCGCTTGAAATCTCCACTTGCAAATTCCACAGAAAGAGTTTTTCAAAACTGCTCTGTGTAAAGGAAGGTTCAACTCTGTGACTTGAATACACACAACACAAAGAAGTGACTGAGAATTCTTCTGTCTAGCATTACATGAAGAAATCCCGTTTCCAACGAAGGCCTCAAAGAAGTCCAAATAAGCACCTGCAGACTTTACAAACAGAGTGTTTCCAAACTGCTCTATGAAAAGAAAGGTTAAACTCTGTGAGTTGAACGCACACATCACAAAGTAGTTGTTGAGAATGATTCTGTGTAGTTTTTATACAAAGATATTTCCTTTTCTGCCATAGGCCTAGAAGCGCTTGCAATCTGCACTTGCAAATTCCAAAAACAGAGTCTTTCAAATCTGCTCTCTCTAAAGGAAGGTTCAAATCTGTGAGTTGAATACAAACAACACAAAGAAGTTACTGAGAATTCTTCTGTCTAGCATTATAAGAGGAAATCCCGTTTCCAACGAAGGGCTCATAGAGGGACAATTATCCAGCTGCAGACTTACAAAGAGTGTATTTCCAAACTGCTCGATTAAAGAAAGGTTAAACTCTGTGAGTTGAACACACACATCACAAAGTGTTTTCTGAGAATGATTTTGTCTAGTTTTAATACGAAGATATATCCTTTTCTATCACTGTCTTCGAAGCGTTTGAAATCTGCACTAGCAAATTCCACAGAAAGAGTGTTTCAACTCTGCTCTCTCTCAAGAAAGGTTCAACTCTGTGAGTTGAAAACACACAACACAAAGAAGTTACTGAGAATTCTTCTGTCGAGCGTTATATGAAGAAATCCCGTTTCCAACGAAGGCCTCAAAGAGGTCCAAATATCCACTTGCAGACTTTACAAATAGAGTGTTTCCAAACTGCTCTATGAAAAGAAAGGTTAAACTCCGTGAGTTGAAGGCACACATCACAAACTAGTTTCTGCGAATGACTCTGTGTACTTTTAATACGAAGATGTTTCCATGTCTAAGATTGGCGTGAATTCGCTTGAAATCTCCACTTGCAAATTCCACAAAAAGAGTGTTTCAAAAGTGCTCTGAATAAAGGAAGGTTCCACTCTGTGAGTTGAATACACACAACACAAAGGATTTACTGAGAATTCTTCTGTCTAGCAGTAAATGAAAAAATCCCGCTTCCAACGAAGTCCTCAAAGGGGTCCAAGTAATCACTTGCAGACTTTACAGACAGAGTCTTTCCAAACTGCTCTATGAGAAGAAAGGTGGAACTCTGTGAGCTGAACGCACACATAACAAAGCAGTTTCTGAGAATGATTCTGTGTAGTTTTTACACGAAGATATTTCCATTTCAAAGATTAGCCTCAAATCGCTTGAAATCTCCACTTGCAAATTCCACAGAAAGAGTTTTTCAAAACTGCTCTGTGTAAAGGAAGGTTCAACTCTGTGACTTGAATACACACAACACAAGGAAGTGACTGAGAATTCTTCTGTCTAGCATTATATGAAGAAATCCCGTTTCCAACGAAGGCCTCAAAGAAGTCCAAATAAGCACCTGCAGACTTTACAAACAGAGTGTTTCCAAACTGCTCTATGAAAAGAAAGGTTAAACTCTGTGAGTTGAACGCACACATCACAAAGTAGTTGTTGAGAATGATTCTGTGTAGTTTTTATACGAAGATATTTCCTTTTCTGCCATAGGCCTAGAAGCGCTTGTAATCTGCACTTGCAAATTCCAAAAACAGAGTGTTTCAAATCTGCTCTCTCTAAAGGAAGGTTCAAATCTGTGAGTTGAATACAAACAACACAAAGAAGTTACTGAGAATTCTTCTGTCTAGCATTATAAGAGGAAATCCCGTTTCCAACGAAGGGCTCCTAGAGGGACAATTATCCAGCTGCAGACTTACAAAGAGTGTATTTCCAAACTGCTCGATTAAAGAAAGGTTAAACTCTGTGAGTTGAACACACACATCACAAAGTGTTTTCTGAGAATGATTCTGTGTAGTTTTTATACGAAGATATTTCCTTTTCTGCCATAGGCCTAAAAGCGCTTGAAATCTGCACTTGCAAATTCCAAAAACAGAGTGTTTCAAATCTGCTCTCTCTAAAGGAAGGTTCAAATCTGTGTGTTGAATACAAACAACACAGAGAAGTTACTGAGAATTCTTCTGTCTAGCATTATAAGAGGAAATCCCGTTTCCAAAGAAGGGCTCAAAGAGGGCCAAATATCCACCTGCAGACTTACAAAGAGTGTATTTCCAAACTGCTCGATTAAAGAAAGGTTAAACTCTGTGAGTTGAACACACACATCACAAAGAGTTTTCTGAGAATGATTTTGTCGACTTTTACTACGAAGATATATCCTTTTCTATCACTGACTTCGAAGCGTTTGAAATCTACACTAGCAAATTCCACAAAAAGACTGTTTCACCTCTGCTCCCTATAAAGAAAGGTTCAACTCTGTGAGTTGAATACACACAACACAAAGAAGTTACTGAGAATTCTTCTGTCTAGCGTTATATGAAGAAATCCCGTTTCCAACGAAGGCCTCAAAGAGGTCCAAATATCCACTTGCAGACTTTACAAATAGAGTGTTTCCCAACTGCTCTATGAAAAGAAAGGTTAAACTCTGTGAGTTGAAGGCACACATCACAAACTAGTTTCTACGAATGACTCTGTGTACTTTTAATATGAAGATATTTCCATGTCTAAGATTGGCGTCAAATCGCTTGAAATCTCCACTTGCAAATTCCACAAAAAGAGTGTTTCAAAACTGCTCTGAATAAAGGAAGGTTCCACTCTGTGAGTTGAATACACACAACACAAAGGATTTACTGAGAATTCTTCTGTCTAGCAGTAAATGAGAAATCCCGCTTCCAACGAAGGCCTCAAAGGGGTCTAACTAATCACTTGCAGACTTTACAGACAGAGTCTTTCCAAACTGCTCTATGAAGAGAAAGGTGAAACTCTGTGAACTGAACGCACAGATGACAAAGCAGTTTCTGAGAACGATTCTGTGTAGTTTTTACACGAAGATATTTCCATTTCAAAGATTAGCCTCAAATCGCTTGAAATCTCCACTTGCAAACTCCACAGAAAGAATTTTTCAAAACTGCTCTGTCTAAAGGAAGGTTCAACTCTGTGACTTGAATACACACAACACAAAGAAGTGACTGAGAATTCTTCTGTCTAGCATTATATGAAGAAATCCCGTTTCCAACGAAGGCCTCAATGAAGTCCAAAAAAGCACTTGCAGGCTTTACAAACAGAGTGTTTCCAAACTGCTCTATGAAAAGAAAGGTTAAACTCTGTGAGTTGAACGCACACATCACAAAGTAGTTGTTGAGAATGATTCTGTGTAGTTTTTATACGAAGATATTTCCTTTTCTGCCATAGGCCTAGAAGCGCTTGAAATCTGCACTTGCAAATTCCAAAAACAGAGTGTTTCAAATCTGCTCTCTCTAAAGGAAGGTTCAAATCTGTGTGTTGAATACAAACAACACAAAGAAGTTACTGAGAATTCTTCTGTCTAGCATTATATGAGGAAATCCCGTTTCCAACGAAGGGCTCAAAGAGGGCCAAATATCCACCTGCAGACTTACAAAGAGTGTATTTCCAAACTGCTCGATTAAAGAAAGGTTAAACTCTGTGAGTTGAACACACACATCACAAAGAGTTTTCTGAGAATGATTTTGTCTACTTTTAATACGAAGATATATCCTTTTCTATCACTGTCTTCGAAGCGTTTGAAATCTACACTAGCAAATTCCACAAAAAGAGTTTTTCACCTCTGCTCCCTCTAAAGAAAGGTTCAACTCTGTGAGTTGAATACACACAACACAAAGAAGTTACTGAGAATTCTTCTGTCTAGCGTTATATGAAGAAATCCCGTTTCCAACGAAGGCCTCAAAGAGGTCCAAATATCCACTTGCAGACTTTACAAATAGAGTGTTTCCCAACTGCTCTATGAAAAGAAAGGTTAAACTCTGTGAGTTGAAGGCACACATCACAAACTAGTTTCTACGAATGACTCTGTGTACTTTTAATATGAAGATATTTCCATGTCTAAGATTGGCGTCAAATCGCTTGAAATCTCCACTTGCAAATTCCACAAAAAGAGTGTTTCAAAACTGCTCTGAATAAAGGAAGGTTCCACTCTGTGAGTTGAATACACACAACACAAAGGATTTACTGAGAATTCTTCTGTCTAGCAGTAAATGAGAAATCCCGCTTCCAACGAAGGCCTCAAAGGGGTCTAACTAATCACTTGCAGACTTTACAGACAGAGTCTTTCCAAACTGCTCTATGAAGAGAAAGGTGAAACTCTGTGAACTGAACGCACAGATGACAAAGCAGTTTCTGAGAATGATTCTGTGTAGTTTTTACACGAAGATATTTCCATTTCAAAGATTAGCCTCAAATCGCTTGAAATCTCCACTTGCAAATTACACAGAAAGAATTTTTCAAAACTGCTCTGTCTAAAGGAAGGTTCAACTCTGTGACTTGAATACACACAACACAAAGAAGTGACTGAGAATTCTTCTGTCTAGCATTATATGAAGAAATCCCGTTTCCAACGAAGGCCTCAATGAAGTCCAAAAAAGCACTTGCAGGCTTTACAAACAGAGTGTTTCCAAACTGCTCTATGAAAAGAAAGGTTAAACTCTGTGAGTTGAACGCACACATCACAAAGTAGTTGTTGAGAATGACTCTGTGTAGTTTTTATACGAAGATATTTCCTTTTCTGCCATAGGCCAAGTATCGCTTGAAATCTGCAGTTGCAAATTCCACAAAAAGAGTGTCTCACCTCTGCTCCCTCTAAAGAAAGGTTCAACTCTGTGAGTTGAATACACACAACACAAAGAAGTTACTGAGAATTCTTCTGTCTAGCGTTATATGAAGAAATCCCGTTTCCAACGAAGGCCTCAAAGAGGTCCAAATATCCACTTGCAGACTTTACAAATAGAGTGTTTCCCAACTGCTCTATGAAAAGAAAGGTTAAACTCTGTGAGTTGAAGGCACACATCACACACTAGTTTCTACGAATGACTCTGTGTACTTTTAATATGAAGATATTTCCATGTCTAAGATTGGCGTCAAATCGCTTGAAATCTCCACTTGCAAAATCCACAAAAAGAGTGTTTCAAAACTGCTCTGAATAAAGGAAGGTTCCACTCTGTGAGTTGAATACACACAACACAAAGGATTTACTGAGAATTCTTCTGTCTAGCAGTAAATGAGAAATCCCGCTTCCAACGAAGGCCTCAAAGGGGTCTAACTAATCACTTGCAGACTTTACAGACAGAGTCTTTCCAAACTGCTCTATGAAGAGAAAGGTGAAACTCTGTGAACTGAACGCACAGATGACAAAGCAGTTTCTGAGAATGATTCTGTGTAGTTTTTACACGAAGATATTTCCATTTCAAAGATTAGCCTCAAATCGCTTGAAATCTCCACTTGCAAATTACACAGAAAGAATTTTTCAAAACTGCTCTGTCTAAAGGAAGGTTCAACTCTGTGACTTGAATACACACAACACAAAGAAGTGACTGAGAATTCTTCTGTCTAGCATTATATGAAGAAATCCCGTTTCCAACGAAGGCCTCAATGAAGTCCAAAAAAGCACTTGCAGGCTTTACAAACAGAGTGTTTCCAAACTGCTCTATGAAAAGAAAGGTTAAACTCTGTGAGTTGAACGCACACATCACAAAGTAGTTGTTGAGAATGATTCTGTGTAGTTTTTATACGAAGATATTTCCTTTTCTGCCATAGGCCTAGAATCGCTTGAAATCTGCAGTTGCAAATTCCAAAAACAGAGTGTTTCAACTCTGCTCTCTCTAAAGAAAGGTTCAACTCTGTGAGTTGAATACACACAACACAAAGAAGTTACTGAGAATTCTTCTGTCTAGCGTTGTATGAAGAAATCCCGTTTCCAACGAAGGCCTCAAAGAGGTCCAAATATCCACTTGCAGACTTTACAAATAGAGTGTTTCCAAACTGGTCTATGAAAAGAAAGGTTAAACTCTGTGAGTTGAAGGCACACATCACAAACTAGTTTCTACGAATGACTCTGTGTACTTTTAATATGAAGATATTTCCATGTCTAAGATTGGCGTCAAATCGCTTGAAATCTCCACTTGCAAATTCCACAAAAAGTGTTTTTCAAAACTGCTCTGAATAAAGGAAGGTTCCACTCTGTGAGTTGAATACACACAACACAAAGGATTTACTGAGAATTCTTCTGTCTAGCAGTAAATGAGAAATCCCGCTTCCAACGAAGGCCTCAAAGGGGTCTAACTAATCACTTGCAGACTTTACAGACAGAGTCTTTCCAAACTGCTCTATGAAGAGAAAGGTGAAACTCTGTGAACTGAACGCACAGATGACAAAGCAGTTTCTGAGAATGATTCTGTGTAGTTTTTACACGAAGATATTTCCATTTCAAAGATTAGCCTCAAATCGCTTGAAATCTCCACTTGCAAACTCCACAGAAAGAATTTTTCAAAACTGCTCTGTCTAAAGGAAGGTTCAACTCTGTGACTTGAATACACACAACACAAAGAAGTGACTGAGAATTCTTCTGTCTAGCATTATATGAAGAAATCCCGTTTCCAACGAAGGCCTCAATGAAGTCCAAGAAAGCACTTGCAGGCTTTACAAACAGAGTGTTTCCAAACTGCTCTATGAAAAGAAAGGTTAAACTCTGTGAGTTGAACGCACACATCACAAAGTAGTTGTTGAGAATGATTCTGTGTAGTTTTTATACGAAGATATTTCCTTTTCTGCCATAGGCCTAGAATCGCTTGATATCTGCACTTGCAAATTCCAAAAAAAGAGTGTTTCAACTCTGCTCTCTCTAAAGAAAGGTTCAACTCTGTGAGTTGAATACACACAACACAAAGAAGTTACTGAGAATTCTTCTGTCTAGCATTATATGAGGAAATCCCGTTTCCAACGAAGGCCTCAAAGAGGTCCAAATATCCACTTGCAGACTTTACAAATAGAGTGTTTCCAAACTGCTCTATGAAAAGAAAGGTTAAACTCTGTGAGTTGAAGGCACACATCACAAACTAGTTTCTACGAATGACTCTGTGTAGTTTTTACACGAAGATATTTCCATTTCAAAGATTAGCCTCAAATCGCTTGAAATCTCCACTTGCAAATTCCACAGAAAGAGTTTTTCAAAACTGCTCTGTGTAAAGGAAGGTTCAACTCTGTGACTTGAATACACACAACACAAAGAAGTGACTGAGAATTCTTCTGTCTAGCATTATATGAAGAAATCCCGTTTCCAACGAAGGCCTCAAAGAAGTCCAAATAAGCACCTGCAGACTTTACAAACAGAGTGTTTCCAAACTGCTCTATGAAAAGAAAGGTTAAACTCTGTGAGTTGAACGCACACATCACAAAGTAGTTGTTGAGAATGATTCTGTGTAGTTTTTATACGAAGATATTTCCTTTTCTGCCATAGGCCTAGAAGCGCTTGCAATCTGCACTTGCAAATTCCAAAAACAGAGTGTTTCAAATCTGCTCTCTCCAAAGGAAGGTTCAAATCTGTGAGTTGAATACAAACAACACAAAGAAGTTACTGAGAATTCTTCTGTCTAGCATTATAAGAGGAAATCCCGTTTCCAACGAAGGGCTCATAGAGGGACAATTATCCAGCTGCAGACTTACAAAGAGTGTATTTCCAAACTGCTCGATTAAAGAAAGGTTAAACTCTGTGAGTTGAACACACACATCACAAAGTGTTTTCTGAGAATGATTTTGTCTAGTTTAAATACGAAGATATATCCTTTTCTATCACTGTCTTCGAAGCGTTTGAAATCGGCACTAGCAAATTCCACAAACAGAGTGTTTCAACTCTGCTCTCTCTCAAGAAAGGTTCAACTCTGTGAGTGGAATACACACAACACAAAGAAGTTACTGAGAATTCTTCTGTCTAGCGTTATATGAAGAAATCCCGTTTCCAACGAAGGCCTCAAAGAGGTCCAAATATCCACTTACAGACTTTACAAATAGAGTGTTTCCAAACTGCTCTATGAAAAGAAAGGTTAAACTCTGTGAGTTGAAGGCACACATCACAAACTAGTTTCTGCGAATGACTCTGTGTACTTTTAATACGAAGATGTTTCCATGTCTAAGATTGGCGTGAATTCGCTTGAAATCTCCACTTGCAAATTCCACAAAAAGAGTGTTTCAAAACTGCTCTGAATAAAGGAAGGTTCCACTCTGTGAGTTGAATACACACAACACAAAGGATTTACTGAGAATTCTTCTGTCTAGCAGTAAATGAAAAAATCCCGCTTCCAACGAAGTCCTCAAAGGGGTCCAAGTAATCACTTGCAGACTTTACAGACAGAGTCTTTCCAAACTGCTCTATGAAAAGAAAGGTGGAACTCTGTGAGCTTGAACGCACACATAACAAAGCAGTTTCTGAGAATGATTCTTTGTAGTTTCTACACGAAGATATTTCCATTTCAAAGATTAGCCTCAAATCGCTTGAAATCTCCACTTGCAAACCCCACAGAAAGAATTTTTCAAAACTGCTCTGTCTAAAGGAAGGTTCAACTCTGTGACTTGAATACACACAACACAAAGAAGTGACTGAGAATTCTTCTGTCTAGCATTATATGAAGAAATCCCGTTTCCAACGAAGGCCTCAATGAAGTCCAAAAAAGCAATTGCAGGCTTTACAAACAGAGTGTTTCCAAACTGCTCTATGAAAAGGAAGGTTAAACTTTGTGAGTTGAACGCACACATCACAAAGTAGTTGTTGAGAATGATTCTGTGCAGTTTTTATACGAAGATATTTCCTGTTCTGCTATAGGCCTAGAATCGCTTGATATCTGCACTTGCAAATTCCAAAAACAGAGTGTTTCAACTCTGCTCTCTCTAAAGAAAGGTTCAAATCTGTGAGTTGAATACACACAACACAAAGAAGTTACTGAGAATTCTTCTGTCTAGCGTTGTATGAAGAAATCCCGTTTCCAACGAAGGCCTCAAAGAGGTCCAAATATCCACTTGCAGACTTTACAAATAGAGTGTTTCCAAACTGCTCTATGAAAAGAAAGGTTAAACTCTGTGAGTTGAAGGCACACATCACAAACTAGTTTCTACGAATGACTCTGTGTACTTTTAATATGAAGATATTTCCATGTCTAAGATTGGCGTCAAATCGCTTGAAATCTCCACTTGCAAATTCCACAAAAAGTGTTTTTCAAAACTGCTCTGAATAAAGGAAGGTTCCACTCTGTGAGTTGAATACACACAACACAAAGGATTTACTGAGAATTCTTCTGTCTAGCAGTAAATGAGAAATCCCGCTTCCAACGAAGGCCTCAAAGGGGTCTAACTAATCACTTGCAGACTTTACAGACAGAGTCTTTCCAAACTGCTCTATGAAGAGAAAGGTGAAACTCTGTGAACTGAACGCACAGATGACAAAGCAGTTTCTGAGAATGATTCTGTGTAGTTTTTACACGAAGATATTTCCATTTCAAAGATTAGCCTCAAATCGCTTGAAATCTCCACTTGCAAAGTCCACAGAAAGAATTTTTCAAAACTGCTCTGTCTAAAGGAAGGTTCAACTCTGTGACTTGAATACACACAACACAAAGAAGTGACTGAGAATTCTTCTGTCTAGCGTTATATGAAGAAATCCCGTTTCCAACGAAGGCCTCAATGAAGTCCAAAAAAGCACTTGCAGGCTTTACAAACAGAGTGTTTCCAAACTGCTCTATGAAAAGAAAGGTTAAACTACTGTGAGTTGAACGCACACATCACAAAGTAGTTGTTCAGAATGATTCTGTGTAGTTTTTATACGAAGATATTTCCTTTTCTGCCATAGGCCTAGAAGCGCTTGAAATCTGCACTTGCAAATTCCAAAAACACAGTGTTTCAAATCTGCTCTCTCTAAAGGAAGGTTCAAATCTGTGAGTTGAATACAAACAACACAAAGAAGTTACTGAGAATTCTTCTGTCTAACATTATATGAGGAAATCCCGTTTCCAACGAAGGGCTCAAAGAGGGCCAATTATCCACCTGCAGACTTACAAAGAGTGTATTTCCAAACTGCTCGATTAAAGAAAGGTTAAACACTGTGCGTTGAACACACACATCACAAAGTGTTTTCTGAGAATGATTTTGTCTACTTTTAATACGAAGTATATATCCTTTTCTATCACTGTCTTCGAAGCGTTTGAAATCTACACTAGCAAATTCCACAAAAAGAGTGTTTCACCTCTGCTCCCTCTAAAGAAAGGTTCAACTCTGTGAGTTGAATACACACAACACAAAGAAGTTACTGAGAATTCTTCTGTCTAGCGTTATATGAAGAAATCCCGTTTCCAACGAAGGCCTCAAAGAGGTCCAAATATCCACTTGCAGACTTTACAAATAGAGTGTTTCCCAACTGCTCTATGAAAAGAAAGGTTAAACTCTGTGAGTTGAAGGCACACATCACAAACTAGTTTCTACGAATGACTCTGTGTACTTTTAATATGAAGATATTTCCATGTCTAAGATTGGCGTCAAATCGCTTGAAATCTCCACTTGCAAATTCCACAAAAAGAGTGTTTCAAAACTGCTCTGAATAAAGGAAGGTTCCACTCTGTGAGTTGAATACACACAACACAAAGGATTTACTGAGAATTCTTCTGTCTAGCAGTAAATGAGAAATCCCGCTTCCAACGAAGGCCTCAAAGGGGTCTAACTAATCACTTGCAGACTTTACAGACAGAGTCTTTCCAAACTGCTCTATGAAGAGAAAGGTGAAACTCTGTGAACTGAACGCACAGATGACAAAGCAGTTTCTGAGAATGATTCTGTGTAGTTTTTACACGAAGATATTTCCATTTCAAAGATTAGCCTCAAATCGCTTGAAATCTCCACTTGCAAATTCCACAGAAAGAATTTTTCAAAACTGCTCTGTCTAAAGGAAGGTTCAACTCTGTGACTTGAATACACACAACACAAAGAAGTGACTGAGAATTCTACTGTCTAGCATTATATGAAGGAAATCCCGTTTCCAACGAAGGCCTCAAAGCAAGTCCAAATAAGCACCTGCAGATTTTACAAACAGAGTGTTTCCAAACTGCTCTATGAAACGAAAGGTTAAACTCTGTGAGTTGAACGCACACATCACAAAGTAGTTGTTGAGAATGATTCTGTGTAGTTTTTATACGAAGATATTTCCTTTTCTGCCATAGGCCTAGAAGCGCTTGAAATCTGCACTTGCAAATTCCAAAAACAGAGTGTTTCAAATCTGCTCTCTCTAAAGGAAGGTTCAAATCTGTGTGTTGAATACAAACAACACAAAGAAGTTACTGAGAATTTTTCTGTCTAGCATTATATGAGGAAATCCCGTTTCCAACGAAGGGCTCAAAGAGGGCCAAATATCCACCTGCAGACTTACAAAGAGTGTATTTCCAAACTGCTCGATTAAAGAAAGGTTAAACTCTGTGAGTTGAACACACACATCACAAAGAGTTTTCTGAGAATGATTTTGTCTACTTTTAATACGAAGATATATCCTTTTCTATCACTGTCTTCGAAGCGTTTGAAATCTACACTAGCAAATTCCACAAAAAGAGTGTTTCACCTCTGCTCCCTCTAAAGAAAGGTTCAACTCTGTGAGTTGAATACACGCAACACAAAGAAGTTACTGAGAATTCTTCTGTCTAGCGTTATATGAAGAAATCCCGTTTCCAACGAAGGCCTCAAAGAGGTCCAAATATCCACTTGCAGACTTTACAAATAGAGTGTTTCCCAACTGCTCTATGAAAAGAAAGGTTAAACTCTGTGAGTTGAAGGCACACATCACAAACTAGTTTCTACGAATGACTCTGTGTACTTTTAATATGAAGACATTTCCATGTCTAAGATTGGCGTCAAATCGCTTGAAATCTCCACTTGCAAATTCCACAAAAAGAGTGTTTCAAAACTGCTCTGAATAAAGGAAGGTTCCACTCTGTGAGTTGAATACACACAACACAAAGGATTTACTGAGAATTCTTCTGTCTAGCAGTAAATGAGAAATCCCACTTCCAACGAAGGCCTCAAAGGGGTCTAACTAATCACTTGCAGACTTTACAGACAGAGTCTTTCCAAACTGCTCTATGAAGAGAAAGGTGAAACTCTGTGAACTGAACGCACAGATGACAAAGCAGTTTCTGAGAATGATTCTGTGTAGTTTTTACACGAAGATATTTCCATTTCAAAGATTAGCCTCAAATCGCTTGAAATCTCCACTTGCAAACTACACAGAAAGAATTTTTCAAAACTGCTCTGTCTAAAGGAAGGTTCAACTCTGTGACTTGAATACACACAACACAAAGAAGTGACTGAGAATTCTTCTGTCTAGCATTATATGAAGAAATCCCGTTTCCAACGAAGGCCTCAAAGAAGTCCAAATAAGCACCTGCAGACTTTACAAACAGAGTGTTTCCAAACTGCTCTATGAAACGAAAGGTTAAACTCTGTGAGTTGAACGCGCACTTCACAAAGTAGTTGTTGAGAATGATTCTGTGTAGTTTTTATACGAAGATATTTCCTTTTCTGCCATAGGCCTAGAATCGCTTGAAATCTGCACTTGCAAATTCCAAAAACAGAGTGTTTCAACTCTGCTCTCTCTAAAGAAAGGTTCAACTCTGTGAGTTGAATACACACAACACAAAGAAGTTACTGAGAATTCTTCTGTCTAGTGTTGTATGAAGAAATCCCGTTTCCAACGAAGGCCTCAAAGAGGTCCAAATATCCACTTGCAGACTTTACAAATAGAGTGTTTCCAAACTGCTCTATGAAAAGAAAGGTTAAACTCTGTGAGTTGAAGGCACACATCACAAACTAGTTTCTACGAATGACTCTGTGTACTTTTAATATGAAGATATTTCCATGTCTAAGATTGGCGTCAAATCGCTTGAAATCTCCACTTGCAAATTCCACAAAAAGTGTTTTTCAAAACTGCTCTGAATAAAGGAAGGTTCCACTCTGTGAGTTGAATACACACAACACAAAGGATTTACTGAGAATTCTTCTGTCTAGCAGTAAATGAGAAATCCCGCTTCCAACGAAGGCCTCAAAGGGGTCTAACTAATCACTTGCAGACTTTACAGACAGAGTCTTTCCAAACTGCTCTATGAAGAGAAAGGTGAAACTCTGTGAACTGAACGCACAGATGACAAAGCAGTTTCTGAGAATGATTCTGTGTAGTTTTTACACGAAGCTATTTCCATTTCAAAGATTAGCCTCAAATCGCTTGAAATCTCCACTTGCAAATTCCACAGAAATAGTTTTTCAAAACTGCTCTGTGTAAAGGAAGGTTCAGCTCTGTGACTTGAATACACACAACACAAAGAAGTGACTGAGAATTCTTCTGTCTAGCATTATATGAAGAAATCCCGTTTCGAACGAAGGCCTCAAAGAAGTCCAAATAAGCACCTGCAGACTTTACAAACAGAGTGTTTCCAAACTGCTCTATGAAAAGAAAGGTTAAACTCTGTGAGCTGAACGCACACATCACAAAGTAGTTGTTGAGAATGATTCTGTGTAGTTTTTATACGAAGATATTTCCTTTTCTGCCATAGGCCTAGAAGCGCTTGCAATCTGCACTTGCAAATTCCAAAAACAGAGTGTTTCAAATCTGCTCTCTCCAAAGGAAGGTTCAAATCTGTGAGTTGAATACAAACAACACAAAGAAGTTACTGAGAATTCTTCTGTCTAGCATTATAAGAGGAAATCCCGTTTCCAACGAAGGGCTCATAGAGGGACAATTATCCAGCTGCAGACTTACAAAGAGTGTATTTCCAAACTGCTCGATTAAAGAAAGGTTAAACTACTGTGAGTTGAACACACACATCACAAAGTGTTTTCTGAGAATGATTTTGTCTAGTTTTAATACGAAGATATATCCTTTTCTATCACTGTCTTCGAAGCGTTTGAAATCTGCACTAGCAAATTCCACAAACAGAGTGTTTCCACTCTGCTCTCTCTCAAGAAAGGTTCAACTCTGTGAGTGGAATACACACAACACAAAGAAGTTACTGAGAATTCTTCTGTCTAGCGTTATATGAAGAAATCCCGTTTCCAACGAAGACCTCAAAGAGGTCCAAATATCCACTTGCAGACTTTACAAATAGAGTGTTTCCAAACTGCTCTATGAAAAGAAAGGTTAAACTCCGTGAGTTGAAGGCACACATCTCAAACTAGTTTCTGCGAATGACTCTGTGTACTTTTAATACGAAGATGTTTCCATGTCTAAGATTGGCGTGAATTCGCTTGAAATCTCCACTTGCAAATTCCACAAAAAGAGTGTTTCAAAACTGCTCTGAATAAAGGAAGGTTCCACTCTGTGAGTTGAATACACACAACACAAAGGATTTACTGAGAATTCTTCTGTCTAGCAGTAAATGAAAAAATCCCGCTTCCAACGAAGTCCTCAAAGGGGTCCAAGTAATCACTTGCAGACTTTACAGACAGAGTCTTTCCAAACTGCTCTATGAAAAGAAAGGTGGAACTCTGTGAGCTGAACGCACACATAACAAAGCAGTTTCTGAGAATGATTCTGTGTAGTTTTTACACGAAGATATTTCCATTTCAAAGTATTAGCCTCAAATCGCTTGAAATCTCCACTTGCAAATTCCACTGAAAGAGTTTTTCAAAACTGCTCTGTGTAAAGGAAGGTTCAACTCTGTGACTTGAATACACACAACACAAAGAAGTGACTGAGAATTCTTCTGTCTAGCATTATATGAAGAAATCGCGTTTCCAACGAAGGCCTCAATGAAGTCAAAAAAAGCACTTGCAGGCTTTACAAACAGAGTGTTTCCAAACTGCTCTATGAAAAGAAAGGTTAAACTCTGTGAGTTGAACGCACACATCACAAAGTAGTTGTTGAGAATGATTCTGTGTAGTTTTTATACGAAGATATTTCCTTTTCTGCCATAGGCCCAGAAGCGCTTGAAATCTGCACTTGCAAATTCCAAAAACAGAGTGTTTCAAAACTGCTCTCTCTAAAGGAAGGTTCAAATGCTGTGAGTTGAATACAAACAACACAAAGAAGTTACTGAGAATTCTTCTAGTCTAGCGTTATATGAAGAAATCCCGTTTCCAACGAAGGCCTCAAAGAGGTCCAAATATCCACTTGCAGACTTTACAAATAGAGTGTTTCCAAACTGCTCTATGAAAAGAAAGGTTAAACTCCGTGAGTTGAAGGCACACATCACAAACTAGTTTCTGCGAATGACTCTGTGTACTTTTAATACGAAGATGTTTCCATGTCTAAGATTGGCGTGAATTCGCTTGAAATCTCCACTTGCAAATTCCACAAAAAGAGTGTTTCAAAAGTGCTCTGAATAAAGGAAGGTTCCACTCTGTGAGTTGAATACACACAACACAAAGGATTTACTGAGAATTCTTCTGTCTAGCAGTAAATGAAAAAATCCCGCTTCCAACGAAGTCCTCAAAGGGGTCCAAGTAATCACTTGCAGACTTTACAGACAGAGTCTTTCCAAACTGCTCTATGAAAAGAAAGGTGGAACTCTGTGAGCTGAACGCACACATAACAAAGCAGTTTCTGAGAATGATTCTGTGTAGTTTTTACACGAAGATATTTCCATTTCAAAGATTAGCCTCAAATCGCTTGAAATCTCCACTTGCAAATTCCACAGAAAGAGTTTTTCAAAACTGCTCTGTGTAAAGGAAGGTTCAACTCTGTGACTTGAATACACACAACACAAAGAAGTGACTGAGAATTCTTCTGTCTAGCATTATATGAAGAAATCCCGTTTCCAACGAAGGCCTCAAAGAAGTCCAAATAAGCACCTGCAGACTTTACAAACAGAGTGTTTCCAAACTGCTCTATGAAAAGAAAGGTTAAACTCTGTGAGTTGAACGCACACATCACAAAGTAGTTGTTGAGAATGATTCTGTGTAGTTTTTATACGAAGATATTTCCTTTTCTGCCATAGGCCTAGAAGCGCTTGAAATCTGCACTTGCAAATTCCAAAAACAGAGTGTTTCAAATCTGCTCTCTCTAAAGGAAGGTTCAAATCTGTGAGTTGAATACAAACAACACAAAGAAGTTACTGAGAATTCTTCTGTCTAGCATTATAAGAGGAAATCCCGTTTCCAACGAAGGGCTCATAGAGGGACAATTATCCAGCTGCAGACTTACAAAGAGTGTATTTCCAAACTGCTCGATTAAAGAAAGGTTAAACTCTGTGAGTTGAACACACACATCACAAAGTGTTTTCTGAGAATGATTTTGTCTAGTTTTAATACGAAGATATATCCTTTGCTATCACTGTCTTCAAAGCGTTTGAAATCTGCACTAGCAAATTCCACAAAAAGAGTGTTTCAACTCTGCTCTCTCTAAAGAAAGGTTCAACTCTGTGAGTTGAATACACACAACACAAAGAAGTTAGTGAGAATTCTTCTGTCTAGCGTTATATGAAGATATCCCGTTTCCAACGAAGGCCTCAAAGAGGTCCAAATATCCACATGCAGACTTTAGAAATAGAGTGTTTCCAAACTGCTCTATGAAAAGAAAGGTTAAACTCCGTGAGTTGAAGGCACACATCACAAACTAGTTTCTGCGAATGACTCTGTGTACTTTTAATACGAAGATGTTTCCATGTCTAAGATTGGCGTGAATTCGCTTGAAATCTCCACTTGCAAATTCCACAAAAAGAGTGTTTCAAAACTGCTCTGAATAAAGGAAGGTTCCACTCTGTGAGTTGAGTACACACAACACAAAGGATTTACTGAGAATTCTTCTGTCTAGCAGTAAATGAAAAAATCCCGCTTCCAACGAAGTCCTCAAAGGGGTCCAAGTAATCACTTGCAGACTTTACAGACAGAGTCTTTCCAAACTGCTCTATGAAAAGAAAGGTGGAACTACTGTGAGCTGAACGCACACATAACAAAGCAGTTTCTGAGAATGATTCTGTGTATTTTTTACACGAAGATATTTCCATTTCAAAGATTAGCCTCAAATCGCTTGAAATCTCCACTTGCAAACTCCACAGAAAGAATTTTTCAAAACTGCTCTGTCTAAAGAAAGGTTCAACTCTGTGACTTGAATACACACAACACAAAGAAGTGACTGAGAATTCTTCTGTCTAGGATTATATGAAGAAATCCCGTTTCCAACGAAGGCCTCAATGAAGTCCAAAAAAGCACTTGCAGGCTTTACAAACAGAGTGTTTCCAAACTGCTCTATGAAAAGAAAGGTTAAACTTTGTGAGTTGAACACACACATCACAAAGTAGTTGTTGAGAATGATTCTGTGTAGTTTTTATACGAAGATATTTCCTTTTCTGCCATAGGCCTAGATGCGCTTGCAATCTGCACTTGCAAATTCCAAAAACAGAGTGTTTCAAATCTGCTCTCTCTAAAGGAAGGTTCAAATCTGTGAGTTGAATACAAACAATACAAGGAACTTACTGAGAATTCTTCTGTCTAGCATTATATGAGGAAATCCCGTTTCCAACGAAGGGCTCATAGAGGGACAATTATCCAGCTGCAGACTTACAAAGAGTGTATTTCCAAACTGCTCGATTAAAGAAAGGTTAAACTCTGTGAGTTGAACACACACATCACAAAGTGTTTTCTGAGAATGATTTTGTCTAGTTTTAATACGAAGATATATCCTTTTCTATCACTGTCTTCGAAGCGTTTGAAATCTGCACTAGCAAATTCCACAAACAGAGTGTTTCAACTCTGCTCTCTCTCAAGAAAGGTTCAACTCTGTGAGTTGAATACACACAACACAAAGAAGTTACTGAGAATTCTTCTGTCTAGCGTTATATGAAGAAATCCCGTTTCCAACGAAGGCCTCAAAGAGGTCCAAATATCCACTTGCAGACTTTACAAATAGAGTGTTTCCAAACTGCTCTATGAAAAGAAAGGTTAAACTCTGTGAGTTGAAGGCACACATCACAAACTAGTTTCTGCGAATGACTCTGTGTACTTTTAATACGAAGATGTTTCCATGTCTAAGATTGGCGTGAATTCGCTTGAAATCTCCACTTGCAAATTCCACAAAAAGAGTGTTTCAAAACTGCTCTGAATAAAGGAAGGTTCCACTCTGTGAGTTGAATACACACAACACAAAGGATTTACTGAGAATTCTTCTGTCTAGCAGTAAATGAAAAAATCCCGCTTCCAACGAAGTCCTCAAAGGGGTCCAAGTAATCACTTGCAGACTTTACAGACAGAGTCTTTCCAAACTGCTCTATGAAAAGAAAGGTGGAACTCTGTGAGCTGAACGCACACATAACAAAGCAGTTTCTGAGAATGATTCTGTGTAGTTTTTACACGAAGATATTTCCATTTCAAAGATTAGCCTCAAATCGCTTGAAATCTCCACTTGCAAATTCCACAGAAAGAGTTTTTCAAAACTGCTCTGTGTAAAGGAAGGTTCAACTCTGTGACTTGAATACACACAACACAAAGAAGTGACTGAGAATTCTTCTGTCTAGCATTATATGAAGAAATCCCGTTTCCAACGAAGGCCTCAAAGAAGTCCAAATAAGCACCTGCAGACTTTACAAACAGAGTGTTTCCAAACTGCTCTATGAAAAGAAAGGTTAAACTCTGTGAGCTGAACGCACACATCACAAAGTAGTTGTTGAGAATGATTCTGTGTAGTTTTTATACGAAGATATTTCCTTTTCTGCCATAGGCCTAGAAGCGCTTGCAATCTGCACTTGCAAATTCCAAAAACAGAGTGTTTCAAATCTGCTCTCTCCAAAGGAAGGTTCAAATCGGTGAGTTGAATACAAACAACACAAAGAAGTTACTGGGAATTCTTCTGTCTTGCATTATATGAAGAAATCCCGTTTCCAACGAAGGCCTCAATGAAGTCCAAAAAAGCACTTGCAGGCTTTACAAACAGAGTGTTTCCAAACTTCTCTATGAAAAGAAAGGTTAAACTTTGTGAGTTGAACGCACACATCACAAAGTAGTTGTTGAGAATGATTTCTGTGTAGTTTTTATACGAAGATATTTCCTTTTCTGCCATAGGCCTAGAAGCGCCTGAAATCTGCACTTGCAAATTCCAAAAACAGAGTGTTTCAAATCTGCTCTCTCTAAAGGAAGGTTCAAATCTGTGAGTTGAATACAAACAACACAAAGAAGTTACTTGAGAATTCTTCTGTCTAGCGTTATATGAAGAAATCCCGTTTCCAACGAAGGCCTCAAAGAGGTCCAAATATCCACTTGCAGACTTTACAAATAGAGTGTTTCCAAACTGCTCTATGAAAAGAAAGGTTAAACTCTGTGAGTTGAAGGCACACATCACAAACTAGTTTCTGCGAATGACTCTGTGTACTTTTAATACGAAGATGTTTCCATGTCTAAGATTGGCGTGAATTCGCTTGAAATCTCCACTTGCAAATTCCACAAAAAGAGTGTTTCAAAACTGCTCTGAATAAAGGAAGGTTCCACTCTGTGAGTTGAATACACACAACACAAAGGATTTACTGAGAATTCTTCTGTCTAGCAGTAAATGAAAAAATCCCGCTTCCAACGAAGTCCTCAAAGGGGTCCAAGTAATCACTTGCAGACTTTACAGACAGAGTCTTTCCAAACTGCTCTATGAAAAGAAAGGTGGAACTCTGTGAGCTGAACGCACACATAACAAAGCAGTTTCTGAGAATGATTCTGTGTAGTTTTTACACGAAGCTATTTCCATTTCAAAGATTAGCCTCAAATCGCTTGAAATCTCCACTTGCAAATTCCACAGAAAGAGTTTTTCAAA
This sequence comes from Homo sapiens, assembly GCF_000001405.40. Taxonomy (NCBI): domain Eukaryota; kingdom Metazoa; phylum Chordata; class Mammalia; order Primates; family Hominidae; genus Homo; species Homo sapiens. The sequence goes on along the minus strand of NC_000010.11, from coordinate 39,976,631 downwards.
ACTGCTCTGTGAAAAGGAAGGTTCAACTCTGTGACTTGAATACACACAACACAAAGAAGTGACTGAGAATTCTTCTGTCTAGCATTACATGAAGAAATCCCGTTTCCAACGAAGGCCTCAAAGAAGTCCAAATAAGCACCTGCAGACTTTACAAACAGAGTGTTTCCAAACTGCTCTATGAAAAGAAAGGTTAAACTCTGTGAGTTGAACGCACACATCACAAAGTAGTTGTTGAGAATGATTCTGTGTAGTTTTTATACGAAGATATTTCCTTTTCTGCCATAGGCCTAGAAGCGCTTGTAATCTGCACTTGCAAATTCCAAAAACAGAGTGTTTCAAATCTGCTCTCTCTAAAGGAAGGTTCAAATCTGTGAGTTGAATACAAACAACACAAAGAAGTTACTGAGAATTCTTCTGTCTAGCATTATAAGAGGAAATCCCGTTTCCAACGAAGGGCTCCTAGAGGGACAATTATCCACCTGCAGACTTACAAAGAGTGTATTTCCAAACTGCTCGATTAAAGAAAGGTTAAACTCTGTGAGTTGAACACACACATCACAAAGTGTTTTCTGAGAATGATTTTGTCTAGTTTTAATACGAAGATATATCCTTTTCTATCACTGTCTTCGAAGCGTTTGAAATCTGCACTAGCAAATTCCACAGAAAGAGTGTTTCAACTCTGCTCTCTCTCAAGAAAGGTTCAACTCTGTGAGTGGAATACACACAACACAAAGAAGTTACTGAGAATTCTTCTGTCTAGCGTTATATGAAGAAATCCCGTTTCCAACGAAGGCCTCAAAGAGGTCCAAATATCCACTTGCAGACTTTACAAATAGAGTGTTTCCAAACTGCTCTATGAAAAGAAAGGTTAAACTCTGTGAGTTGAAGGCACACATCACAAACAAGTTTCTGCGAATGACTCTGTGTACTTTTAATACGAAGATGTTTCCATGTCTAAGATTGGCGTGAATTCGCTTGAAATCTCCACTTGCAAATTCCACAAAAAGAGTGTTTCAAAACTGCTCTGAATAAAGGAAGGTTCCACTCTGTGAGTTGAATACACACAACACAAAGGATTTACTGAGAATTCTTCTGTCTAGCAGTAAATGAAAAAATCCCGCTTCCAACGAAGTCCTCAAAGGGGTCCAAGTAATCACTTGCAGACTTTACAGACAGAGTCTTTCCAAACTGCTCTATGAAAAGAAAGGTGGAACTCTGTGAGCTGAACGCACACATAACAAAGCAGTTTCTGAGAATGATTCTGTGTAGTTTTTACACGAAGATATTTCCATTTCAAAGATTAGCCTCAAATCGCTTGAAATCTCCACTTGCAAATTCCACAGAAAGAGTTTTTCAAAACTGCTCTGTGTAAAGGAAGGTTCAACTCTGTGACTTGAATACACACAACACAAAGAAGTGACTGAGAATTCTTCTGTCTAGCGTTGTATGAAGAAATCCCGTTTCCAACGAAGGCCTCAATGAAGTCCAAAAAAGCACTTGCAGGCTTTACAAACAGAGTGTTTCCCAACTGCTCTATGAAAAGAAAGGTTAAACTCTGTGAGTTGAACGCACACATCACAAAGTAGTTGTTGAGAATGATTCTGTGTAGTTTTTATACGAAGATATTTCCTTTTCTGCCATAGGCCTAGAAGTGCTTGAAATCTGCACTTGCAAATTCCAAAAACAGAGTGTTTCAAATCTGCTCTCTCTAAAGCAAGGTTCAAATCTGTGTGTTGAATACAAACAACACAGAGAAGTTACTGAGAATTCTTCTGTCTAGCATTATAAGAGGAAATCCCGTTTCCAACGAAGGGCTCATAGAGGGACAATTATCCAGCTGCAGACTTACAAAGAGTGTATTTCCAAACTGCTCGATTAAAGAAAGGTTAAACTCTGTGAGTTGAACACACACATCACAAAGTGTTTTCTGAGAATGATTTTGTCTAGTTTTAATACGAATATATATCCTTTTCTATCACCGACTTCGAAGCGTTTCAAATTTGCACTACCAAATTCCACAAAAAGAGTGTTTCACCTCTGCTCCCTCTAAAGAAAGGTTCAACTCTGTGAGTTGAATACACACAACACAAAGAAGTTACTTAGAATTCTTCTGTCTAGCGTTATATGAAGAAATCCTGTTTCCAACGAAGGCCTCAAAGAGGTCCAAATATCCACTTGCAGACTTTACAAATAGAGTGTTTCCGAACTGCTCTATGAAAAGAAAGGTTAAACTCCGTGAGTTGAAGGCACACATCACAAACTAGTTTCTACGAATGACTCTGTGTACTTTTAATACGAAGATGTTTCCATGTCTAAGATTGGCGTGAATTCGCTTGAAATCTCCACTTGCAAATTCCACAAAAAGAGTGTTTCAAAACTGCTCTGAATAAAGGAAGGTTCCACTCTGTGAGTTGAATACACACAACACAAAGGATTTACTGAGAATTCTTCTGTCTAGCAGTAAATGAAAAAATCCCGCTTCCAACGAAGTCCTCAAAGGGGTCCAAGTATTCACTTGCAGACTTTACAGACAGAGTCTTTCCAAACTGCTCTATGAAAAGAAAGGTGGAACTCTGTGAGCTGAACGCACACATAACAAAGCAGTTTCTGAGAATGATTCTGTGTAGTTTTTACACGAAGAATATTTCCATTTCAAAGATTAGCCTCAAATCGCTTGAAATCTCCACTTGCAAATTCCACAGAAAGAGTTTTTCAAAACTGCTCTGTGTAAAGGAAGGTTCAACTCTGTGACTTGAATACACACAACACAAAGAAGTGACTGAGAATTCTTCTGTCTAGCATTATATGAAGAAATCCCGTTTCCAACGAAGGCCTCAAAGAAGTCCAAATAAGCACCTGCAGACTTTACAAACAGAGTGTTTCCAAACTGCTCTATGAAAAGAAAGGTTAAACTCTGTGAGCTGAACGCACACATCACAAAGTAGTTGTTGAGAATGATTCTGTGTAGTTTTTATACGAAGATATTTCCTTTTCTGCCATAGGCCTAGAAGCGCTTGCAATCTGCACTTGCAAATTCCAAAAACAGAGTGTTTCAAATCTGCTCTCTCCAAAGGAAGGTTCAAATCTGTGAGTTGAATACAAACAACACAAAGAAGTTACTGAGAATTCTTCTGTCTAGCATTATATGAGGAAATCCCGTTTCCAACGAAGGGCTCATAGAGGGACAATTATCCAGCTGCAGACTTACAAAGAGTGTATTTCCAAACTGCTCGATTAAAGAAAGGTTAAACTCTGTGAGTTGAACACACACATCACAAAGTGTTTTCTGAGAATGATTTTGTCTAGTTTTAATACGAAGATATATCCTTTTCTATCACTGTCTTCGAAGCGTTTGAAATCTGCACTAGCAAATTCCACAGAAAGAGTGTTTCAACTCTGCTCTCTCTCAAGAAAGGTTCAACTCTGTGAGTGGAATACACACAACACAAAGAAGTTACTGAGAATTCTTCTGTCTAGCGTTACATGAAGAAATCCCGTTTCCAACGAAGGCCTCAAAGAGGTCCAAATATCCACTTGCAGACTTTACAAATAGAGTGTTTCCAAAATGCTCTATGAAAAGAAAGGTTAAACTCTGTGAGTTGAAGGCACACATCACAAACTAGTTTCTGCGAATGACTCTGTGTACTTTTAATACGAAGATGTTTCCATGTCTAAGATTGGCGTGAATTCGCTTGAAATCTCCACTTGCAAATTCCACAAAAAGAGTGTTTCAAAACTGCTCTGAATAAAGGAAGGTTCCACTCTGTGAGTTGAATACACACAACACAAAGGATTTACTGAGAATTCTTCTGTCTAGCAGTAAATGAAAAAATCCCGCTTCCAACGAAGTCCTCAAAGGGGTCCAAGTAATCACTTGCAGACTTTACAGACGGAGTCTTTCCAAACTGCTCTATGAAAAGAAAGGTGGAACTCTGTGAGCTGAACGCACACATAACAAAGCAGTTTCTGAGAATGATTCTGTGTAGTTTTTGCACGAAGCTATTTCCATTTCAAAGATTAGCCTCAAATCGCTTGAAATCTCCACTTGCAAATTCCACAGAAAGAGTTTCTCAAAACTGCTCTGTGTAAAGGAAGGTTCAACTCTGTGACTTGAATACACACAACACAAAGAAGTGACTGAGAATTCTTCTGTCTGGCATTATATGAAGAAATCCCGTTTCCACCGAAGGCCTCAAAGAAGTCCAAATAAGCACCTGCAGACTTCACAAACAGGGTGTTTCCAAACTGCTCTATGAAAAGAAAGGTTAAACTCTGTGAGTTGAACGCACACATCACAAAGTAGTTGTTGAGAATGATTCTGTGTAGTTTTTACACGAAGATATTTCCTTTTCTGCCATAGGCCTAGAAGCGCTTGTAATCTGCACTTACAATTTCCAAAAGCAGAGTGTTTCAAATCTGCTCTCTCTAAAGGAAAGTTCAAATCTGTGAGTTGAATACAAACAACACAAAGAAGTTACTGAGAATTCTTCTGTCTAGCATTATATGAGGAAATCCCGTTTCCAACGAAGGGCTCATAGAGGGACAATTATCCACCTGCAGACTTACAAAGAGTGTATTTCCAAACTGCTCGATTACAGAAAGGTTAAACTCTGTGAGTTGAACACACACATCACAAAGTGTTTTCTGAGAATGATTTTGTCTAGTTTTAATACGAAGATATATCCTTTTCTATCACTGTCTTCGAAGCGTTTGAAATCTGCACTAGCAAATTCCACAGAAAGAGTGTTTCAACTCTGCTCTCTCTCAAGAAAGGTTCAACTCTGTGAGTGGAATACACACAACACAAAGAAGTTACAGAGAATTCTTCTGTCTAGCGTTATATGAAGAAATCCCGTTTCCAACGAAGGCCTCAAAGAGGTCCAAATATCCACTTGCAGACTTTACAAATAGAGTGTTTCCAAACTGCTCTATGAAAAGAAAGCTTAAACTCTGTGAGTTGAAGGCACACATCACAAACTAGTTTCTGCGAACGACTCTGTGTACTTTTAATACGAAGATGTTTCCATGTCTAAGATTGGCGTGAATTCGCTTGAAATCTCCACTTGCAAATTCCACAAAAAGAGTTTTTCAAAACTGCTCTGTGTAAAGGAAGGTTCAACTCTGTGACTTGAATACACACAACACAAAGAAGTGACTGAGAATTCTTCTGTCTAGCATTATATGAAGAAATCCCGTTTCCAACGAAGGCCTCAAAGAAGTCCAAAGAAGCACCTGCAGACTTTACAAACAGAGTGTTTCCAAACTGCTCTATGAAAAGAAAGGTTAAACTCTGTGAGTTGAACGCACACATCACAAAGTAGTTGTTGAGAATGATTCTGTGTAGTTTTTATACGAAGATATTTCCTTTTCTGCCATAGGCCTAGAAGCGCTTGCAATCTGCACTTGCAAATTCCAAAAACAGAGTGTTTCAAATCTGCTCTCTCCAAAGGAAGGTTCAAATCTGTGAGTTGAATACAAACAACACAAAGAAGTTACTGAGAATTCTTCTGTTTAGCATTATAAGAGGAAATCCCGTTTCCAACGAAGGGCTCATAGAGGGACAATTATCCAGCTGCAGACTTACAAAGAGTGTATTTCCAAACTGCTCGATTAAAGAAAGGTTAAACTCTGTGAGTTGAACACACACATCACAAAGTGTTTTCTGAGAATGATTTTGTCTAGTTTTAATACGAAGATATATCCTTTTCTATCACTGTCTTCGAAGCGTTTGAAATCTGCACTGGCAAATTCCACAAACAGAGTGTTTCAACTCTGCTCTCTCTCAAGAAAGGTTCAACTCTGTGAGTGGAATACACACAACACAAAGAAGTTACTGAGAATTCTTCTGTCTAGCGTTACATGAAGAAATCCCGTTTCCAACGAAGGCCTCAAAGAGGTCCAAATATCCACTTGCAGACTTTACAAATAGAGTGTTTCCAAAATGCTCTATGAAAAGAAAGGTTAAACTCTGTGAGTTGAAGGCACACATCACAAACTAGTTTCTGCGAATGACTCTGTGTACTTTTAATACGAAGATGTTTCCATGTCTAAGATTGGCGTGAATTCGCTTGAAATCTCCGCTTGCAAATTCCACAAAAAGAGTGTTTCAAAACTGCTCTGAATAAAGGAAGGTTCCACTCTGTGAGTTGAATACACACAACACAAAGGATTTACTGAGAATTCTTCTGTCTAGCAGTAAATGAAAAAATCCCGCTTCCAACGAAGTCCTCAAAGGGGTCCAAGTAATCACTTGCAGACTTTACAGAGTCTTTCCAAACTGCTCTATGAAAACAAAGGTGGAACTCTGTGAGCTGAACGCACACATAACAAAGCAGTTTCTGAGAATGATTCTGTGTAGTTTTGACACGAAGATATTTCCATTTCAAAGATTAGCCTCAAATCGCTTGAAATCTCCAATTGCAAATTCCACAGAAAGAATTTTTCAAAACTGCTCTGTCTAAAAGAAGGTTCAACTCTGTGACTTGAATACACACAACACAAAGAAGTTACTGAGAATCCTTCTGTCTAGCATTATATGAAGAAATCCCGTTTCCAACGAAGGCCTCAATGAAGTCCAAAAAAGCACTTGCAGGCTTTACAAATAGAGTGTTTCCAAACTGCTCTATGAAAAGAAAGGTTAAACTCTGTGAGTTGAACGCACACATCACAAAGTAGTTGTTGAGAATGATTCTGTGTAGTTTTTATAGGAAGATATTTCCTTTTCTGCCATAGGCCTAGAAGCGCTTGAAATCTGCACTTGCAAATTCCAAAAACAGAGTGTTTCAAATCTGCTCTCTCTAAAGGAAGGTTCAAATCTGTGTGTTGAATACAAACAACACAAAGAAGTTACTGAGAATTCTTCTGTCTAGCATTATATGAGGAAATCCCGTTTCCAACGAAGGGCTCAAAGAGGGCCAAATATCCACCTGCAGACTTACAAAGAGTGTATTTCCAAACTGCTCGATTAAAGAAAGGTTAAACTGCTGTGAGTTGAACACACACATCACAAAGAGTTTTCTGAGAATGATTTTGTCTACTTTTAATACGAAGATACATCCTTTTCTATCACTGTCTTCGAAGCGTTTGAAATCTACACTAGCAAATTCCACAAAAAGAGTGTTTCACCTCTGCTCCCTCTAAAGAAAGGTTCAACTCTGTGAGTTGAATACACACAACACAAAGAAGTTACTGAGAATTCTTCTGTCTAGCGTTATATGAAGAAATCCCGTTTCCAGCGAAGGCCTCAAAGAGGTCCAAATATCCACTTGCAGACTTTACAAATAGAGTGTTTCCCAACTGCTCTATGAAAAGAAAGGTTAAACTCTGTGAGTTGAAGGCACACATCACAAACTAGTTTCTACGAATGACTCTGTGTACTTTTAATATGAAGATATTTCCATGTCTAAGATTGGCGTCAAATCGCTTGAAATCTCCACTTGCAAATTCCACAAAAAGAGTGTTTCAAAACTGCTCTGAATAAAGGAAGGTTCCACTCTGTGAGTTGAATACACACAACACAAAGGATTTACTGAGAATTCTTCTGTCTAGCAGTAAATGAGAAATCCCGCTTCCAACGAAGGCCTTAAAGGGGTCTAACTAATCACTTGCAGACTTTACAGACAGAGTCTTTCCAAACTGCTCTATGAAGAGAAAGGTGAAACCCTGTGAACTGAACGCACAGATGACAAAGCAGTTTCTGAGAATGATTCTGTGTAGTTTTTACACGAAGATATTTCCATTTCAAAGATTAGCCTCAAATCGCTTGAAATCTCCACTTGCAAATTACACAGAAAGAATTTTTCAAAACTGCTCTGTCTAAAGGAAGGTTCAACTCTGTGACTTGAATACACACAACACAAAGAAGTGACTGAGAATTCTTCTGTCTAGCATTATATGAAGAAATCCCGTTTCCAACGAAGGCCTCAATGAAGTCCAAAAAGGCACTTGCAGGCTTTACAAACAGAGTGTTTCCAAACTGCTCTATGAAAAGAAAGGTTAAACTCTGTGAGTTGAACGCACACATCACAAAGTAGTTGTTGAGAATGATTCTGTGTAGTTTTTATACGAAGATATTTCCTTTTCTGCCATAGGCCTAGAATCGCTTGAAATCTGCAGTTGCAAATTCCAAAAACAGAGTGTTTCAACTCTGCTCTCTCTAAAGAAAGGTTCAACTCTGTGAGTTGAATACACACAACACAAAGAAGTTACTGAGAATTCTTCTGTCTAGCGTTGTATGAAGAAATCCCGTTTCCAACGAAGGCCTCAAAGAGGTCCAAATATCCACTTGCAGACTTTACAAATAGAGTGTTTCCAAACTGCTCTATGAAAAGAAAGGTTAAACTCTGTGAGTTGAAGGCACACATCACAAACTAGTTTCTACGAATGACTCTGTGTACTTTTAATATGAAGATATTTCCATGTCTAAGATTGGCGTCAAATCGCTTGAAATCTCCACTTGCAAATTCCACAAAAAGTGTTTTTCAAAACTGCTCTGAATAAAGGAAGGTTCCACTCTGTGAGTTGAATACACACAACACAAAGGATTTACTGAGAATTCTTCTGTCTAGCAGTAAATGAAAAAATCCCGCTTCCAACAAAGTCCTCAAAGGGGTCCAAGTAATCACTTGCAGACTTTACAGACAGAGTCTTTCCAAACTGCTCTATGAAAAGAAAGTTGGAACTCTGTGAGCTGAACGCACACATAACAAAGCAGTTTCTGAGAATGATTCTGTGTAGTTTTTACACGAAGATATTTCCATTTCAAAGATTAGCCTCAAATCTCTTAAAATCTCCAATTGCAAATTCCACAGAAAGAATTTTTCAAAACTGCTCTGTCTAAAAGAAGGTTCAACTCTGTGACTTGAATACACACAACACAAAGAAGTAACTGAGAATTCTTCTGTCTAGCGTTGTATGAAGAAATCCCGTTTCCAACGAAGGCCTCAATGAAGTCCAAAAAAGCACTTGCAGGCTTTACAAACAGAGTGTTTCCAAACTGCTCTACGAAAAGAAAGGTTAAACTCTGTGAGTTGAACGCACACATCACAAAGTAGTTGTTGAGAATGATTCTGTGTAGTTTTTATACGAAGATATTTCCTTTTCTGCCATAGGCCTAGAAGCGCTTGTAATCTGCACTTGCAAATTCCAAAAACAGAGTGTTTCAAATCTGCTCTCTCTAAAGGAAGGTTCAAATCTGTGAGTTGAATACAAACAACACAAAGAAGTTACTGTGAATTCTTCTGTCTAGCATTATAAGAGGAAATCCCGTTTCCAACGAAGGGCTCATAGAGGGACAATTATCCAGCTGCAGACTTACAAAGAGTGTATTTCCAAACTGCTCGATTAAAGAAAGGTTAAACTCTGTGAGTTGAACACACACATCACAAAGTGTTTTCTGAGAATGATTTTGTCTAGTTTTAATACGAAGATATATCCTTTTCTATCACTGTCTTCGAAGCGTTTGAAATCTGCACTAGCAAATTCCACAGAAAGAGTGTTTCAACTCTGCTCTCTCTCAAGAAAGGTTCAACTCTGTGAGTTGAATACACACAACACAAAGAAGTTACTGAGAATTCTTCTGTCTAGCATTATATGAGGAAATCCCGTTTCCAACGAAGGGCTCAAAGAGGGCCAATTATCCACCTGCAGACTTACAAAGAGTGTATTTCCAAACTGCTCAATTAAAGAAAGGTTAAACTCTGTGAGTTGAACACACACATCACAAAGTCTTTTCTGAGAATGATTTTGTCTAGTTTTAATACAAAGATATATCCTTTTCTATCACTGTCTTCGAAGCGTTTGAAATCTGCACTAGCAAGTTCCACAAGAAGAGTGTTTCAACTCTGCTCTCTCTAAAGAAAGGTTCAACTCGGTGAGTTGAATACACACAACACAAAGAAGTTACTGAGAATTCTTCTGTCTAGCAGTAAATGAAAAAATCCCGCTTCCAACGAAGTCCTCAAAGGGGTCCAAGTAATCACTTGCAGACTTTACAGACAGAGTCTTTCCAAACTGCTCTATGAAAAGAAAGGTGGAACTCTGTGAGCTGAACGCACACATAACAAAGCAGTTTCTGAGAATGATTCTGGTGGTTTTTACACGAAGCTATTTCCATTTCAAAGATTAGCCTCAAATCGCTTGAAATCTCCACTTGCAAATTCCACAGAAAGAGTTTTTCAAAACTGCTCTGTGTAAAGGAAGGTTCAACTCTGTGACTTGAATACACACAACACAAAGAAGTGACTGAGAATTCTTCTGTCTAGCATTACATGAAGAAATCCCGTTTCCAACGAAGGCCTCAAAGAAGTCCAAATAAGCACCTGCAGACTTTACAAACAGAGTGTTTCCAAACTGCTCTACGAAAAGAAAGGTTAAACTCTGTGAGTTGAACGCACACATCACAAAGTAGTTGTTGAGAATGATTCTGTGTAGTTTTTATACGAAGATATTTCCTTTTCTGCCATAGGCCTAGAAGCGCTTGTAATCTGCACTTGCAAATTCCAAAAACAGAGTGTTTCAAATCTGCTCTCTCTAAAGGAAGGTTCAAATCTGTGAGTTGAATACAAACAACACAAAGAAGTTACTGAGAATTCTTCTGTCTAGCATTATAAGAGGAAATCCCGTTTCCAACGAAGGGCTCATAGAGGGACAATTATCCAGCTGCAGACTTACAAAGAGTGTATTTCCAAACTGCTCGATTAAAGAAAGGTTAAACTCTGTGAGTTGAACACACACATCACAAAGTGTTTTCTGAGAATGATTTTGTCTAGTTTTAATACGAAGATATATCCTTTTCTATCACTGTCTTCGAAGCGTTTGAAATCTGCACTAGCAAATTCCACAAACAGAGTGTTTCAACTCTGCTCTCTCTCAAGAAAGGTTCAACTCTGTGAGTTGAATACACACAACACAAAGAAGTTACTGAGAATTCTTCTGTCTAGCGTTGTATGAAGAAATCCCTTTTCGAACGAAGGCCTCAAAGAGGTCCAAATATCCACCTGCAGACTTTACAAATAGAGTGTTTCCAAACTGCTCTATGAAAAGAAAGGTCAAACTCTGTGAGTTGAAGGCACACATCACAAACTAGTTTCTACGAATGACTCTGTGTACTTTTAATATGAAGATATTTCCATGTCTCAGATTGGCGTCAAATCGCTTGAAATCTGCACTTGCAAATTCCACTAAAAGTGTTTTTCAAAAGTGCTCTGAATAAAGGAAGGTTCCACTCTGTGAGTTGAATACACACAACACAAAGGATTTACTGAGAATTCTTCTGTCTAGCAGTAAATGAGAAATCCCGCTTCCAAAGAAGGCCTCAATGGGGTCTAACTAATCACTTGTAGACTTTACAGACAGAGTCTTTCCAAACTGCTCTATGAAGAGAAAGGTGAAACTCTGTGAACTGAACGCACAGATGACAAAGCAGTTTCTGAGAATGCTTCTGTGTAGTTTTTACACGAAGATATTTCCATTTCAAAGATTAGCCTCAAATCGCTTGAAATCTCCACTTGCAAACTCCACAGAAAGAATTTTTCAAAACTGCTCTGTCTAAAGGAAGGTTCAACTCTGTGACTTGAATACACACAACACAGAGAAGTGACTGAGAATTCTTCTGTCTAACATTATATGAAGAAATCCCGTTTCCAACGAAGGCCTCAAAGAAGTCCAAATAAGCACCTGCAGACTTTACAAACAGAGTGTTTCCAAACTGCTCTATGAAAAGAAAGGTTAAACTCTGTGAGTTGAACGCAGACATCACAAAGTAGTTGTTGAGAATGATTCTGTGTAGTTTTTATACGAAGATATTTCCTTTTCTGCCATAGGCCTATAAGCGCTTGAAATCTGCACTTGCAAATTCCAAAAACAGAGTGTTTCAAATCTGCTCTCTCTAAAGGAAGGTTCAAATCTGTGAGTTGAATACAAACAACACAAAGAAGTTACTGAGAATTCTTCTGTCTAGCATTATATGAGGAAATCCCGTTTCCAACGAAGGGCTCAAAGAGGGCCAATTATCCACCTGCAGACTTACAAAGATTGTGTTTCCAAACTGCTCGATTAAAGAACGTTTAAATTCTGTGAGTTGAACACACACATCACAAAGTGTTTTCTGAGAATGATTTTGTCTAGTTTTAATACGAAGATATATCCTTTTCTATCACTGTCTTTGAAGCGTTTGAAATCTGCACTAGCAAATTCCACAAAGAGAGTGTTTCAACTCTGCTCTCTCTCAAGAAAGGTTCAACTCTGTGAGTGGAATACACACAACACAAAGAAGTTACTGAGAATTCTTCTGTCTAGCGTTATATGAAGAAATCCCGTTTCCAACGAAGGCCTCAAAGAGGTCCAAATATCCACTTGCAGACTTTACAAATAGAGTGTTTCCAAACTGCTCTATGAAAAGAAAGGTTAAACTCTGTGAGTTGAAGGCACACATCACAAACTAGTTTCTGCGAATGACTCTGTGTACTTTTAATATGAAGATATTTCCATGTCTAAGATTGGCATCAAATCGCTTGAAATCTCCACTTGCAAATTCCACAAGAAGAGTGTTTCAAAACTGCTCTGAATAAAGGAAGGTTCCACTCTGTGAGTTGAATACACACAACACAAAGGATTTACTGAGAATTCTTCTGTCTGGCAGTAAATGAAAAAATCCCGCTTCCAACGAAGTCCTCAAAGGGGTCCAAGTAATCACTTGCAGACTTTACAGACAGAGTCTTTCCAAACTGCTCTATGAAAAGAAAGGTGGAACTCTGTGAGCTGAACGCACACATAACAAAGCAGTTTCTGAGAATGATTCTGTGTAGTTTTTACATGAAGATATTTCCATTTCAAAGATTAGCCTCAAATCACTTGAAATCTCCACTTGCAAATTCCACAGAAAGAATTTTTCAAAACTGCTCTGTCTAAAGGAAGGTTCAACTCTGTGACTTGAATACACACAACACAAAGAAGTGACTGAGAATTCTTCTGTCTAGCATTATATGAAGAAATCCCGTTTCCAACTAAGGCCTCAATGAAGTCCAAAAAAGCACTTGCAGGCTTTACAAACAGAGTGTTTCCAAACTGCTCTATGAAAAGAAAGGTTAAACTCTGTGAGTTGAACGCACACATCACAAAGTAGTTGTTGAGAATGATTCTGTGTAGTTTTTATACGAAGATATTTCCTTTTCTGCCATAGGCCTAGAAGCGCTTGTAATCTGCACTTGCAAATTCCAAAAACAGAGTGTTTCAAATCTGCTCTCTCTAAAGGAAGGTTCAAATCTGTGAGTTGAATACAAACAACACAAAGAAGTTACTGAGAATTCTTCTGTCTAGCATTATAAGAGGAAATCCCGTTTCCAACGAAGGGCTCATAGAGGGACAATTATCCAGCTGCAGACTTACAAAGAGTGTATTTCCAAACTGCTCGATTAAAGAAAGGTTAAACTCTGTGAGTTGAACACACACATCACAAAGTGTTTTCTGAGAATGATTTTGTCTAGTTTTAATACGAAGATATATCCTTTTCTATCACTGTCTTCGAAGCGTTTGAAATCTGCACTAGCAAATTCCACAAACAGAGTGTTTCCACTCTGCTCTCTCTCAAGAAAGGTTCAACTCTGTGAGTGGAATACACACAACACAAAGAAGTTACTGAGAATTCTTCTGTCTAGCGTTGTATGAAGAAATCCCGTTTCCAACGAAGGCCTCAAAGAGGTCCAAATATCCACTTGCAGACTTTAGAAATAGAGTGTTTCCAAACTGCTCTATGAAAAGAAAGGTTAAACTCTGTGAGTTGAAGGCACACATCACAAACTAGTTTCTACGAATGACTCTGTGTACTTTTAATACGAAGATGTTTCCATGTCTAAGATTGGCGTGAATTCGCTTGAAATCTCCACTTGCAAATTCCACCAAAAGAGTGTTTCAAAACTGCTCTGAATAAAGGAAGGTTCCACTCTGTGAGTTGAATACACACAACACAAAGGATTTACTGAGAATTCTTCTGTCTAGCAGTAAATGAAAAAATCCCGCTTCCAACGAAGTCCTCAAAGGGGTCCAAGTAATCACTTGCAGACTTTACAGACGGAGTCTTTCCAAACTGCTCTATGAAAAGAAAGGTGGAACTCTGTGAGCTGAACGCACACATAACAAAGCAGTTTCTGAGAATGATTCTGTGTAGTTTTTGCACGAAGCTATTTCCATTTCAAAGATTAGCCTCAAATCGCTTGAAATCTCCACTTGCAAATTCCACAGAAAGAGTTTCTCAAAACTGCTCTGTGTAAAGGAAGGTTCAACTCTGTGACTTGAATACACACAACACAAAGAAGTGACTGAGAATTCTTCTGTCTAGCATTATATGAGGAAATCCCGTTTAAAACGAGGGCTCAAAGAGGGCCCATTATCCACCTGCAGACTTACAAAGAGTGTATTTCCAAACTGCTCGATTAAAGAAAGGTTAAACTCTGTGAGTTGAACACACACATCACAAAGTGTTTTCTGAGAATGATTTTGTCTAGTTTTAATACGAAGATATGTCCTTTTCTATCACTGTCTTCGAAGCGTTTGAAATCTGCACTAGCAAATTCCACAAAAAGAGTGTTTCAACTCTGCTCTCTCTAAAGAAAGGTTCAACTCTGTGAGTTGAATACACACAACACAAAGAAGTTACTGAGAATTCTTCTGTCTAGCATTATAAGAGGAAATCCCGTTTCCAACGAAGGGCTCATAGAGGGACAATTATCCAGCTGCAGACTTACAAAGAGTGTATTTCCAAACTGCTCGATTAAAGAAAGGTTAAACTCTGTGAGTTGAACACACACATCACAAAGTGTTTTCTGAGAATGATTTTGTCTAGTTTTAATACGAAGATATATCCTTTTCTATCACTGTCTTCGAAGCGTTTGAAATCTGCACTAGCAAATTCCACAGAAAGAGTGTTTCAACTCTGCTCTCTCTCAAGAAAGGTTCAACTCTGTGAGTTGAAAACACACAACACAAAGAAGTTACTGAGAATTCTTCTGTCTAGAGTTGTATGAAGAAATCCCGTTTCCAACGAAGGCCTCAAAGAGGTCCAAATATCCACTTGCAGACTTTACAAATAGAGTGTTTCCAAACTGCTCTATGAAAAGAAAGGTTAAACTCTGTGAGTTGAAGGCACACATCACAAACTAGTTTCTACGAATGACTCTGTGTACTTTTAATATGAAGATATTTCCATGTCTAAGATTGGCGTCAAATCGCTTGAAATCTCCACTTGCAAATTCCACAAAAAGTGTTTTTCAAAACTGCTCTGAATAAAGGAAGGTTCCACTCTGTGAGTTGAATACACACAACACAAAGGATTTACTGAGAATTCTTCTGTCTAGCAGTAAATGGGAAATCCCGCTTCCAACGAAGGCCTCAAAGGGGTCTAACTAATCACTTGCGGACTTTACAGACAGAGTCTTTCCAATCTGCTCTATGAAGAGAAAGGTTAAACTCTGTGAACTGAACGCACAGATAACAAAGCAGTTTCTGAGAATGATTCTGTGTAGTTTTTACACGAAGATATTTCCATTTCAAAGATTAGCCTCAAATCGCTTGAAATCTCCACTTGCAAATTACACAGAAAGAATTTTTCAAAACTGCTCTGTCTAAAGGAAGGTTCAACTGCTGTGACTTGAATACACACAACACAAAGAAGTGACTGAGAATTCTTCTGTCTAGCATTATATGAAGAAATCCCGTTTCCTACGAAGGCCTCAATGAAGGCCAAAAAAGCACTTGCAGGCTTTACAAACAGAGTGTTTCCAAACTGCTCTATGAAAAGAAAGGTTAAACTCAGTGAGTTCAACGCACACATCACAAAGTAGTTGTTGAGAATGAATCCTGTGTAGTTTTTATACGAAGATATTTCCTTTTCTGCCATAGGCCTAGAAGCGCTTGAAATCTGCACTTGCAAATTCCAAAAACAGAGTGTTTCAAATCTGCTCTCTCTAAAGGAAGGTTCAAATCTGTGTGTTGAATACAAACAACACAAAGAAGTTACTGAGAATTCTTCTGTCTACCATTATATGAGGAAATCCCGTTTCCATCGAAGGGCTCAAAGAGGGCCAAATATCCACCTGCAGACTTACAAAGAGTGTATTTCCAAACTGCTCGATTAAAGAAAGGTTAAACTCTGTGACTTGAACACACACATCACAAAGAGTTTTCTGAGAATGATTTTGTCTACTTTTAATACGAAGATATATCCTTTTCTATCACTGTCTTCGAAGCGTTTGAAATCTACACTAGCAAATTCCACAAAAAGAGTGTTTCACCTCTGCTCCCTCTAAAGAAAGGTTCAACTCTGTGAGTTGAATACACACAACACAAAGAAGTTACTGAGAATTCTTCTGTCTAGCGTTATATGAAGAAATCCCCGTTTCCAACGAAGGCCTCAAAGAGGTCCAAATATCCACTTGCAGACTTTACAAATAGAGTGTTTCCAAACTGCTCTATGAAAAGAAAGGTTAAACTCCGTGAGTTGAAGGCACACATCACAAACTAGTTTCTGCGAATGACTCTGTGTACTTTTAATACGAAGATGTTTCCATGTCTAAGATTGGCGTGAATTCGCTTGAAATCTCCACTTGCAAATTCCACAAAAAGAGTGTTTCAAAAGTGCTCTGAATAAAGGAAGGTTCCACTCTGTGAGTTGAATACACACAACACAAAGGATTTACTGAGAATTCTTCTGTCTAGCAGTAAATGAAAAAATCCCGCTTCCAACGAAGTCCTCAAAGGGGTCCAAGTAATCACTTGCAGACTTTACAGACAGAGTCTTTCCAAACTGCTCTATGAAAAGAAAGGTGGAACTCTGTGAGCTGAACGCACACATAACAAAGCAGTTTCTGAGAATGATTCTGTGTAGTTTTGACACGAAGATATTTCCATTTCAAAGATTAGCCTCAAATCGCTTGAAATCTCCACTTGCAAATTCCACAGAAAGAATTTTTCAAAACTGCTCTGTCTAAAGGAAGGTTCAACTCTGTGACTTGAATACACACAACACAAAGAAGTGACTGAGAATTCTTCTGTCTAGGATTATATGAAGAAATCCCGTTTCCAACGAAGGCCTCAATGAAGTCCAAAAAAGCACTTGCAGGCTTTACAAACAGAGTGTTTCCACACTGCTCTATGAAAAGAAAGGTTAAACTTTGTGAGTTGAACGCACACATCACAAAGTAGTTGTTGAGAATGATTCTGTGTAGTTTTTATACGAAGATATTTCCTTTTCTGCCATAGGCCTAGAAGCGCTTGCAATCTGCACTTGCAAATTCCAAAAACAGAGTGTTTCAAATCTGCTCTCTCCAAAGGAAGGTTCAAATCTGTGAGTTGAATACAAACAACACAAAGAAGTTACTGAGAATTCTTCTGTCTAGCATTATAAGAGGAAATCCCGTTTCCAACGAAGGGCTCATAGAGGGACAATTATCCAGCTGCAGACTTACAAAGAGTGTATTTCCAAACTGCTCGATTAAAGAAAGGTTAAACTCTGTGAGTTGAACACACACATCACAAAGTGTTTTCTGAGAATGATTTTGTCTACTTTTAATACGAAGATATATCCTTTTCTATCACTGTCTTCGAAGCGTTTGAAATCTAAACTAGCAAATTCCACAAAAAGAGTGTTTCACCTCTGCTCTCTCTAAAGAAAGGTTCAACTCTGTGAATTGAATACACACAACACAAAGAAGTTACTGAGAATTCTTCTGTCTAGCGTTATATGAAGAAATCCCGTTTCCAACGAAGGCCTCAAAGAGGTCCAAATATCCACTTGCAGACTTTACAAATAGAGTGTTTCCAAACTGCTCTATGAAAAGAAAGGTTAAACTCTGTGAGTTGAAGGCACACATCACAAACTAGTTTCTGCGAATGACTCTGTGTACTTTTAATATGAAGATATTTCCCAGTCTAAGATTGGCGTCAAATCGCTTGAAATCTCCACTTGCAAATTCCACAAAAAGTGTTTTTCAAAACTTCTCTGAATAAAGGAAGTTTAAACTCTGTGAGTTGAATACAAACAACACAAAGGATTTACTGAGTATTCTTCTGTCTAGCAGTAAATGAAAAAATCCCGCTTCCAACGAAGTCCTCAAAGGGGTCCAAGTAATCACTTGCAGACTTTACAGACAGAGTCTTTCCAAACTGCTCTATGAAAAGAAAGGTGGAACTCTGTGAGCTGAACGCACACATAACAAAGCAGTTTCTGAGAAAGATTCTGTGTAGTTTTTACACGAAGATATTTCCATTTCAAAGATTAGCCTCAAATCGCTTGAAATCTCCACTTGCAAACTCCACAGAAAGAATTTTTCAAAACTGCTCTGTCTAAAGGAAGGTTCAACTCTGTGACTTGAATACACACAACACAAAGAAGTGACTGAGAATTCTTCTGTCTTGCATTATATGAAGAAATCCCGTTTCCAACGAAGGCCTCAATGAAGTCCAAAAAAGCACTTGCAGACTTTACAAACAGAGTGTTTCCAAACTTCTCTATGAAAAGAAAGGTTAAACTTTGTGAGTTGAACGCACACATCACAAAGTAGTTGTTGAGAATGATTCTGTGTAGTTTTTATACGAAGATATTTCCTTTTCTGCCATAGGCCTAGAAGCGCTTGTAATCTGCACTTGCAAATTCCAAAAACAGAGTGTTTCAAATCTGCTCTCTCTAAAGGAAGGTTCAAATCTGTGAGTTGAATACAAACAACACAAAGAAGTTACTGAGAATTCTTCTGTCTAGCATTATAAGAGGAAATCCCGTTTCCAACGAAGGGCTCCTAGAGGGACAATTATCCAGCTGCAGACTTACAAAGAGTGTATTTCCAAACTGCTCGATTAAAGAAAGGTTAAACTCTGTGAGTTGAACACACACATCACAAAGTGTTTTCTGAGAATGATTTTGTCTAGTTTTAATACGAAGATATATCCTTTTCTATCACTGTCTTCGAAGCGTTTGAAATCTGCACTAGCAAATTCCACAGAAAGAGTGTTTCAACTCTGCTCTCTCTCAAGAAAGGTTCAACTCTGTGAGTGGAATACACACAACACAAAGAAGTTACTGAGAATTCTTCTGTCTAGCGTTATATGAACAAATCCCGTTTCCAAGGAAGGCCTCAAAGAGGTCCAAATATCCACTTGCCGACTTTACAAATAGAGTGTTTCCAAACTGCTGTATGAAAAGAATGGTTAAACTCTGTGAGTTGAAGGCACACATCACAAACCAGTTTCTGCGAATGACTCTGTGTACTTTTAATACGAAGATGTTTCCATGTCTAAGATTGGCGTGAATTCGCTTGAAATCTCCACTTGCAATTTCCACAAAAAGAGTGTTTCAAAACTGCTCTGAATAAAGGAAGGTTCCACTCTGTGAGTTGAATACACACAACACAAAGGATTTACTGAGAATTCTTCTGTCTAGCAGTAAATGAAAAAATCCCGCTTCCAACGAAGTCCTCAAAGGGGTCCAAGTAATCACTTTGCAGACTTTACAGACAGAGTCTTTCCAAACTGTTCTATGAAAAGAAAGGTGGAACTCTGTGAGCTGAACGCACACATAACAAAGCAGTTTCTGAGAATGATTCTGTGTAGTTTTTACACGAAGATATTTCCATTTCAAAGATTAGCCTCAAATCGCTTGAAATCTCCACTTGCAAACTCCACAGAAAGAATTTTTCAAAACTGCTCTGTCTAAAGGAAGGTTCAACTCTGTGACTTGAATACTCACAACACAAAGAAGTGACTGAGAATTCTTCTGTCTAGCATTATATGAAGAAATCCCGTTTCCAACGAAGGCCTCAAAGAAAGTCCAAATAAGCACCTGCAGACTTTACAAACGGAGTGTTTCCAAACTGCTCTATGAAAAGAAAGGTTAAACTCTGTGAGTTGAATGCACACATCACAAAGTAGTTGTTGAGAATGATTCTGTGTAGTTTTTATACGAAGATATTTCCTTTTCTGCCATAGGCCTAGAAGCGCTTGTAATCTGCACTTGCAAATTCCAAAAACAGAGTGTTTCAAATCTGCTCTCTCTAAAGGAAGGTTCAAATCTGTGAGTTGAATACAAACAACACAAAGAAGTTACTGAGAATTCTTCTGTCTAGCATTATAAGAGGAAATCCCGTTTCCAACGAAGGGCTCATAGAGGGACAATTATCCAGCTGCAGACTTACAAAGAGTGTATTTCCAAACTGCTCGATTAAAGAAAGGTTAAACTCTGTGAGTTGAACACACACATCACAAAGTGTTTTCTGAGAATGATTTTGTCTAGTTTTAATACGAAGATATATCCTTTTCTATCACTGTCTTCGAAGCGTTTGAAATCTGCACTAGCAAATTCCACAAACAGAGTGTTTCAACTCTGCTCTCTCTCAAGAAAGGTTCAACTCTGTGAGTTGAATACACACAACACAAAGAAGTTACTGAGAATTCTTCTGTCTAGCGTTGTATGAAGAAATCGCGTTTCCAACGAAGGCCTCAAAGAGGTCCAAATATCCACTTGCAGACTTTACAAATAGACTGTTTCCCAACTGCTCTATGGAAAGAAAGGTTAAACTCTGTGAGTTGAAGGCACACATCACAAACTAGTTTCTACGAATGACTCTGTGTACTTTTAATATGAAGACATTTCCATGTCTAAGATTGGCGTCAAATCGCTTGAAATCTCCACTTGCAAATTCCACAAAAAGTGTTTTTCAAAAGTGCTGTGAATAAAGGAAGGTTCAAATCAGTGAGTTGAATACAAACAACACAAAGAAGTTACTGAGAATTCTTCTGTCTAGCAGTAAATGAAAAAATCCCGCTTCCAACGAAGTCCTCAAAGGGGTCCAAGTAATCACTTGCAGACTTTACAGACAGAGTCTTTCCAAACTGCTCTATGAAAAGAAAGGTGGAACTCTGTGAGCTGAACGCACACATAACAAAGCAGTTTCTGAGAATGATTCTGTGTAGTTTTTACACGAAGCTATTTCCATTTCAAAGATTAGCCTCAAATCGCTTGAAATCTCCACTTGCAAATTCCACAGAAAGAGTTTTTCAAAACTGCTCTGTGTAAAGGAAGGTTCAACTCTGTGACTTGAATACACACAACACAAAGAAGTGACTGAGAATTCTTCTGTCTAGCATTACATGAAGAAATCCCGTTTCCAACGAAGGCCTCAAAGAAGTCCAAATAAGCACCTGCAGACTTTACAAACAGAGTGTTTCCAAACTGCTCTATGAAAAGAAAGGTTAAACTCTGTGAGTTGAACGCACACATCACAAAGTAGTTGTTGAGAATGATTCTGTGTAGTTTTTATACGAAGATATTTCCTTTTCTGCCATAGGCCTAGAAGCGCTTGTAATCTGCACTTGCAAATTCCAAAAACAGAGTGTTTCAAATCTGCTCTCTCTAAAGGAAGGTTCAAATCTGTGAGTTGAATACAAACAACACAAAGAAGTTACTGAGAATTCTTCTGTCTAGCATTATAAGAGGAAATCCTGTTTCCAACGAAGGGCTCATAGAGGGACAATTATCCAGCTGCAGACTTACAAAGAGTGTATTTCCAAACTGCTCGATTAAAGAAAGGTTAAACTCTGTGAGTTGAACACACACATCACAAAGTGTTTTCTGAGAATGATTTTGTCTACTTTTAATACGAAGATATATCCTTTTCTATCACTGTCTTCGAAGCGTTTGAAATCTACACTAGCAAATTCCACAAAAAGAGTGTTTCACCTCTGCTCCCTCTAAAGAAAGGTTCAACTCTGTGAGTTGAATACACACAACACAAAGAAGTTACTGAGAATTCTTCTGTCTAGCGTTATATGAAGAAATCCCGTTTCCAACGAAGGCCTCAAAGAGGTCCAAATATCCACTTGCAGACTTTACAAATAGAGTGTTTCCCAACTGCTCTATGAAAAGAAAGGTTAAACTCTGTGAGTTGAAGGCACACATCACAAACTAGTTTCTACGAATGACTCTGTGTACTTTTAATATGAAGATATTTCCATGTCTAAGATTGGCGTCAAATCGCTTGAAATCTCCACTTGCAAATTCCACAAAAAGAGTGTTTCAAAACTGCTCTGAATAAAGGAAGGTTCCACTCTGTGAGTTGAATACACACAACACAAAGGATTTACTGAGAATTCTTCTGTCTAGCAGTAAAGGAGAAATCCCGCTTCCAACGAAGGCCTCAAAGGGGTCTAACTAATCACTTGCAGACTTTACAGACAGAGTCTTTCCAAACTGCTCTATGAAGAGAAAGGTGAAACTCTGTGAACTGAACGCACAGATGACAAAGCAGTTTCGGAGAATGATTCTGTGTAGTTTTTACACGAAGATATTTCCATTTCAAAGATTAGCCTCAAATCGCTTGAAATCTCCACTTGCAAACTCCACAGAAAGAATTTTTCAAAACTGCTCTGTCTAAAGGAAGGTTCAACTCTGTGACTTGAATACACACAACACAAAGAAGTGACTGAGAATTCTTCTGTCTAGCATTATATGAAGAAATCCCGTTTCCAACGAAGGCCTCAATGAAGTCCAAAAAAGCACTTGCAGGCTTTACAAACAGAGTGTTTCCAAACTGCTCTATGAAAAGAAAGGTTAAACTCTGTGAGTTGAACGCACACATCACAAAGTAGCTGTTGAGAATGATTCTGTGTAGTTTTTATACGAAGATATTTCCTTTTCTGCCATAGGCCTAGAAGCGCTTGAAATCTGCACTTGCAAATTCCAAAAACAGAGTGTTTCAAATCTGCTCTCTCTAAAGGAAGGTTCAAATCTGTGTGTTGAATACAAACAACACAAAGAAGTTACTTAGAATTCTTCTGTCTAGCATTATATGAGGAAATCCCGTTTCCAACGAAGGGCTCAAAGAGGGCCAAATATCCACCTGCAGACTTACAAAGAGTGTATTTCCAAACTGCTCGATTAAAGAAAGGTTAAACTCTGTGAGTTGAACACACACATCACAAAGAGTTTTCTGAGAATGATTTTGTCTAGTTTTAATACGAAGATATATCCTTTTCTATCACTGTCTTCGAAGCGTTTGAAATCGGCAATAGCAAATTCCACAAACAGAGTGTTTCAACTCTGCTCTCTCTCAAGAAAGGTTCAACTCTGTGAGTGGAATACACACAACACAAAGAAGTTACTGAGAATTCTTCTGTCTAGCGTTATATGAAGAAATCCCGTTTCCAACGAAGGCCTCAAAGAGGTCCAAATATCCACTTGCAGACTTTACAAATAGAGTGTTTCCAAACTGCTCTATGAAAAGAAAGGTTAAACTCTGTGAGTTGAAGGCACACATCACAAACTAGTTTCTGCGAATGACTCTGTGTACTTTTAATATGAAGATATTTCCATGTCTAAGATTGGCGTCAAATCACTTGAAATCTCCACTTGCAAATTCCACAAAAAGAGTGTTTCAAAACTGCTCTGAATAAAGGAAGGTTCCACTCTGTGAGTTGAATACACACAACACAAAGGATTTACTGAGAATTCTTCTGTCTAGCAGTAAATGAAAAAATCCCGCTTCCAGCGAAGTCCTCAAAGGGGTCCAAGTAATCACTTGCAGACTTTACAGACAGAGTCTTTCCAAACTGCTCTATGAAAAGAAAGGTGGAACTCTGTGAGCTGAACGCACACATAAGAAAGCAGTTTCTGAGAATGATTCTGTGTAGTTTTTACACGAAGATATTTCCATTTCAAAGATTAGCCTCAAATAGCTTGTAATCTCCACTTGCAAATTCCACAGAAAGAGTTTTTCAAAACTGCTCTGTGTAAAGGAAGGTTCAACTCTGTGACTTGAATACACACAACACAAAGAAGTGACTGAGAATTCTTCTGTCTAGCATTATATGAAGAAATCCCGTTTCCAACGAAGGCCTCAAAGAAGTCCAAATAAGCACCTGCAGACTTTACAAACAGAGTGTTTCCAAACTGCTCTATGAAAAGAAAGGTTAAACTCTGTGAGCTGAACGCACACATCACAAAGTAGTTGTTGAGAATGATTCTGTGTAGTTTTTATACGAACATATTTCCTTTTCTGCCATAGGCCTAGAAGCGCTTGCAATCTGCACTTGCAAATTCCAAAAACAGAGTGTTTCAAATCTGCTCTCTCCAAAGGAAGGTTCAAATCTGTGAGTTGAATACAAACAACACAAAGAAGTTACTGAGAATTCTTCTGTCTAGCATTATATGAGGAAATCCCGTTTCCAACGAAGGGCTCATAGAGGGACAATTATCCAGCTGCAGACTTACAAAGAGTGTATTTCCAAACTGCTCGATTAAAGAAAGGTTAAACTCTGTGAGTTGAACACACACATCACAAAGTGTTTTCTGAGAATGATTTTGTCTAGTTTTAATACGAAGATATATCCTTTTCTATCACTGTCTTCGAAGCGTTTGAAATCTGCACTAGCAAATTCCACAGAAAGAGTGTTTCAACTCTGCTCTCTCTCAAGAAAGGTTCAACTCTGTGAGTGGAATACACACAACACAAAGAAGTTACTGAGAATTCTTCTGTCTAGCGTTATATGAAGAAATCCCGTTTCCAACGAAGGCCTCAAAGAGGTCCAAATATCCACTTGCAGACTTTACAAATAGAGTGTTTCCAAACTGCTCTATGAAAAGAAAGGTTAAACTCTGTGAGTTGAAGGCACACATCACAAACTAGTTTCTGCGAATGACTCTGTGTACTTTTAATACGAAGATGTTTCCATGTCTAAGATTGGCGTGAATTCGCTTGAAATCTGCACTTGCAAATTCCACAAAAAGAGTGTTTCAAAACTGCTCTGAATAAAGGAAGGTTCCACTCTGTGAGTTGAATACACACAACACGAAGGATTTACTGAGAATTCTTCTGTCTAGCAGTAAATGAAAAAATCCCGCTTCCAATGAAGTCCTCAAAGGGGTCCAAGTAATCACTTGCAGACTTTACAGAGTCTTTCCAAACTGCTCTATGAAAAGAAAGGTGGAACTCTGTGAGCTGAACGCACACATAACAAAGCAGTTTCTGACAATGATTCTGTGTAGTTTTTACACGAAGATATTTCCATTTCAAAGATTAGCCTCAAATCGCTTGAAATCTCCACTTGCAAATTCCACAGAAAGAGTTTTTCAAAACTGCTGTGTCTAAAGGAAGGTTCAACTCTGTGACTTGAATAAACACAACACAAGGAAGTGACTGTGAATTCTTCTGTCTAGCATTATATGAAGAAATCCCGTTTCCAACGGAGGCCTCAATGAAGTCCAAAAAAGCACTTGCAGGCTTTACAAACAGAGTGTTTCCAAACTGCTCTATGAAAAGAAAGGTTAAACTCTGTGAGTTGAACGCACACATCACAAAGTAGTTGTTGAGAATGATTCTGTGTAGTTTTTATACGAAGATATTTCCTTTTCTGCCATAGGCCTAGAAGCGCTTGTAATCTGCACTTGCAAATTCCGAAACCAGAGTGTTTCAAATCTGCTCTCTCTAAAGGAAGGTTCAAATCTGTGAGTTGAATACAAACAACACAAAGAAGTTACTGAGAATTCTTCTGTCTAGCATTATATGAGGAAATCCCGTTTCCAACGAAGGGCTCATAGTAGGGACAATTATCCAGCTGCAGACTTACAAAGAGTGTATTTCCAAACTGCTCGATTAAAGAAAGGTTAAACTCTGTGAGTTGAAC
The DNA here is from genome assembly GCF_000001405.40 of Homo sapiens. Taxonomy (NCBI): domain Eukaryota; kingdom Metazoa; phylum Chordata; class Mammalia; order Primates; family Hominidae; genus Homo; species Homo sapiens. Next base: position 39,950,969 of record NC_000010.11, on the reverse strand, counting down.
ACACACATCACAAAGTGTTTTCTGAGAATGATTTTTTCTAGTTTTAATACGAAGATATATCCTTTTCTATCACTATCTTCGAAGCGTTTGAAATCTGCACTAGCAAATTCCACAAAAAGAGTGTTTCAACTCTGCTCTCTCTCAAGAAAGATTCAACTCTGTGAGTTGAATACACACAACAAAAAGAAGTTACTGAGAATTCTTCTGTCTAGCGTTATATGAAGAAATCCCGTTTCCAACGAAGGCCTCAAAGAGGTCCAAATATCCACTTGCAGACTTTACAAATAGAGTGTTTCCAAACTGCTCTATGAAAAGAAAGGTTAAACTCTGTGAGTTGAAGGCACACATCACAAACTAGTTTCTGCGAATGACTCTGTGTACTTTTAATACGAAGATGTTTCCATGTCTAAGATTGGCGTGAATTCGCTTGAAATCTCCACTTGCAAATTCCACAAAAAGAGTGTTTCAAAACTGCTCTGAATAAAGGAAGGTTCCACTCTGTGAGTTGAATACACACAACACAAAGGATTCACTGAGAATTCTTCTGTCTAGCAGTAAATGAAAAAATCCCGCTTCCAACGAAGTCCTCAAAGGGGTCCAAGTAATCACTTGCAGACTTTACAGACAGAGTCTTTCCAAACTGCTCTATGAAAAGAAAGGTGGAACTCTGTGAGCTGAACGCACACATAACAAAGCAGTTTCTGACAATGATTCTGTGTAGTTTTTACACGAAGATATTTCCAATTCAAAGATTAGCCTCAAATCGCTTGAAATCTCCACTTGTAAATTCCACAGAAAGAATTTTTCAAAACTGCTCTGTCTAAAGGAAGGTTCAACTCTGTGACTTGAATACACACAACACAAAGAAGTGACTGAGAATTCTTCTGTCTAGCATTACATGAAGAAATCCCGTTTCCAACGAAGGCCTCAAAGAAGTCCAAATAAGCACCTGCAGACTTTACAAACAGAGTGTTTCCAAACTGCTCTATGAAAAGAAAGGTTAAACTCTGTGAGTTGAACGCACACATCACAAAGTAGTTGTTGAGAATGATTCTGTGTAGTTTTTATACGAAGATATTTCCTTTTCTGCCATAGGCCTAGAAGCGCTTGTAATCTGCACTTGCAAATTCCAAAAACAGAGTGTTTCAAATCTGCTCTCTCCAAAGGAAGGTTCAAATCTGTGAGTTGAATACAAACAACACAAAGAAGTTACTGAGAATTCTTCTGTCTAGCATTATAAGAGGAAATCCCGTTTCCAACGAAGGGCTCCTAGAGGGACAATTATCCAGCTGCAGACTTACAAAGAGTGTATTTCCAAACTGCTCGATTAAAGAAAGGTTAAACTCTGTGAGTTGAACACACACATCACAAAGTGTTTTACTGAGAATGATTTTGTCTAGTTTTAATACGAAGATATATCCTTTTCTATCACTGTCTTCGAAGCGTTTGAAATCTACACTAGCAAATTCCACAAGAAGAGTGTTTCAACTCTGCTATCTCTAAAGAAAGGTTCAACTCGGTGAGTTGAATACACGCAACACAAAGAAGTTACTGAGAATTCTTCTGTCTAGCGTTATATGAAGAAATCCCGTTTCCAACGAAGGCCTCAAAGAGGTCCAAATATCCACTTGCAGACTTTACAAATAGAGTGTTTCCCAACTGCTCTATGAAAATAAAGGTTAAACTCTGTGAGTTGAAGGCACACATCACAAACTAGTTTCTACGAATGACTCTGTGTAGTTTTAATACGAAGATATTTCCATGTCTAAGATTGGCGTCAAATCGCTTGAAATCTCCACTGGCAAATTCCACAAAGAGTGTTTCCAAACTGCTCTGAATAAAGGAAGGTTCAACTCTGTGAGTTGAATACACACAACACAAAGGATTTACTGAGGATTCTTCTGTCTAGCAGTAAGTGAAAAAATCAAGCTTCCAACGAAGGCCTCCAAGGAATCCAAGTATTGACTTGCAGACTTTACAGACAGAGTCTTTCCAAACTGCTGTATGAAAAGAAAGGTGAAACTCTGTGAGTTGAACGCACACATAACAAAGCAGTTTCTGAGAATGATTCTGTGTAGTTTTTACACGAAGCTATTTCCATTTCAAAGATTAGCCTCAAATCGCTTGAAATCTCCACTTGCAAATTCCACAGAAAGAGTTTTTCAAAACTGCTCTGTGTAAAGGAAGGTTCAACTCTGTGACTTGAATACACACAACACAAAGAAGTGACTGAGAATTCTTCTGTCTAGCATTATATGAGGAAATCCCTTTTCCAACGAAGGGCTCAAAGAGGGACAATTCTCGACTTTCACATTTACAAAGAGTGTATTTCCAAACTGCTCCATTAAAGAAAGGTTAAACTCTGTGAGTTGAACACACACATCACAAAGTGTTTTCTGAGAATGATTTTGTCTAGTTTTAATATGAAGATATATCCTTTTCTATCACTATCTTCGAAGCCTTTGATATCTGCACTAGCAAATTCCACAAAAAGAGTGTTTCAAATCTGCTCTCTCTAAAGAAAGGTTCAACTCTGTGAGTTGAATACACACAACACAAAGAAGTTACTGTGAATTCTTCTGTGTAGCGTTATAAGAAGAAATCCCGTTTCCAACGAAGGCGTCAAAGAAGTCCAAATATCCACTTGCAGACTTTACAAATAGAGTGTTTCCAAACTGCTCTATGAAAAGAAAGGTTAAACACTGTGAGTTGAAGGCACACATCACAAACTAGTTTCTGCGAATGACTTTGTCTAGTTTTAATACGAAGATATATCCTTTTCTATCACTGTCTTTGAAGCGTTTGAAATCTGCACTAGCAAATTCCACAAACAGAGTGTTTCAACTCTGCTCTCTCTCAAGAAAGGTTCAACTCTGTGAGTGGAATACACACAACACAAAGAAGTTACTGAGAATTCTTCTGTCTAGCGTTATATGAAGAAATCCCGTTTCCAACGAAGGCCTCAAAGAGGTCCAAATATCCACTTGCAGACTTACAAATAGAGTGTTTCCAAACTGCTCTATGAAAAGAAAGGTTAAACTCCGTGAGTTGAAGGCACACATCACAAACTAGTTTCTGCGAATGACTCTGTGTACTTTTAATACGAAGATGTTTCCATGTCTAAGATGGGCGTGAATTCGCTTGAAATCTCCACTTGCAAATTCCACAAAAAGAGTGTTTCAAAACTGCTCTGAATAAAGGAAGGTTCCACTCTGTGAGTTGAATACACACAACACAAAGGATTTACTGAGAATTCTTCTGTCTAGCAGTAAATGAGAAATCCCGCTTCCAACGAAGGCCTCAAAGGGGTCTAACTAATCACTTGCAGACTTTACAGACAGGGTCTTTCCAAACTGCTCTATGAAGAGAAAGGTGAAACTCTGTGAACTGAACGCACAGATAACAAAGCAGTTTCTGAGAATGGTTCTGTGTAGTTTTTACATGAAGATATTTCCATTTCAAAGATTAGCCTCAAATCGCTTGAAATCTCCACTTGCAAATTCCACAGAAAGAGTTTTTCAAAACTGCTCTGTCTAAAGGAAGGTTCAACTCTGTGACTTGAATACACACAACACAAAGAAGTGACTGAGAATGCTACTGTCTAGCATTATATGAAGAAATCCCGTTTCCAACGAAGGCCTCAAAGAAGTCCAAATAAGCACCTGCAGATTTTACAAACAGAGTGTTTCCAAACTGCTCTATGAAACGAAAGGTTAAACTCTGTGAGTTGAACGCACACATCACAAAGTAGTTGTTGAGAATGATTCTGTGTAGTTTTTATACGAAGATATTTCCTTTTCTGCCATAGGCCTAGAAGCGCTTGCAATCTGCACTTGCAAATTCCAAAAACAGAGTGTTTCAAATCTGCTCTCTCCAAAGGAAGGTTCAAATCTGTGAGTTGAATACAAACAACACAAAGAAGTTACTGAGAATTCTTCTGTCTAGCATTATAAGAGGAAATCCCGTTTCCAACGAAGGGCTCATAGAGGGACAATTATCCAGCTGCAGACTTACAAAGAGTGTATTTCCAAACTGCTCGATTAAAGAAAGGTTAAACTCTGTGAGTTGAACACACACATCACAAAGTGTTTTCTGAGAATGATTTTGTCTAGTTTTAATACGAAGATATATCCTTTTCTATCATTGTCTTCGAAGCGTTTGAAATCTGCACTACCAAATTACAGAAAAAGAGTGTATCAAATCTGCTCTCTCTAAAGAAAGGTTCAACCCTGTGAGTTGGATACACACATCACAAAGAAGTTACTGAGAATTCTTCTGTCTAGCGTTATATGAAGAAATCCCGTTTCCAACGAAGGCCTCAAAGAGGTCCAAATATCCACTTGCAGACTTTACAAATAGAGTGTTTCCAAACTGCTCTATGAAAAGAAAGGTTAAACTCTGTGAGTTGAAGGCACACATCACAAACTAGTTTCTGCGAATGACTCTGTGTACTTTTAATACGAAGATGTTTCCATGTCTAAGTATTGGCGTGAATTCGCTTGAAATCTCCACTTGCAAATTCCACAAAAAGAGTGTTTCAAAACTGCTCTGAATAAAGGAAGGTTCCACTCTGTGAGTTGAATACACACAACACAAAGGATTTACTGAGAATTCTTCTGTCTAGCAGTAAGTGAAAAAATCCCGGTTCCAACGAAGGCCTCAAAGGGGTCCAAGTATTCACTTGCAGACTTTACAGACAGAGTCTTTCCAAACTGCTCTATGAAAAGAAAGGTGAAACTCTGTGAGTTGAACGCACACATAACAAAGCAGTTTCTGAGAGTGATTCTGTGTAGTTTTTACACGAAGATATTTCCATTTCAAAGATTAGCCTCAAATCGCTTGAAATCTCCACTTGCAAATTCCACAGAAAGAGTTTTTCAAAACTGCTCTATCTAAAGGAAGGTTCAACTCTGTGACTTCAATACAAACAACACAAAGAAGTGACTGAGAATTCTTCTGTCTAGCATTATATGAAGAAATCCCGTTTCCAAGGAAGGCCTCAAAGAAGTCCAAATAAGCACCTGCAGACTTTACAAACAGAGTGTTTCCAAACTGCTCTATGAAAAGAAAGGTTAAACTCTGTGAGTTGAACGCACACATCACAAACTAGTTTCTGCGAATGACTCTGTGTACTTTTAATATGAAGATATTTCCATGTCTAAGATTGGCGTCAAATTGCTTGAAATCTCCACTTGCAAATTCCACAAAAAGAGTGTTTCAAAACTGCTCTGAATAAAGGAAGGTTCCACTCTGTGAGTTGAATCAACGCAACACAAATGATTTACTGAGAATTCTTCTGTCTAGCAGTAAATGAAAAAATCCCGCTTCCAACGAAGTCCTCAAAGGGGTCCAAGTAATCACTTGCAGACTTTACAGACAGAGTCTTTCCAAACTCCTCTATGAAAAGAAAGGTGGAACTCTGTGAGCTGAACGCACACATAACAAAGCAGTTTCTGAGAATGATTCTGTGTAGTTTTTACACGAAGCTATTTCCATTTCAAAGATTAGCCTCAAATCGCTTGAAATCTCCACTTGCAAATTCCACAGAAAGAGTTTTTCAAAACTGCTCTGTGTAAAGGAAGGTTCAACTCTGTGACTTGAATACACACAACACAAAGAAGTGACTGAGAATTCTTCTGTCTAGCATTACATGAAGAAATCCCGTTTCCAACGAAGGCCTCAAAGAAGTCCAGATAAGCACCTGCAGACTTTACAAACAGAGTGTTTCCAAACTGCTCTATGAAAAGAAAGGTTAAACTCTGTGAGTTGAACGCACACATCACAAAGTAGTTGTTGAGAATGATTCTGTGTAGTTTTTATACGAAGATATTTCCTTTTCTGCCACAGGCCTAGAAGCGCTTGTAATCTGCACTTGCAAATTCCAAAAACAGAGTGTTTCAAATCTGCTCTCTCTAAAGGAAGGTTCAAATCTGTGAGTTGAATACAAACAACACAAAGAAGTTACTGAGAATTCTTCTGTCTAGCATTATAAGAGGAAATCCTGTTTCCAACGAAGGGCTCATAGAGGGACAATTATCCAGCTGCAGACTTACAAAGAGTGTATTTCCAAACTGCTCGATTAAAGAAAGGTTAAACTCTGTGAGTTGAACACACACATCACAAAGTGTTTTCTGAGAATGATTCTGTGTAGTTTTTATACGAAGATATTTCCTTTTCTGCCATAGGCCAAGAAGCGCTTGAAATCTGTACTTGCAAATTCCAAAAACAGAGTGTTTCAAATCTGCTCTCTCTAAAGGAAGGTTCAAATCTGTGCGTTGAATACAAACAACACAAAGAAGTTACTGAGAATTCTTCTGTCTAGTGTTATATGAAGAAATCCCGTTTCCAACGAAGGCCTCAATGAGGTCCAAATATCCACTTGCAGACTTTACAAGTAGAGCGTTTCCAAACTGCTCTATGAAAAGAAAGGTTAAACACTGTGAGTTGAAGCCACACATCACAAACTAGTTTCTGCGAATGACTCTGTGTACTTTTAATACGAAGATATTTCCACGTCTAAGATTGGCGTGAATTCGCTTGAAATCTCCACTTGCAAATTCCACAAAAAGAGTGTTTCAAAACTGCTCTCAATAAAGGAAGGTTCCACTCTGTGAGTTGAATACACACAACACAAAGAAGTTACTGAGAATTCTTCTGTCTAGCGTTGTATGAAGAAATCCCTTTTCGAATGAAGGCCTCAAAGAGGTCCAAATATCCACTTGCAGACTTTACAAATAGAGTGTTTCCAAACTGCTCTATGAAAAGAAAGGTTAAACTCTGTGAGTTGAAGGCACACATCACAAACTAGTTTCTACGAATGACTCTGTGTAGTTTTTACACGAAGCTATTTCCATTTCAAAGATTAGCCTCAAATCGCTTGAAATCTCCACTTGCAAATTCCACAGAAAGAGTTTTTCAAAACTGCTCTGTGTAAAGGAAGGTTCAACTCTGTTACTTGAATACACACAACACAAAGAAGTGACTGAGAATTCTTCTGTCTAGCATTATATGAAGAAATCCCATTGCCAACGAAGGCCTCAAAGAAGTCCAAATATGCACTTGCAGACTTTACAACCAGAGTGTTTCCAAACTGCTCTATGAAAAGAAAGGTTAAACCCTGTGAGTTCAACGCACACATCACAAAGTAGTTTCTGAGAATGATTCTGTCTAGTTTTTACACGGAGATATTTCCATTTCAAAGATTGGCCTTAAATCGCATGTAATCTCCACTTGCAAATTCCACAGAAATAGTTTTTCAAAACTGCTCTGTCTAAATGAAGGTTCAACTCTGTGACTTGAATACACACAACACAAAGAAGTGACTGAGAATTCTTCTGTCTAGCACTATATGAAGAAATCCCGTTTCCAACGAAGGCCTCAAAGAAGTCCAAATATGCACTTGCAGACTTTACAACCAGAGTGTTTCCAAACTGCTCGATTAAAAGAAAGGTTAAAATCTGTGAGTTGAACGCACATGTCACAAAGTAGTTCTTGAGAATGATTTTGTCTAGTTTCAATACGAAGATATATCCTTTTCTATCACTGTCTTCGAAGCGTTTGAAATCTGCACTAGCAAATTCCACAGAAAGAGTGTTTCAACTCTGCTCTCTCTCAAGAAAGGTTCAACTCTGTGAGTTGAATACACACAACACAAAGAAGTTACTGAGAATTCTTCTGTCTAGCGTTATATGAAGAAATCCCGTTTCCAACGAAGGCCTCAAAGAGGTCCAAATATCCACTTGCAGACTTTACAGATAGAGTGTTTCCAAACTGCTCTATGAAAAGAAAGGTTAAACTCCGTGAGTTGAAGGCACACATCACAAACTAGTTTCTGCGAATGACTCTGTGTACTTTTAATACGAAGATGTTTCCATGTCTAAGATTGGCGTGAATTCGCTTGAAATCTCCACTTGCAAATTCCACAAAAAGAGTGTTTCAAAAGTGCTCTGAATAAAGGAAGGTTCCACTCTGTGAGTTGAATACACACAACACAAAGGATTTACTGAGAATTCTTCTGTCTAGCAGTAAATGAGTAATCCCGCTTCCTACGAAGGCCTCAAATGTGTCCAACTAATCACTTGCAGACTTTACAGACAGAGTCTTTCCAAACTGCTCTATGAAGAGAAAGGTGAAACTCTGTGAACTGAACGCACAGATAACAAAGCAGTTTCTGAGAATGATTCTGTGTAGTTTTTACACGAAGCTATTTCCATTTCAAAGATTAGCCTCAAATCGCTTGAAATCTCCACTTGCAAATTCCACAGAAAGAGTTTTTCAAAACTGCTCTGTGTAAAGGAAGGTTCAACTCTGTGACTTGAATACACACAACACAAAGAAGTGACTGAGAATTCTTCTGTCTAGCATTATATGAAGAAATCCCGTTTCCAACGGAGGCCTCAAAGAAGTCCAAATAAGCACCTGCAGACTTTACAAACAGAGTGTTTCCAAACTGCTCTATGAAAAGAAAGGTTAAACTCTGTGAGTTGAACGCACACATCACAAAGTAGTTGTTGAGAATGATTCTGTGTAGTTTTTATACGAAGATATTTCCTTTTCTGCCATAGGCCTAGAAGCGCTTGTAATCTGCACTTGCAAATTCCAAAAACAGAGTGTTTCAAATCTGCTCTCTCTAAAGGAAGGTTCAAATCTGTGAGTTGAATACAAACAACACAAAGAAGTTACTGAGAATTCTTCTGTCTAGCATTATAAGAGGAAATCCCGTTTCCAACGAAGGGCTCATAGAGGGACAATTATCCAGCTGCAGACTTACAAAGAGTGTATTTCCAAACTGCTCGATTAAAGAAAGGTTAAACTCTGTGAGTTGAACACACACATCACAAAGTGTTTTCTGAGAATGATTTTGTCTAGTTTTAATACGAAGATATATCCTTTTCTATCACTGTCTTCGAAGCGTTTGAAATCTGCACTAGCAAATTCCACAAACAGAGTGTTTCAACTCTGCTCTCTCTCAAGAAAGGTTCAACTCTGTGAGTTGAATACACACAACACAAAGAAGTTACTGAGAATTCTTCTGTCTAGCGTTATATGAAGAAATCCCTTTTCCAACAATGGCCTCAAAGTAGGTCCAAATATCCACTTGCAGACTTTACAAATAGAGTGTTTCCGAACTGCTCTATGAAAAGAAAGGTTAAACTCTGTGAGTTGAAGGCACACATCACAAACTAGTTTCTACGAATGATTCTGTACTTTTAATACGAAGATGTTTCCATGTCTAAGATTGGCGTGAATTCGCTTGAAATCTCCACTTGCAAATTCCACAAAAAGAGTGTTTCAAAAGTGCTCTGAATAAAGGAAGGTTCCACTCTGTGAGTTGAATACACACAACACAAAGGATTTACTGAGAATTCTTCTGTCTAGCAGTAAATGAAAAAATCCCGCTTCCAACGAAGTCCTCAAAGGGGTCCAAGTAATCACTTGCAGACTTCACAGACAGAGTCTTTCCAAACTGCCCTATGAAAAGAAAGGTGGAACCGTGTGAGCTGAACGCACACATAACAAAGCAGTTTCTGAGAATGATTCTGTGTAGTTTTTACACGAAGATATTTCCATTTCAAAGATTAGCCTCAAATCGCTTGAAATCTCCACTTGCAAATTCCACAGAAAGAGTTTTTCAAAACTGCTCTGTGTAAAGGAAGGTTCAACTCTGTGACTTGAATACACACAACACAAAGACGTGACTGTAAATTCTTCTGTCTAGCATTGTATGAAGAACTCCCGTTTCCAAAGAAGGCCTCAAAGAAGTCCAAATAAGCACTTGCAGACTTTACAAACAAAGTGTTTCCAAACTGCTCTATGAAAAGAAAGGTTAAACTCTGTGAGTTGAACGCACACATCACAAAGTAGTTGTTGAGAATGATTCTGTGTAGTTTTTATACGAAGATATTTCCTTTTCTGCCATAGGCCTAGAAGCACTTGAAATCTGCACTTGCAAATTCCAAAAACAGAGTGTTTCAAATCTGCTCTCTCTAAAGGAAGGTTCAAATCAGTGAGTTGAATACAAACAACACAAAGAAGTTACTGAGAATTCTTCTGTCTAGCATTATATGAGGAAATCCCGTTTCCAACGAAGGGCTCATAGAGGGACAATTATCCACCTGCAGAATTACAAAGAGTGTATTTCCAAACTGCTCGATTAAAGAAAGGTTAAACTCTGTGAGTTGAACACACACATCACAAAGTGTTTTCTGAGAATGATTTTGTCTAGTTTTAATACGAAGATATATCCTTTTCTACCACTGTCTTCGAAGCGTTTGAAATCTGCACTAGCAAATTCCACAAAAAGAGTGTTTCAACTCTGCTCTCTCTCAAGAAAGGTTCAACTCTGTGAGTGGAATACACACAACACAAAGAAGTTACTGAGAATTCTTCTGTCTAGCGTTATATGAAGAAATCCCGTTTCCAACGAAGGCCTCAAAGAGGTCCAAATATCCACTTGCAGACTTTACAAATAGAGTGTTTCCAAACTGCTCTATGAAAAGAAAGGTTAAACTCTGTGAGTTGAAGGCACACATCACAAACTAGTTTCTGCGAATGACTCTGTGTACTTTTAATATGAAGACATTTCTATGTCTATGATTGGCGTCAAATCGCTTGAAATCTCCTCTTGCAAATTCCACAAAAAGAGTGTTTCAAAACTGCTCTGAATAAAGGAAGGTACCACTCTGTGAGTTGAATACACACAACACAAAGGATTTACTGAGAATTCTTCTGTCTAGCAGTAAATGAGAAATCCCGCTTCCAACGAAGGCCTCAAAGGGGTCTAACTAATCACTTGCAGACTTTACAGACAGAGTCTTTCCAAACTGCTCTATGAAGAGAAAGGTGAAGCTCTGTGAACTGAGCGCACAGATGACAAAGCAGTTTCTGAGAATGATTCTGTGTAGTTTTTACACGAAGATATTTCCATTTCAAAGATTAGCCTCAAATCGCTTGAAATCTCCACTTGCAAACACCACAGAAAGAATTTTTCAAAACTGCTCTGTCTAAAGGAAGGTTCAACTCTGTGACTTGAATACACACAACACAAAGAAGTGACTGAGAAATCTTCTGTCCAGCATTATATGAAGAAATCCCGTTTCCAACGAAGGCCTCAATGAAGTCCAAAAAAGCACTTGCAGGCTTTACAAACAGAGTGTTTCCAAACTGCTCTATGAAAAGAAAGGTTAAACTCTGTGAGTTGAACGCACACTTCACAAAGTAGTTGTTGAGAATGATTCTGTGTAGTTTTTATACGAAGATATTTCCTTTTCTGCCATAGGCCTAGAAGCGCTTGAAATCTGCACTTGCAAATTCCAAAAACAGAGTGTTTCAAATCTGCTCTCTCTAAAGGAAGGTTCAAATCTGTGAGTTGAATACAAACAACACAAAGAAGTTACTGAGAATTCTTCTGTCTAGCATTATAAGAGGAAATCCCGTTTCCAACGAAGGGCTCATAGAGGGACAATTATCCAGCTGCAGACTTACAAAGAGTGTATTTCCAAACTGCTCGATTAAAGAAAGGTTAAACTCTGTGAGTTGAACACACACATCACAAAGTGTTTTCTGAGAATGATTTTGTCTAGTTTTAATACGAAGATATATCCTTTTCTATCATTGTCTTCCAAGCGTTTGAAATCTGCACTAGCAAATTCCACAAAAAGAGTGTTTCAAATCTGCTCTCTCTCAAGAAAGGTTCAACTCTGTGAGTTGAATACACACAACACAAAGAAGTTACTGAGAATTCTTCTGTCTAGCGTTATATGAAGAAATCCCGTTTCCAAGGAAGGTCTCAAAGAGGTCCAAATATCCACTTGCCGACTTTACAAATAGAGTGTTTCCAAACTGCTGTATGAAAAGAATGGTTAAACTCTGTGAGTTGAAGGCACACATCACAAACCAGTTTCTGCGAATGACTCTGTGTACTTTTAATACGAAGATGTTTCCATGTCTAAGATTGGCGTGAAGTCGCTTGAAATCTCCACTTGCAAATTCCACAAAAAGAGTGTTTCAAAACTGCTCTGAATAAAGGAAGGTTCCACTCTGTGAGTTGAATACACACAACACAAAGGATTTACTGAGAATTCTTCTGTCTAGCAGTAAATGAGAAATCCCGCTTCCAACGAAGGCCTCAAAGGGGTCTAACTAATCACTTGCAGACTTTACAGACAGAGTCTTTCCAAACTGCTCTATGAAGAGAAAGGTGAAACTCTGTGAACTGAACGCACAGATGACAAAGCAGTTTCGGAGAATGATTCTGTGTAGTTTTTACACGAAGATATTTCCATTTCAAAGATTAGCCTCAAATCGCTTGAAATCTCCACTTGCAAACTCCACAGAAGGAATTTTTCAAAACTGCTCTGTCTAAAGGAAGGTTCAACTCTGTGACTTGAATACACACAACACAAAGAAGTGACTGAGAATTCTTCTGTGTAGCATTACATGAAGAAATCCCGTTTCCAACGAAGGCCTCAAAGAAGTCCAAATAAGCACTTGCAGACTTTACAAACAGAGTGTTTCCAAACTGCTCTATGAAAAGAAAGGTTAAACTCTGTGAGTTGAACGCACACATCACAAAGTAGTTGTTGAGAATGATTCTGTGTAGTTTTTATACGAAGATATTTCCTTTTCTGCCATAGGCCTAGAAGCGCTTGTAATCTGCACTTGCAAATTCCGAAAACAGAGTGTTTCAAATCTGCTCTCTCTAAAGGAAGGTTCAAATCTGTGAGTTGAATACAAACAACACAAAGAAGTTACTGAGAATTCTTCTGTCTAGCATTATAAGAGGAAATCCCGTTTCCAACGAAGGGCTCATAGAGGGACAATTATCCAGCTGCAGACTTACAAAGAGTGTATTTCCAAACTGCTCGATTAAAGAAAGGTTAAACTCTGTGAGTTGAACACACACATCACAAAGTGTTTTCTGAGAATGATTCTGTGTAGTTTTTATACGAAGATATTTCCTTTTCTGCCATGGGCCTAGAATCGCTTGAAATCTGCACTTGCAAATTCCAAAAACAGAGTGTTTCAACTCTGCTCTCTCTAAAGAAAGGTTCAACTCTGTGAGTTGAATACACACAACACAAAGAAGTTACTGAGAATTCTTCTGTCTAGCGTTGTATGAAGAAATCCCTTTTCGAACGAAGGCCTCAAAGAGGTCCAAATATCCACTTGCAGACTTTACAAATAGAGTGTTTCCAAACTGCTCTATGAAAAGAAAGGTCAAACTCTGTGAGTTGAAGGCACACATCACAAACTAGTTTCTACGAATGACTCTGTGTACTTTTAATATGAAGATATTTCCATGTCTAAGATTGGCGTCAAATCGCTTGAAATCTCCGCTTGCAAATTCCACAAAAAGTGTTTTTCAAAACTGCTCTGAATAAAGGAAGGTTCCACTCTGTGAGTTGAATACACACAACACAAAGGATTTACTGAGAATTCTTCTGTCTAGCAGTAAATGAGAAATCCCGCTTCCAACGAAGGCCTCAAAGGGGTCTAACTAATCACTTGCAGACTTTACAGACAGAGTCTTTCCAAACTGCTCTATGAAGAGAAAGGTGAAACTCTGTGAACTGAACGCACAGATGACAAAGCAGTTTCTGAGAATGATTCTGTGTAGTTTTTACACGAAGATATTTCCATTTCAAAGATTAGCCTCAAATCGCTTGAAATCTCCACTTGCAAATTACACAGAAAGAACTTTTCAAAACTGCTCTGTCTAAAGGAAGGTTCAACTCTGTGACTTGAATACACACAACACAAAGAAGTGACTGAGAATTCTTCTGTCTAGCATTATATGAAGAAATCCCGTTTCCAATGAAGGCCTCAATGAAGTCCAAAAAAGCACTTGCAGGCTTTACAAACAGAGTGTTTCCAAACTTCTCTATGAAAAGAAAGGTTAAACTTTGTGAATTGAACGCACACATCACAAAGTAGTTGTTGAGAATGATTCTGTGTAGTTTTTATACGAAGATATTTCCTTTTCTGCCATAGGCCTAGAATCGCTTGAAATCTGCAGTTGCAAATTCCAAAAACAGAGTGTTTCAACTCTGCTCTCTCTAAAGAAAGGTTCAACTCTGTGAGTTGAATACACACAACACAAAGAAGTTACTGAGAATTCTTCTGTCTAGCGTTGTATGAAGAAATCCCGTTTCCAACGAAGGCCTCAAAGAGGTCCAAATATCCACTTGCAGACTTTACAAATAGAGTGTTTCCAAACTGCTCTATGAAAAGAAAGGTTAAACTCTGTGAGTTGAAGGCACACATCACAAACTAGTTTCTACGAATGACTCTGTGTACTTTTAATATGAAGATATTTCCATGTCTAAGATTGGCGTCAAATCGCTTGAAATCTCCACTTGCAAATTCCACAAAAAGTGTTTTTCAAAACTGCTCTGAATAAAGGAAGGTTCCACTCTGTGAGTTGAATACACACAACACAAAGGATTTACTGAGAATTCTTCTGTCTAGCAGTAAATGAGAAATCCCTGCTTCCAACGAAGGCCTCAAAGGGGTCTAACTAATCACTTGCAGACTTTACAGACAGAGTCTTTCCAAACTGCTCTATGAAGAGAAAGGTGAAACTCTGTGAACTGAACGCACAGATGACAAAGCAGTTTCTGAGAATGATTCTGTGTAGTTTTTACACGAAGATATTTCCATTTCAAAGATTAGCCTCAAATCGCTTGAAATCTCCACTTGCAAACTCCACAGAAAGAATTTTTCAAAACTGCTCTGTCTAAAGGAAGGTTCAACTCTGTGACTTGAATACACACAACACAAAGAAGTGACTGAGAATTCTTCTGTCTAGCATTACATGAAGAAATCCCGTTTCCAACGAAGGCCTCAATGAAGTCCAAAAAAGCACTTGCAGGCTTTACAAACAGAGTGTTTCCAAACTGCTCTATGAAAAGAAAGGTTAAACTCTGTGAGTTGAACGCACACATCACAAAGTAGTTGTTGAGAATGAT